>NT_187660.1:0-325986 GCF_000001405.40 Homo sapiens
TGTAGATCTACATAAGCCAGGCCAGGGCACAAACGTTACAGAATGGCAAGGAGGCGGCACTGCCTTCTCTCTACATCAGCAGCAGGTGCAGAGGGACGCATGACTGCAAAGATCTCAGGCCTGAACTAGACCCGCGTTGCCACCCACATACTCTCCTCGTCACTCCCTGGGTTCAGAGGGCTCCACAGCTGTGCAGTGTAAAGGTCCTCCCAGTCAAAGGGGCCCCTCTGTAGGCAGGAAACCCAGATCACCTCCCAAAGAGCCATTCCTATCACTGCATCTGTCAGAAGCCAGAACCAGTGGGAGAAAACTGTAGACATGAGGATTTACTATGAATGAGTTGCCTTACATGACTGGGGGCCTGAGCAGGACACCCTACCTCCACCCAGAGGGCAGGCCATCGTACCCAGAGGCTGCCAGAGGGAAGGCAGATCCAGAGAAAGGACCAGCTCCCACCCAGGCAATGTAGAGGGCTATAGGTTGGTGTGGCTGGCTCCCAGTACAGGGAAGGAGGGAGTTGAGAGGGACAGCTGCCACCAGTGGCAAAGAACAGCACTGTCAAAGGCACAAGAGCCCCAGCGTCGTGCTGAAGAGGTGGCACCACATCACTGAAGATGAGGGTGTGTCTCGAGTGGCAGGTGGTCTGGCAGGAGGGAGGTGCACAGCTAGGGTCTGCGACTCTGAGACATGCAGCAAGCATGGGGTGTCCAGCTCCCTCAGTAACAGAGTAGCAGAGGATGGCAGGCCAGGGAGGAGGCAGACACAGAGTTATTCCAGGACAATTAATCTACTGCAGTTAGTTCACTTTCCTATTCATCTGCAAACACTTGCTAAATATCTTTTTGGTGCCAGGTATAACGCTAGTGAATGAGGCTACAAACACAAACGGCTGGAATTCCCAGACAGCTGCAGACACTCTTGACAATCCGCTTGTCCAGTGACTTGGTGGATGTAGGTGCACAGTACTGTGGGACCCAGAGGGCAAGCGAGGCTCTGCACCAGGAAGCACAGAAGCATCGAGGAGAAAGCGCTGAGGTAGGGATGGAGAAAGGCTTTGAAGCCTCCTCGGAGATCTGTTTTGTGAGTTCTGGGCCTCCAAGGCAGAAGCCAGAAACACACTTTTGCCACCTGCATTGCAGCTAGAACAGGCATGGGTTCCTCCAATCAGACACACCTGCTCCAGAGGCCAGTCTGGAGAATTTGGAGGAGAGGTGTGACAAGGCATACTCAAGAGCAGGCTGACAGAAGTCCCTGGACTCAGCAGCCAGCGTCGGGGCAGGGATCCTGAGCACTCAGGGCAAGCTGCAAAAGCTGGGGGCTTGTGGGCAGCCGCCCCCCATTCCCAGTGTGCAGTTGAGAAATTCTCAGAAATTCCAAGAACTATGTACTATCCCTAGATAAACTCCTTCTCATCTTAAACTAACTAAAATAGGTTCTGTTCACTGCAACTGTTGTTTGAAATGTTGATACCACTAGGTGCATTACAAACAGAATGATTTCCACTAAAGGACTAGGAATAAAATCAGTACCTTCAAAACCAGTTGATGGATGCGGAGGTATGATGTATCAATCTAAAGAAGTCAGGAAATGATGGTGAAAAAAAAGAATTAGCAAGGAAAAAGCATTAAAAAGTGAAATGATGGTACTTAGTTCAAGTCGATAAGTCATTACAATAAATGTAAACATGTTAAACTATTCTCTTAAAAGATAATCTGCTTTGAATTTTAAAAATCTACTTGCATGCTGCTTAAAAATGCAATTGGAAAAAGAATTTAAAATAAATAAATAAAGGACTAGAAAAAGATAAACCTGGCAGAGGCTCAGAGCAGAGATGGAGACCTCACACAAGGTAAAAGAAACCAGTCGCTGTGAAGTTACTAGATAATGAACTTTTAACACCTAATATGATCACAAAGTAAATAATGCAAAAACGTGCTGAAGTGCAAGGAGAAACAAACCAATTAACAAAGTTCTCTGCTGTATCAAAACAGATTGATTTAAAAGAGATAAGTGAATCTAGAGGATAACAACACAACGACATGCTTATGTATGTTAATGCTCACATTATATGAGCAATATATATGTATGTTAACTGCTCACAGACACTGAGAAAATTTGAACATTTCATCTCCTTTGCTGCAGGATTTCCTTTTTGCTTATTTTTTAAGGAACAAAATATTATAAATAAATGTGAAGCTCCTTTCCTCCCTCAGGCCCCAGGATTGTTTTCATCCTTCCCTCTCCTCAGGGAGCTGCCTTCATGAATTCAAGTCGTAACCACCTATGCAGCAGCCCACTGTGGGAGGAGCTGGGGCAGGATCCTGGCTCCTGTGTGTCAGCAGGGGCAGAAGCCAAACACGGAGTGACCGAAGCAGCCGCAGTGTGCAGAAGCTGACATGCAGCTTTTTAGGCGTGCAGCTGGAGAAAAACAGTCACATGGTAAGTCAGATGATGTTTTGGGGGTTTCTAAGCATTAAACCCTATAGACCATATCTTCTAACCACCTGCAGCGGAAATCAGGCTCTCGAAGAAGAAATAGCTGTACTCCCATTTTCACTGTAGCATTACTCAGAATAGCCAAGACATGGGAAAAACTTGCGTGTCCACTGATGGACATGTGGATAAAGAAAATGTGGTATATGAATATATATGCAATGAAAGGTGATTCGGACTTAAAAGAGCAGAAAATCCTGCCATTTGTGACAACATGGATGAACGCAGACGGCATTATGCTATGTGAGATAAGCGAGTTACAGAAGGAGCAACACCGCCTGATTCCATCGTGTGTGGAATCTAAAATCGTCACGCTCACGGAAGCAGAGAGTAGAATGGTGGCTGTCGGGGGTGGAGGGAGGGGGATGGGCAGAGGCTGCTCAATGGGTAGAGTTTCAGTTATCCCAGATGGGTACATTCCAGGGGCCGTGGTATGACACAGTGCCTAGCGTTAATATGGTATCATGCACTTCAAAGTGTACTAAGAGGTCAGATGGGTGTTAAGTGTTCTTACCATGAAGCACACATATATACACATAAGCACATGTATGGAGATGATGCATGCGTTCAGTACCTTGATTGTGGTGATATTATCACAGGTATACACATATATGTCCAAATTCATGAAAACTTATACATTCGATAGGTGCAGATTTTTGTCAATGACTTCAATACAGCTTTTTAAAAAATGTGGTGAAAAGACACTCAAAGGAAAAGAGGGGAGAAGGGAGTGAGGGAAAGTGGAGAGACCTCGACGCCCACCCACTTCGCAGATCCCTGCTCCAGGGAAGGGCCACATGTCCCCTTCCCACCCAAGGATTGTGACCATCGCTGCATGCCGCTTCCAGCCTGAGGCAGCAAACCCCAGTGGCTCCCCATGTCCCTCCCGTGATGTGGCCACTGCAGACACCTCATGCTAGCGTGGCACAGTCACTCCGGGGAGATGCATGGGCTTTGAAGAGCTGTGTGTCCACCTCTGCACCCTGTGGCTGCTGTGGTCATGCTGTATGTGGCTTCTGCCCCTGTGGACACACAAGAGCCAGCATCCCACCCTCAGCACCCCCACAGCGGCCACTGCAGAGATGGATGGGACCCACATTCATGAGGGCAGAGATGGTCCTGAGACTCCAGGGGAAGAACAGAGACCTGCCTGTTTATCTGTAATGTTGTATTTCTTGATAAAACACACAACAAATTCTGAGGCAAAGAGGATAAAATGTTGACACTTTCTCACTTTCTGTGGTGAACATATGGATATTTGTTGTACTATTGTCTCTGATTCCATTTTTTAAAGTTAAATTTTAGGTAGTCATAAAAATTTATGGAACAAAACTGTGAAAGTGTCCTATTCTCAGAAAAAGCAGCAACTTAAATCATCAATGCTAGGGCTCTTCTAATTCAGTCCCAGAAAGGATCTGGGTGCAAACCTCAGAGCCCCCCAGAGGTGGGGTTCAGCTGTGAGCGCAGGGTCAGAAGGAAGCACTGATGGAGGCTGTGTCGGGGTCCTGCGCTCGGTCCGCAACTGTGGCCTCATTGGCTGGGACAGCGCGGAGTCTCCTGTGGACTGTGTTTCCCTGGAGAACAGGATGAATGCACAGGATGAAGCTGAGGATTGGGTAAGGGCAGCCCTGCCAGAAGGCATCAGCCTGCCTGGGGCGCAGGGAGAGGTGGAGCCAGCTGGGCCACAGCCGGGACATTTGACAACAGCCGCAAGAGTTCTCCAATTTGGAACTTCACCAAAAAAATAACAGCCACCGAGTTAGTTCAGGATTACCACACCCAGGCCCTGGAAGGAGAGCAACAGCCAAGCAACTAGAGGGCCAACCTAGGCAGAAACTAAATTCCAGGCTGCAAGCGAGGGATGCAGGTTCCCAGATCCGCCTAAGGTCGGCGCTGCATGAGCCTGGCCTGCCCTTCTCCCCACACAGCCAGGCCTGCTGCTCCAGCCCGGGGGTGCCATTGTTCAGAATACTATACAGGGCGGTGGGATGTCTTGGGACCCCCTTGCATGGGATGTTCCCTGCGGGGAAGGGGGAGACCCTCAGAGTCAGAAGAACAGAGGGCTCTCCCCTGTCCTGTGTCCTGCCATGGGGAGTGCTCACCAGGCTTCTGGCCTGTGCCCTGCACACCTGGGACCTCAAGTATTTGTGAGAGGACCCCAGAGACTTGTGTGCAAGCCCCTGGGCCTATCTTTACTTTGCCACACCTGGATTCCCAGTTCCTGCCCTGAGCCAAGCAATCAGTGACGGCAGAAGTCACGCCAGGAACAGGCTCATCTGCCCAACTAAAGGTCTTCGATGTGTACTTCCAATCCTGGCTGGGGCTCAAGACCACACAGAGAATGAAAGATCTTGCCCAGGCCAAGCACTAGGAGACACACAGGCTGGTTAGAATAGCTTTTGCCTCCGCCGCAAATGAAGATGCAAGTCTCTATCTTTTGATGTCTCACAATTTTCGAAAGGAAGGAAGGAAGGAAAGAAGGAAGGAAGGAAAGAAGGAAGGAAGGAAGGAAGGAAAGAAGGAAGGAAGGGAGGGAGGGAGGGAGGGAAGGAAAGACAGAAAGGAAAGAAAGAAAGAAAGAAAAAGAAAGAAAGAAAGAAAGAAAGAGAGAGAGAAAGAAAGAAAGAGAAAGAAAGAGAGAAAGCAAGCAAGCAAGCACAGCCTTTTCTGGGAGGGGTGGCAGCTCTCAGTGGGGCTGACCTCGAGATCACCAGTCACCCCAGGACGTGCTGTCCACGGCAGCTGCAGAGCCTCGGCTCCCAGCCTGCAGTCTGGGCTCTCGGCACTCCCCACCCAGCTGCCCTGGGCTCTGCTCACTTTCGTCCTCTACACCTGTGAGTGCAGCAGAGGGGCAGGCTTCATCCTCTGCTGCCTTAGGAAGGGAGGGTGAGCCCCAGGCTATGTCCAGGCTAAAGTTGAGCCGTCGACATGGACATGTGCAACTCACCATGGTAGCAGTGAACGGGATGTTGTCAATCAGGGACGACGCCAGGGCTGAGACCCACACCACCAGGACAATGGCGGCTATGAGGCGCTGCTCCTCTGGGACCATCTGGAAGGAGGACAATAGCAGCTGCAGTGTTCCATCGCATGCACTTAGGGTCAGACCCACCAGCCGCGAGACTCAGAGGGGCCCGAGGGTGTTAGTCCTTCCTCTTACCCATCACGAGACCAAGGCAGACATAGGTGTGCAAGCCAGGGCCACACCCACACCAGGAGCCTCTGCTGGGTTTCTACCAGCAAAGCCCAGCCATGCCCAGACCTGCCAGCCCCCTGGATGGGGAGGCAGAGTGACCCTGCCCCTCATCCCCATGTGGTGGCTGCGCACACTGGTCACATTGACCTGATGGCCCGGCAGACCCCTGGGGCTGGGGCGCCTGCAGCACTCATTTACTGAGGCTGGTGTCAATCCCACTCCTTCTCAGACAGGCTTTAAATAAAGGCTAAAAGCAAAAGAGCAGGCATCTGTAATTACATATTCTTCGGAAAAAGTCTCCCTTCATCTCTGGGCTGCACAGGATAGAACAGGTTCCCTGCTGTGCCTTTTTACATAATTAATGGGACCTGTTCTTACCAGAGTGCTTTTTTTTTTTAATTTTTTTCACAAAATCAAAGAACAGTGGCTGGAGTGCCTTCTATTATAGCATTTATTTTACCTTTATTAGCAAAGCAGTTTGTTCTCCAACATATTCTATTAAGTGGAGATGTGCCAATGCCTAGAAGAAAGGATGTGTGGTGAGAATCAGTTTAGAACCGAAAATATATGCAAGATTTAAAAAAAAAGTCTTGAAAATGAAAAGACGTGAACATAAGGTAGGCCCAGATTCCTGCTTCTTATAAAAGATCAGACTCAAATACACAGTCTATAAATAATTTACTATCATATATGCACAACGAAGATTCATGGAGAAAAAGTCCAACAGCAGTGGCAGAAATCCCTCATTGATTTGAGTTAAGGTCCATGTTAAATTTAAATCCGAATGGAAGACTCTCTTTAAGACCTGTGTATAAAGATACTGTTCAATCGTACATAATGAAATACCACTCCATATAGATCTTTCAAGAAAGTCGCATTTCCAATTTCTTTTTAAAGTTAAACATCACAGAGTTTTAAAAGACATTTTTAATGCAGTTTTTGTAATCTTCAAAGAAAGAAAGGAAAAGTCTATTTAACTGGCACATGTAACTATTTTCACAGTACTAGGCAGATTCAGAAAACTGTACTCAGGGAAAGGCAGGAAAGAGTAGAAGAGAGAAGATGAGACGCAGGAGCCTTCTGCCCAGGTGGCCAAGGTCCCACACAGGGATGCCCAGAGGCTCACGACCGAGCCACTGTGAGAGGTCACCGGAAAGCAACAGGTGCCGGTGGCTCAGCTGCCCAGCACCTCTGTGGGTGTGGCCTTTTCACTGTGATTCCATCGCGCTGAAAGACTGCAAATATTGGAAACAGCAGCTTGTCTGCGCTTTTTTCTTTTAATTTTTTAATTTTTTTTTTTTTTTTGAGACAGAGTCTTGCTCTATTGCTCAGGCTGGAGTGCAGTGGCACGATCTCGGTTCACTGCAACCTCCACCTCCCGGGTTCAAGTGATTCTCCTGCCTCAGCCTCCCAAGTAGCTGGGATTACAGGTGCCCACAACCATGCCTGGCTAATTTTTGTATTTTTAGTAGAGATGGGGCTTCGCCATGTTGGCCAGGCTGGTCTCGAACTCGTGACCTCAGGTGATCTGCCTGCCTTGGCCTCCCAAAGTGCTGGGATTACAGGCGTGAGCCAACGTGCCGGCCAGCTTGTCCAAGTTTAAATTAAGCTTCAGAATCTCAATCTGCATGTACAGTTGTTAGCCGACTTTCATTTAAAAGCTATGGAGCCCAAATGTTGGGTCTTCAATCACGATTCTCCATCAAGTTTGCTTTTATATCAACTAAGTCATAAGGAGAATCTCTTTAGAGCAGGGTTTCTCACCCTCGCCCTGCTAACTTAGAGCCAGATCGTTCTTGGCTGTGGGGCTGGCCCGTGCATTATAAAATGTTGCGTAGCAGCCCTGGCCTGGTGCCACTAGATGCCAGTGGCACCTCACCAACACCAGTGTGACAGCCAAAGATGTCTCCAGACACAGCCACTGTCCTCTGGGGGAGTAAAATCACCCCCTGTTAAGAACCAATGTTCCCAGGGGGGATAAAATCACCCACTGTTAAAGAACGAATAATTTATCATAATCCAAATTTTATTAAATAACACTTTAAAATTGAAAAAATATTGAATGTAGCTATACCTTTTATTTTGTTTGATATCATCAGTTGAAAGAAAAATCAGAGGCCTAAACCAGATTAAAATGTTCTGCCAAATACCAAATAGAGATGGTTGTGTGTGTATATGCCCCCCACATGCACACAGAGTATGGTGTGCACCTCTTGATGTGTACCTATAGACATTTATATTTACATATTTAGTGTCATATAATTATCCTAAATATCATGCTCTGCGTTATGTAATGTAAGACAAAATAAAGTAAAATCTTCAAAAAACTTGAATATTGCACCTAATAACTCAGCTCAAAATAAATGATCTCTTAATTTAAAAAAAATCAAAATATGAAGAAAATACAAATACACTCTTTTACAAAATAAAGTAATTATCTAGCACATCCCTATCTATCAAGCCTAACACTGTAGGTATATAATGTGTATTTTACAGTATGTGAAGTTTATGTACAGTTGAAGATTATACATATTACTTGTCTCCTTCATCAGCTTATACAGTGAAAAGATGATTGTGTGGTATAAATCAGGATGTGAAACATCATTAGTCTGTCACAGAAATGCTGATTCAGCAATGACCTGACATCCTTGTCCCACTGAAATAAGCCAATACAATAAATCATTGCTACCACTTATTTCAAAATGATAAACTAGGAGGTCTAAGAGTCCCTTCTTCAGCCAAACAAATGGACCCTAGATAAAACATACTTTTTAACACATTCTAGATTAGCAAGACAAGGTATGGTTTTCCAAGGAATCTCTCTCCCCACGAAAACATTTCCTGCAGCTGTCTAGGAGCGGCAAGACTTGAGTGGCACAGGATGGAACTGCCTGGAACCTCGAGGCTGATCAAGCACTGAAGTCAGAGGAGGTGTGAACACCTGTGAGGGTTGTAGGCTCCACTGTTTCTCACATTGAGCCAAGATCCTTGAAATGCACTAAAATTATTCCCTGGCATCCAGAAGAAGCAGACACAGCAGTTTCTGGAGGAAAGCATCCCGCCTGCAGGCCCTCAGGAATCCCACAGAATACGATGAAGTGATGAGATTATAGTCTTGCATCTCCAGGGACACAAGAAGACAAGCAGCATGAATGAGAGCAGAAACAACCAAAACAGATTTAGCCAGACCCCAAAACCGCATGGATGAGAATTCATAGATACTGAATGTAAAAGAGGAATTTTGCTTAAAGAAATTAGGGGTTGAAGAGTTTAAAAGTACCAATTAACATGGGCCCTTAATGAGTTAAGAATGAAGGCTATCATCTCCAGATGACATTAAACCACTAAAAATACTAAAAGAGTGAGTATATAACTGCCAGGAAAGGGGAAATAGAATTTTAAATAATTCTCAATCAAATCAAATAGTCAAAAATTGACTAGTCAAGAAAACTAAGGTAATAAATCATAATAGAAATTTAAAATAATTTTGAATAAATAAAATGTAAATGCAATCAAAATGCACATGAAAACTTGAGGGATGCAGCTACAGGGAAATTTATAGTCTTAAATATACACAATGGGAAATATGAAGCATGAAAATCAAAAGCTAAGTATCCATCTTTGTAAGTTAAGAAAATGACAAATTGAACCCAAAGAAGTGAAGAGAAAATGATAATTTTAAGTAGAAAGTGGGAAAGAGAGTCACCAAAAACAACAACGAAAAAGAGATCATCACTATAAAGATACTACAATAAACAGATAATGGAGTAAAACTACAAATCAACTCTAGCATTCTTTTGGTTTTATACAGATATCCAGTTGATTCACCACCATTTGTTGAAAAAATGTTTTCTTTCCTAAATAAATTGCTTTGCCACTGTGGTTTAAAATCAGTTGTATATTTAAATAACACATAACACATCGACAGAGTCTATTTCTGGACTCTCTCTTCTGTTCCCTTAATCTATATCTATCTTTTGCCAGGACCACAGTCTTGATTACTATAACTTTGTAGTAGGTCAGGAAATCAGGTAAGTGCTCCAAAAGTTGTCCTTTTGGGGAAAAAAATGCTTTAGTTATTTGAATTTAGTCCTTTGAATGTCTACATAAATTGTGTAATTAGCTTGTCATTCTCTGCAGAAAAACCTAGTTCAATTTTTATTACAATTGCACTTAAATCTGTAAGTCAATGTGGGAAGAACTGCACACTAAACAACACTGAGTCTTCTTATCTATGGACAGACTATATCTCTTCATTAGATCTTTAGATCTTTTACAAAAATTTCTTTTCAAAATATCTCGGTAATTTTTGGTATAGGAATCTTGAGCATACTTTTTTTTTAAGGTTTATTCCTAGGTTTCTTAGGGTTTTGGTATCATTATAAATGCAATTGTTCCTTAAATATTTTCCAATTATGCGCTAGAATATGAGAATATATTGATTTTTGGATACTGATCTTGTATCTTCTGACCTTGCTAAATTTATATATTAGTGCTGGTAGTACTGGATTTTTTGTAGACCACTTGAGATTTTCTACATAAACAATCATATAGCCTACAAACAAGAACAGTTTTACTTCTCTCATTTTCATTTTTCTGTGCTTTATTTCTTTATATTGTCATATTACAAGAACTAGGCCCTTCAGTACATTGACTGTTGAACGGAAAAGGTGACTGCCTTGCTGCCAGTCTCATGGAAAAATAATTAAGTTTTTCGCCATGAAGTATAAGGTTGGCTCTAGGTTTTTCAAAAATGCCTTTCATCAGTTTGAGAATTCATGGTTTGCTCTCTAATGCTTTTTCTGCATTTATTGAAATGATCATATGGTTTTTCTCCTGCAATCTGTTAATATGGAAAATTATACTAATTATTGAATGTTAAATCAACCTTGGATTTCTGGAATAAACTTTTTTTGGTTATGCTGTACTATTTTATATACCATAGCATTTGATTTGATATCTTGTTTGGATCTATGTGAGTGGGAGATGGTGATCTGTAATTTTCTTTTCACATAATACGTTTGTCTTAATATCAGGGTAATACTAGACCTACAAAATAAGTGGGGAACTGTCCTCCACCTCCATTATTTTCTGAAAGAGATTTATAGGATTGGTATTATTTCTTACTCAATGTTTGAGAAAATTAAACAGGGAAGCCATTTGTGTTTGGACTTTTCCTTCTGTAAATAATTTTAATTACTAATTCAGCTGCTTTATTGATATAACTCTATTTTGATTTTCTATTAAAACGAGTCTATTTTGGTAAGTTGTATTTTTTAAGGAACTATTCCATTTCATGTAGGTTGTTGACTGTGTTGGTATAAATTTGTTAATAGATTCTCTTATTTTTTTTAATTCCTGTAGGGTTTGTGTTTGGTCACCTCTCTTTTCTTGATGATATTGGTGATGTGTGTTCAATTGTTTCTTTTCAAAGAACCAGCTTTTTGGCTTAGTAGGTTTTTTTCTGCTTTGTCTGTTTCCTACTTTGTTGATTCTGATCTTATGGTTATTAGTTTCTTCTTCCTATGTATTTTAGTTTTACTTTCCATTCCAGCTTCTTAGAGTAGAACATTAGATTAGATAATTTTAGATCTTTCTTATTTTCTGTTGTATTTCATCTACAAGTTTCCCTCTAAGCTAACTTTAGGTGCACTCAAAAATTTTTTATATATTTTCATCAACATTTTGCTTTGTAATATTATCTTATTCCCTTGTGATTTCATTTTTGACTCATGATTTAACTAGAAGTGTATCATTGACTTTCCAGACATTGAGGTTTTCCTAGACTGCTATTGATTTCTAACTTAAATTTGTTGTGGTCAGAGTATATAATCCTTATGATGTAATATTATAATCTTGGTGAATTGACCGTGCACGCATGACAAGATTGAATTCTGTGGTTGTTGGATATAGTGTTCTACAAATGTCAATTGAATCAACGTGGTTGATAATGTTATTCATAGCTTCTATGGCTTTCCTGATTTTTTTTTGTCTAGGTGTTCTATCAATTTCTGAAGAGTGATAAAATCTTCTTCTATGATTGTGGAATTGTCTATTTTGTTTTACTTTAGTGAATCAATTGCATCTTGAGTATTTACCAGGGACATTTATAATTGTTATATCTTCCTTATAATCTGTCCCATTTATTATTATTAAATGTCCCTCATTATTTCCAATTACATTATGTGCACTGAAGTTTATTCTATGCCACTTTGGCCTTTTATGCTTATTACCTGCATGCTATGTATTTTTCCATTCATTTACTTTCAACATATCTCTATGCTTAATTTAAAAGCATGTCCCATATCATTGCTCAGCCTTTCAGCTAAGATCAAGGGTAAAAGTATGTCTCTTAAGAGCAGCATATATTAGAGCCTTACTTCCTTATCTGCTTTCTCAATATTTTCCTGTTAATGGGAATGTTTGCAGTTAACACAATTATTGATATAGCTGCATTCAGGTCAACAAAATTATTTATTTTCTGTTTGTCTCTTTTTTTATTCATTTCTGTGCCCATTTTTTGCTTTCCTTTGGGTTACTTGAATATTGTATTTTCATCAGTTGGCTTTTAATAATATTATTATTAAGTATTAAATATTAATATTTTAATTAATTTTTAATTATATTTTAGTACTTACTCCGTGAATTAAAATATACATACATAACTTCTCTACAAAGTTTTATTGCATCAAGTGAAATATACAAGCCTTGAAATGATATAGGTCACTTTACCTCTCCCCTTTCCTCTTATGGTATAGTTGTCATACATATTACATCTATATACATTAAAACTCCCACCAGACAATATTATAATTTATACTTTCAACCATCAAACCTATTTTGAAGAACGTAAGAGGGAAAAACGTTATCTTTTACACTTACCTACTATTTACCATTTCTGCTGTTCTTCATCCCTAAAGATCTAATTTCTCTGTAGTATCATTTTGCTTCATCCTGCAGAAATTCCATTAACATGTCTTATAGAGCAGGTCTGCTGGAAATGAATTCCAGTCATTTCCTCCATCTGAGAATGTCTCTCTTTTTTGCTTTTATTCCTGAAGGATTATTTTGCTGGATAGAGAATTCTGGCTTAAAAGTTCTTTTCTTTCAGCACTTAAAGAAGGTGCTCCACTATCTACTTGCCTCCAGGATTTCTGATCAGAAATTTGCAGTCATTCAAATCATAGTCCCTTGCATGTAATGTATCACTCTTCTCTCACTGTTTTTGAGACATTTTCCTTATTTTTAGTTTTCAGCACTATGATTATGATGTGTCTAGGCATGTTTTCCTTTATTTCATCCTGTGTTTTCACTGAATTTTGTGAAATTGTAAATGTGTCTTTGCAAAGATTGACAATTCTGTCATTACCTCTTCAAATATCTTTTTCTCTTAATCTCTTGCTCCTCTGAAACTATAATTGTTTTTAATATTTCAAAATATTTATTCTTTTTTAAATTTTATTTTAAGTCCCGGGACACATGTGCAGGAAGTATAGGTTTATTACATAGGTAAATGTGTGCCATGGTAGTTTGCTGCACCTATCAACTCATCACGTAGGTATTAAGCCCCACATGCATTAGCTATTTATCTGATGTTCTCCCTCCCCCTTTTCCCCCTTGACAGGATCCAGTGTGGGTTGTTCCCCTCCCTCTATCCATTGTTCTCTTCGTTCGGCTCCCACTTATAAATGAGAACATGCAGAGCTTGGTTTTCTGTTCCTGTGCTAACTTGCCGAGGATAACAGCTTCCAGCTCCATCATGTCCCTTAAAAGGACATGACCTTGTTCCTTTTTATGGCTGCAGAGTATTGCATGTTGTATATGTACCACATTTTCTTTATCCAGGCTATCATTGTAGGGCATTTGGGATGATTCCATGTCTTTGCTATTGTGAATAGTGCTGCAGTGAACATATAAGTGCATGTATCTTTATAGCAGAATGATTTATATTCCTTTGGGTATATACCCAGCAATGGAATTGCTGGGTCAAATGGTATTTTGGGCCCTAGGTCTCTGAGGAATCACCACACTGTCTTCCACAATCGTTGAACTAATTTAGATTTACACCAACAGTGTAAAAGCATTCCTATTTCTCCATAGCCTCACCAGCATCTGTTGTTTCTTGACTTTTAAATAATTGCCATTCTGACTGATGTGTGATCTCATTGTGGTTTTGCTTTGCATTTCTTTAACGATTAGTGATGTTGAGATTTTTTTCTTAAGTTTGTTGGTTGCATAAATGTCTTCTTTTGAGAAGTGTCTGTTCATGTCCTTTGCCCAATTTTTAATGTGGTTGTTGGTTTTTTTATTGTAAATTTGTTTAAGTTCCTTGTAGATTCTGGATATTAGACCTTTGTCAGATAGATAGAGTGCAAAAATTTTCTCCCATTCTGTAGGTTGTCTGCTCATTCTGATGTTAGTTTCTTTTGCTGTGCAGAAGTTCTTTAGTTTAATTAGATCCCATTCGTCAATTTTTGCTTTTGTTGCAATTGCTTTTTACATTTTTGTCATGAAATCTATGTTTGTGCCTATGTCCTGAATGGTATTGCCTAGATTTTCTTCTAGGATTTGTAAAATTTTGGGTTTTATATTTAAGTCTTTAATCCATCTTGAGTTAATTTTTGTATAAGGTGTAAGGAAAGGGTTCAGTTTCAATTTTCTGCATGTGGCTGGCCAGTTTTCCCAGCACCATTTATTAAATAGGGAATCCTATCCCCATTGCTTGTTTTTGTCAGGTTTGCTGAAGATCAGATGGTTGTAGATGTGCGGTCTTATTTCTGAGATCTCTATTCTGTTCCATTGGTCTATGTGTCTGTTTTTGTGCCAGTACCATGCTGTTTTGGTTACTGTAGCCTGGTGGTATAGTTTGAAATTGGGCGGCATGATGCTGCCAGCTTTGTTCTTTTTGCTTAGGATTATCTTGGCTATATGCACTCGTTTTTGATTCCATTTTAATTTTAAAGTAGTTTTTTTTCCAATTCTGTGAAGAATGTCAATGGTAGTTTAATGGGAATAGCATTGAATCTATAAATTACTTTGGACAGTATGGCCATTTTCACAATATTGATTCTTCTTCCTATCCATGAACATGGTATGTTTTTCCATTTCTTTGTGTCCTCTTTGTTTTCCTTGAGCAGTGAATTTGTAGTTCTCCTTAAAGAAGTCCTTCACTTCCCTTGTTAGCTGTATTCCTAGGTTTTTTATTCTCTTTGTAGCAATTGTGAATGGGAGTTCACTTATGATTTCACTCTCTGCTTGTGTATTGTTGGTGTATAGGAATGCCTGTGATTCTTGCACATTGTTTTTGTATCCTGAGACTTTGCTGAAGTTGTTTATCAGCTAAAGGAGCTTTTGGACTGAGAGGATGGGGTTTTCTAGACATAGGATCATGTCATCTGCAAACAGAGACAGTTTGACTTCCTCTCTTCCTATTTGAATACACCTTTCTTTCTCTTGCCTGATTGCCCTGGCCAGAACTTCCAATACTATGTTGAATAGGAGTGGTGAGAGAGTGCATCCTTGTCTTATGTCAGTTTTCAATGGGAATGCTTCCAGCTTTTGCCCCTTGTCTAGTATGATACTGGCTGTGGGTTTGTCATAAATGATTCTTATTATTTTGAGGTACAGTTCCATCAATACCTAGTTTATTGAGAGTTTTTAACATGAAAGGACGTTGAATTTTATCAAAGGCCTTTTTTGTGTCTATTGAGATAATCATGTGGTTTTTATCTTTAGTTCTATTTATGTGATGGATTACATTTATTGATTTGAGTAGGTTGAACCAGCCTTTCACCTGAAGGACGAAGCCGACTTGATCGTGGTGGATAAGCTTTTTGATGTGCTGCTGGATTCAATTTGCCTGTATTTTATTGAGGATTTTTGCATCAGTTTTCATCAGGGATATTGGCCTGAAGTTTTCTTTTTTTGTTGTTGTAACTCTGCCAGGTTTTGGTATCAGGATGATGCTGGCCTCATAAAATTAGTTAGGGAGAAGTCCCTCCTTTTCAATTGTTTGGAATTGTTTCAGAAGAAATGGTACCAGCTCCTCTTTGTACCTCTGGTAGAATTCAGCTATAAATCCTCTTATCCTGGGCTTTTTATTATGGGTAGGCTGTTAAATATTCATTACTGCCTCAATTTCAGAACTTGCTATTGGTCTATTCAGGGATTCAACTTCTTCCAGGTTCAGTCCTGGGAGGGTGTATGTGTCCAGGAATTTATCCATTTCTTCTAGATTTTCTAGTTTATTTGCATAGAGATGTTTATAGTATTCTCTGATGGTTGTTTGTATTTCTGTGGGGTCAGTGGTGATATCCTCTTTATCATTTTTTTATTGTGTCTATTTGATTCTTCTCTCTTTTCTTCTTTACTAGTCTAGTTAGCAGTCTACCTGTCCTATTGATTCTTTCAAAATACCAACTCCTAGATTCATTGATTATTTGAAGGGCTTTTCATGTCTCTAGCTCCTTCGGCTTCACTCTGATCTTGGTTATTTATTGTCTTCTGCTAGCTTTAGGGTTTGTTTGCTCTTGGTTCTCTAGTTATTTTAGTTGTGATCTTAGGGTGTCGATATGACATCTTTCTAGCTTTCTGATGTGGGCATTTGGTGCTGTAAATTCCCCTCTTACCACTGCTTTAGCTGCATCCCAGAGGTTTTCTTTGTTCTCTTTGGTTTCAAAGAACTTCTTGATTTCTGCCTTGATTTCATTATTTACCCAGGAGTCATTCAGGAGAAGGTTGTTCAATTTCCATGTAGTTGTGTGGTTTTGAGTGAGTTTCTTATTCTTCAGTGAAACTCCAATTTTTGGTCGTGTTCCACAGCTGCATGAGCTCTGGCAATGTAAAAAAATTTTCTCTAAGTTCTTTAGATTGGATAATTTACACTGATCTATTTCAGTTCACTAACTCTTTGCTCTGTCATAGTCACTCCACTACTGAACCCATCAAGCAACTCTTTTTTATTTAAGGTGTTGTAGTTTCATTTCTAACCTTTGTATTAGATTTTCTGGTAAATTCCTATTCTCCCCTGAGAACTCCCAACCTTTCATTCATTTCAAGTGCATTTTCTTTACCTCATTGATCATAGTTATAAAAGCTACTTTAAATTCTTTGGTCATTTCAATATCTGGGTCCTCTTAGGTTTGCTATCTGTTGACTGTCATTTTCCCTTGGAAATTTATTACATTTTTTTCTTATTCTTTGTACATCGAGTCCTTTGGTACTGTCTCCTGGATACTGTCAATGTTAAAATATGTAAACTCTGGATTCTGTTTTAATCTTCTGGAGATTATTATTTTTTTTTACTTATAAACTAATTGGCTTCTGACCACAATTTCTGTCACACTTTCTAAGGGAAGTGGTTCAAATTCAAATTTCCTGTGATCATATTGGCCTGTATCACACGTGTATCATCCAGTAGCCAGCCACATGCTTGTGCAGATGGTTCAAATCTCAGTTCGGTTCTCTAAGCCTTGCCATCTTGCTTCATGCCTGTCTAGCACATACACCATTCAAGAGTTAGTCAGATACCTGTATGGATGGTTCTAACCTCAGCCAGTCATCAGTCAGTCCTCTGGGCCTTTGCTGGGCTGGTTTGAGTCTGTCCCCAGATGGTGTTGTTCTGAAATTAGGCTGAGGCTAGTGCAAGTTCATGAACAGAACTGGGGGGCTTCTTTGGCTCTCTCTTCTGGTTTTCCCCCACACTCCCTGGCCTGCAGGTGCTGCTCTCTCTGACTCCTCTGGGCCAAAAGATGGGGTTGCTACAGGATTACTAGCTACCTATGCCACCATGCCACTACATGATGAAGACTGGCTCTAGGGAGAAATCCAGGAGAGAAGAAAACAGGAAAACCACCCCGAGAGGGTCCCTTCTCCAGGTTTTAACATTCTCCACAATCTACCTGTTTATATTTTTCAGAGTCCATATGTAGTTGATTTTTGTCCAGTTTTCATTGTAATCAGAGGGAGGCGTGAGCTTTAGTAGGTTTACACGCCCTTAGCAGATTGGAATTCAACATTCTCTCTCATTATGACACCCGGTTAAAACACTCTTTTCTTGCCAATATCTAAAATTTTAAAATAAATTAAGTCGGCTACTGTTCCTGTGTCCAATCCTCCCCAACTGACCACCTAGAGTCCTGGGACCTCACGCCCCCTGCGGATCCCTCATCAGGGCGAGGGAGATCAACGAGCATCACACAACTCTGGATAAGGAGGAAAGGGCGCAGGGCTGCCTGCCTTCAGCCGGCATTTGAGAACCTGAACAGTCTCCATGACCATCAGGTGTACCATGGCAGAGGTACAAGCAGGCTGATATATCTCAGAAGTCAGGTAGACAGTCCCTGGGATCTCTGGGCTTCCTTTTATTGGATGCCCTGCAGCCTGCGTTTCTGTGCTGATGCTTCTGCTCATGATGTCCTGTCTCATTTTAAAATCATCTTCATCAAAATCTGACCTGAGCAAAAAGAAAAATCTGATTTTTTTGAACCTCTAAAATATATTGAAAGTTCTTACATGTTTAACAGCTGACATATTTAGCAATTTTCACAAGCATTTCAAATATATTATAATTGAATTATTTTAAATGAACTTGACTTATTATCTTTGGAGAATGTCAGAGCAAGGTTAGAAAGACTATCAAAATTAGTAAAAACTCATTATAAATCATCGTTACTGCAAACATTTAAAAATAAAAATGTGCCAGGCGTGGTGACTCACACTTGTAATCCCAGCACTTTGGGAAGCCAAGGTGGGCAGATCACTTGAGCTCAGGAGTTCAAGACCAGCCTGGTCAATGTGGCGAAACCTGTCTCTACAAAAAATAAAATTAACCAGACATGGTGGCGCAAGCCTGTAGTCCCAGCTCCAGAGGCTGAGGTGGGATGACTACTTGGGCCCGGGGAGTAGAGGTTGCAGTGAACCGAAATCGCACCACTGCACTCCAGCCTCAGTGACAGGGTGAGACCCTGTTTCAAAATAAATAAATAAGTAAAAATAAAAATGAAAATGCCTGTATGTCAATTTTCCTCCAAAATTATGCATGCATCTTCCCAGTAAACTTACTAATGATTCTGTTTGCAAGGCAGCACTTCCTTAAAGACTCAGATACAAGATAAAGTAAGTTAAATGACCCTCATGTTTATATGCCTGGCAGAAAAGCTAGGTGACCACTCTCGTTCTAAAAATAAACTTCTTGTTATGTTGTTCATTCACATTGGAATCAGAGATCCATTTAAAATCATCTGTAATTTAAAAACTAATCCTATTTTTGTATTCCATGAAAAAGAGATATTAGAAGTGACTTGAATCATTATTGAAAAGCACTAAATAAAGGGAAGAAAATAAAATTTATTTTGGGGGGATTTTGATAGTGATACGTATTTTTTTGTTTAGTTTCATTTCTGTGTTCTCATTTGTTTAGTTTTACTGCTAAGGGAGTATTTTCTCTTTCTGCTGTTTATTTCCCCAAAGGCAAGAAGAATGAGTTATTGTGTCGGTGAACTTAGAGACTGCACAGATCGGTGGCCACTCTGCCTCTGTGGGGTAGAGCACATGAGGACAACCGTGCCCTTCACCAGCATTCCTATGATGAAGCTTTACAGTGAATGAACTTTCTTTCACTCTTTTACATTATGTCATTTCTCAGATCTTAACATTTCTCAAGACAGTTAAGAATATAAAAGCTACATGACTTATGTTATAAGCCCTATAGTTTATGAGGAAAGGTAACTAATATTGAAAAATAACATACACCAGAAATGACAGTTAGCCAGGAAGAACTTGGAAGGCAGCAGGGAAGCCTGATTTAGGATTTGGCAAGAGTTATCAACTATTAACATGAAATTATTATATGCAACCTATAAATTAGAGCCTTTATCCTGCCTATTATCAGCACTATTCTTACTTTCAATGACAGAGTCTTGGCATGGCTAAAGATGTCCCACTGGCAGAGACACAAATAAATCCAGACCCATGGGAAGGCTTTCCAAACCCCCTTCACACCCAAAGGAGGAAATGAACACACAGGCATGAACAGGCCTGCATGGAGAATTCATCACTTAGGAACCAAGAAATCCCCAAAGCTTCCTAACACTGCTGAGAAATAACAAAGTTATCTTTTTCTCTTTCTTCTCAGCTTAAGAAATCTGATTAAATATCCTCACAAGAAGCCTTCTTAGGTGAATCCATGTGAGAACCACTCTCCTCACAGAACCTGTGAAAATTATGATGAATGACTATTACACCACTTGATATATGGTTTGATTTCTAAATATAAGTACACGTATTTCAAAAACGTGCAGTCCTCATGAGCCAGCATCCCATATTGCTTAGTCTCCATTCACTCCTTTATTTGTTTGATGTGCTTACTATGTGGCAGCACTGTCAGGACCACCCAGGATGCCACAGTGACCAAGATAGACACACATTTGCTGATCTCCTGGAGCTTATATTCTGGTGAAGGGAGACAGAGAAAAAGTTTATATATTCATATATTTGCCACAGATATATATTAGAGCATTATTACAATGTGTCATAGGTAATAATCTGTTGGAAGAAAAGGAACACAGGAAAGTAGTCAGCAATGATGGAAGAACTCCTTCCGCAGGGCCAGGGAAGGCTGCCCTGAGGATGGATATTTGAGGAGACTCTAGAGAGGTGAACCACCACCAGCATGCTTGGGAAGAGCATCCCACGTAGAGGTGACAAGTACAAATGCACATTCACCTAGCAAGAAGGCCACCGTGTCTGGGGTCCAGCCCCCTGAGGCAGGAAATTATATGTAAATGGCAGCTGCAGCCAGGTCATTTGTGGCTTTGTAAGTCATGGTTGAGGCTCTGGATTTTATTCCAAGTGAAAGAAGGACAACATGCTGCTATCAAAAGCACCAAAAGATCCAAGCAGCCCTTCAGGTCTAACTTTTCAACATCACAAGGAAAAAGAGGAAGCAGTGTCTCATTCAAGGTTCTCAAACCAAACGGCCGCTGAGAAGCCAATAAAGTTCCTTAATCTCTAGCAGAACCCTAAAATGCATGGCAACTCTTGTTTTATTCCTACTATTTATAATGGCAGGTTTAAATATGATTTAGTATATTTTTAAGCCAAAAATTAAGAGAATGCAACTATTATTTATAACTTCAAAACACTGAAAAACAAGATGCAAAGAAACTTTAACAATATACAACATCAGCACATGGGAAGAGGAAGTATCAAGGAAATACAATATAGCGAATATAAGGCATAACAGCAAATATTTTAAAGTTAGGTCCAATTATATGTTCTCTACTAGAAACAAATTAAAAACAAAATGACAGAGATTAAAAATAAACAAATGGGCAATTCCAAGGAACTTCCAGTCCAGACAAAATGATATAGACCCCAAACTCCCTGCTTACTCCTGCCAAGCACACCTATAAACCCTGGGAATAAAGCAAGAGGCAACTAAAGGAGAATTCGGAAAGGTGGTAAGAGGAGAGGAAACTGTTTGGGATCTGATATGGTTTGCCTCTGTGTCCCCACCCAAATCTCATCTGGTAGCTCCCATAATTCTCATGTGTTGTGGGAGGGACCTGGTGGGAGATAATTGAATCATGGGGGGCTGCTCTTTCCCAGCTGTTCTCATGACAGTGAATAAGTCTCACGAGACCTGATGGTTTTAAAACGGGAGTTTCCCTGCACAAGATCTCTCTCTCTGCCTGCCGCCATCCATGTAAGATGTGACTTGCTCTTCCTTGCCTTCTGCCATGATCGTGAGGCCTCCCCAGCCATGTTGACCTGTAAGTCCATTAAACCTCTTTCCTTTGTAAATTGCCCAGTCTGGGGTATGTCTTTATTAGCAGCATGAAAATGGACTAATACAGGAGCCCAGGAAAATGGGAACAGCACAGCTGCAGGGAGTATTTCATCCCTCAAAATCAGCATTTCCAGACCAACTCCCAATATAGCAAGAGAAGACAGCTAGGTGGGCTTGTTCCTCCCTTGGATGAAAATATATCAGGGGAACATGCCCCCCTGGCAAGTAAGATTAATAAAAGCCCTGCCAGCAAAGGTAACCATGGGGGGCACCCCATCCCCTACAAAGAGATACCAGTGACTGGACAGAACCTGAGGAGGGACCCCACTACACCTCACACCTGGGATCTCAGGCCAAGAGACACCCAGGTCAAGAGCCATGTGCTATGGTATTCTACTGGGAGACCTGTAAGTCCACTAAACCTCTTTTTTTTTTTTTTTTTGTAAATTGCCCAGTCTAGGGTATGTCTTTATCAGCAGCATGAAAATGGACTAATACAGGAGCCCGGGAAAATGGGAACAGCACAGCTGCAGGGTGCATTTTGTCCCTCAAAATCAGCATTTCCAGACCAACTCCCAACATAGCAAGAGAAGACAGCTAGGTGGGCTTGTTCCTCCCTTGGATGAAACAATACCAGGGGAACATGTCCCCCTGTCAAGTAAGATTAATAAAAGCTCTGCCAGCAAAGGTAACCATGGGGGGCACCCCATCCCCTACAAAGAGATATGTGGTGAGTGGACAGAACCTGAGGAGGGACCCCACTACACCTCACACCTGGGATCTCAGGCCAAGAGACACCCAGGTCAAGAGCCATGTGCTCATCAATAGCACATGGCTCATGAAATGTTCTGAGGCCCCCACAGGAAGGGGGATGCCATCTTAACAAACACTTAGCCATGGAAGCCTCTTCACTTCTGCAGACCTGAAACTCCTCTCCACAGGAAGAGACATCTGGGCAGCCCAGCCTGGGGATATCCCTTCCAGCCCCCAAGGCAGCACCCAGCAGCACTGGAGAAACCAAACAGATCAAAGTAGCACTGCAAGATCTCTGAAAATTAAATCTTCATTTGAACAACAGGCTATGTAAATAGTCTATAACCTGTGTGCTAAACTTAAACAGGTTGACTGCCTGCTGAAATAAAACAGTTATTTATGACTCAGAGTCTCCTAAAATAATAGACAAAATATCCAGGATACAATCAAAAGTCACCTGTCATATCAGAAACTGAGAAAATCACAACTTGAATGGGAAAGGACAAACACCTGATGCCAACACTGAGATATATCGGATGCTGGATTATCTTAAAAGGATTTTAAAGCAGCCTTCCTAAAAATGTCTCAACAATCAGTTAACAACTTCTCTTGGAACAAGTGAAAAATGAAAAACTATGGGAAGAAACAAAAGATATAGAAAAAAGAACCAAATGGAAATGATAGATCTAAAATATACAATAACAGAATTTCTTTTTTTTAATTTTATATCATCAATACAAATTTTACAGCATCTTCAATCTGAAAACATCCTAAGAGCAATCTCTTCCTTGAAGAAGGCCGTGTGTGTGTGTATACATATATATATTTACATGAACTATATGTATATGTGTGTGTATTTACATGAACTACCCTTCTTAGAGCTCCCAGAGTGGTTTTTCCGGGTCTGTTACAACCTTTATCACATTCTCTCTTGTATTGTAGTGATACAGAGCAAAAATGTAAACGAGACCTGGTGCCTTCCCTCATGTGAGGAAGCAGTTTGATATAGACATCTCAGGGTAAGATTAGGTTACTGTGGAAGCTCATAGTGGAGGAATTAATGTAGAATTGGAGACATCAAGGAAGGCTTCCTAGAAGGCGTCATGTCTGAGTATTAAACTACAGGTTAGACTGAGCCACACATGAAGAGAAGTTAGAGGACCCAGAATTCAGGTATTTTACTATTCAAATTGAGGCTTTCTAGTAACCAAAAGGTTGGGATACATTCTCAAAGCAGGAAACAGCATAAATTACAGCCTGCAAGACTTAGCTACCCTTGAGCGCTATATTTCATGGGCTTTTCACTACAACTGCTTTCATTTCAGATCCCTCAACTCATGCTCTCTCTCACCTTTGAGGTCTAGCACATGTAGTAGGATAATGTGGGAGCATTTTCTCTTACAGAAACAAGAACTGCAGCTCAGGTGGTGGTACACATGCTCAGTTCCTGCCACACCCCTTAAGATGAGTCATCCTGTCTGGACATGAAGAAAGGCCCCTGGGGCTCCACATGCCAAAAGGTATGTCTAAGGGTATGTCAGAGGCAGCCGGGCAGGTGCTGACATCTGGGGTACCTGGCCTGCCTGGAGCTGGCACCTCAGCCCTCCTTTCTCCTTCACACTTCTGAGTCACCGTGGGAAAGTGTATCAGCCAGTGCCCATCCGTCATGGGGCATTTGTTCAACATCAAAGCCTCACTGCCCTTCATTGACATAATTTGAGGCATTCCGAGGTTATCAGGGATTTGCTAGCCTGTCAGAGCCAGGGAATGGGCAGGCTGTCTGGGGAGGATGTGCCATCCAGGAGGGATGCCATTTTGATGTACCTGTTTGGTCACTGGCTCTAACTGGTCCATGGACAGGCTGGACAGCATCAAGGTGTGAAGAAAAGAGCTTGGGCTTTAGAGCCAACCCTGACTCATCACCTCCCAGAGTCAAAGCCTTGGAAAGATACCCAGATCTCTGGAGCTTCAGTTTCCTCCAAGGTAGAAGAGAGAAGATAGCACAGTTCTGAAGGCTGGAAGTCCAAGATCCAGGTACCAGCATTTGGGGTCTGATGAGTGCTACATCCTCACGCAGTGGAAGAGCAAGCCCAATAACAGAATTTCTTAAAGCTTCTTGATATGCACTCAATAGTAGAGATAATAAAGAAAAGAATCAGTGAATTTGAGGGCAAATCAATAGAATTCACCCAATCTAAACAGCAAGGAGAAAATATATTTTTTTAAAAGGGCAGAGGTGGAATGGAGCCTCAGGGAACTGTAGAACTATTTTTAAAATCTAATATTCATGTCACTGGAGTACTAGAAGGATAAAAGAATTAGAGCAAGGTTAGAAAAGTACAGTAAGGAATAAAGGCTGAAATTTTCCCAATTTGGCAAAAGACACAAACCTACAAATTCAAGAAGATGAACAAACCCTAGGAACAGGATAACACGATGAACCCAAAGAAATCCATATCAAAATAAATCATCAACTTTCAAAGACTAAAGACAAAGAAAAACCTTGAATGCAGCCAGAAAGTACTATGCGTTACCTACAGGAAAACACAAATTCAAATGGCAGCAAATTTCTTCTCTGACACCAGGAGAGAGGGAAGGAAATGGTACAACATTTTTCAAGTACTGAAGAAAAGCACTGTCAACCATACATTCTATATCCAGTGAAACTATCCTTGAGGAATAAAGAGGAAATAAATACACTCTCAGATAAAGAAAAAGAATTTTTTACTAGCAGACCTACCCTTAAAGATTGGCTAAAAGAAGTTCTTCAAAGATAAAGAAAATTACAAAAAATAAGACAGGCTGGGTGTGGTGGCCCACACCTGTAATCCCAGCACTTTGGGAGGCCGAGGCAGGTGGATCACGAGGTCAAGAGATCAAGACCATCCTGGCCAACATGGTGAAACCCTGTCTCTACTAAAAATACAAAAATTAGCTGAGCATGGTGGTGTGCACCTGTAGTCCCAGCTATTTGGAAGCTGAGGCAGGAAAATCACTTGAACCTGGGAGGCAGAGGTGGCAGTGAGCCAAGATTGCACCACTGCACTCCAGCCTGGAGACAGAGTGAGACTCCATCTCAAAAAAAAAAAAAGACAAATTTTGGAGCATCAGGAAGCAAAAGGAACTGAAAAAGCAGAAATGTGTACACACAATAGATTATTCCTTTCCCTATGAGTTGTATAGATCGATTTGATGATTTAAACAAAAGTTATGTTGCCATCTGATACTCAAGAAAAGATAAAGGAATCTTAATGGAAGTGGTATTGTCACACTTCACTCAAAGTGGTAATTCTAATAAGTCATGTATGTATACTGTAGTCCTCTGAGCAACCACTCCAAAACTATACAAAGAGAAACACTAAAAAATACTATAAATGAATCAAAATAGAACTGTAAAAAATGTTCAAGTAACACACAGAAAATCAAGACAAAAGAAACATGGGTATGTACTGGAAACAGAGGAAATAAAGAGAAAATAAATACAGTAATCCTTCAGTATCCATGGGGAATTGGTTCCAGGACCTCTGTGGATACCAAACTCCATAGATGTTCAGGTCCCTTATTTAAAGGGGCATAGTATTTGCATATAAACTAAGCACATTCTTCTGTATACTTTAAATGATCCCTAGATTACTTATAGTACCTAATACAATGCCTATGCATCTCATCACTTGCATGGATTCAACATAGTAGTCAGTGCACAGAAAATTCAAGTTTTGCTTTTTGGAAGTTTATGGGAATTTTTTTTACCTGTAGTTGGTTGAACCCATGGATGCAAAAGCTATGGATATGAAAGAGCAACTTTAATTGAAATGGCATATTTAAGCATTAACATATCAATAATTACCTTAAATGTAAATTTTCTAAACATATCAACCAAAACACAGAGACCGGAAGAAAGGATTGAAAAAATAACCCAACTATATGCTGGAAAAAGATATGTTACACACAAAAAAAATCTAAGCAAGAGACTATATTAATACCAGCTAAGTAGACTTCAAAATAAAGAAAATTACTAGAGGGACAGAAAATTATTAAATAATGATAAATAGGTCAATCCACCAGGAAGATACAACAATCCTAAATATGTATGCACCAAACAACAGAGCAGCAAAATACATGAAGTGAAAAACTGCTAGAGCTGAAAGAAAAAACAAATTCATGTTTATAATTGGGAACATAAATAACTCACCCTCAGAAACTAATAGAAATGCTACACAGAAAATAATTCAAAATATGGAAGAACTGAACAACACTGAACCAAAGGGATTTAATACACATATATAAAACACTTCACTCCAAAACAGGAGAATACAGTTTTTTTCAAGTTCCCATGAAAGATTTACCAAGATGTATCATATTCTGGGTCACAAAAAAAATTCCGCAAATGTAAAAAAATAAACTCATACAGAGTATGTTCTTCAACTATAATGGAATAAAGTTAGAAACTAACAGAAAGACAATAGAAAAATCTCTAAATGCATGGAAATTAACCAACATACTTCTAAATAGTCTATGGGTCAATGAAGAGGTCTCAAAGTAAATTTTAAAATATATAGAACTGAATTTTAATGAAAATGCAACACATAGAAACATATAGGGTGCAACCGAAATATAACTGTGACAAAACTTTATAACACTAAATGTTAACATTGGAAAAGAAAGGAAATCTCATATCAACAATCTAAGTTCCTACCTCAAAAACACTTGCCAAAAAAGAGTAAAATGCATCAAAAGAAAGCTTAAGGAAAGAAACAATAAAGATCACAGAAGAAATCTATTGAGTTAATATAGGACAATACTAATGAAAATCAAAGGAGAAAAGGCTGTTTCTTTGGGTAAAATCAGTTAAATTGACAAACTTCTAAAAAGACTGACCAAAAATTAAAGGAGAGAGACACAAATCACCAATATCAGGAATGAAATAGGAAATTTTACTACATATATTTCAGACATTAAAATGATAATAAAGGAATATTATCAACAACTTTACGCTCACAAATTTGGCAACTAAAAAGAAACAAACCAATTCCTCAAAAAACACAAAGTATGAAAACACAGATAAAATCTATAATCTGAATAGCCCTTTAGCCATGAAAGACGTTGAATTATTAATTTGAAAGTTTCCTTTTAAAAAAAGATTCCAGACTCCTGGTTTTATTGCAGGAAGTCAGGGACCCCAAATGGAGGGACCGGCTGGAGCCGTGGCAGAGGAACATAAATTGTGAAGATTTCATATTAATATGGACATTTATCAGTTCCTGAATAATACTTTTATAATTTCTTATGCCTGTCTTTACTTTAATCTCTTAATCCTGTTATCTTCATAAGCTGAGGATGTACGTCACCTCAGGACCACTGTGATAATTGTGTTAACTGTACAAATTGATTGTAAAACACGTGTGTTTGAACAATATGAAATCAGGGCACCCTGAAAAAGTACAGAATAACAGCGATTTTTATGGAACAAGGGAAGACAACCTTAAGGTCTGACTGCCTGTGGGGTCAGGCAAAAAGAGCCATATTTTTCTTCTTGCAGAGAGCCAATAAATGGACGTGCAAGTAGGAAATATATCACTAAATTCTTTTCCTAGCAAGGAATATTAATATTAATACCCTGGGAAAGGAATGCATTCCTGGGGGGAGGTCTATAAACGGCCACTCTGGGAATGTCTGTATTATGCAGTTGAGATAAGGACTGAGATATGCCCTGGTCTCTTGCAGAACCCTCGGACTTACTAGGGTGGGGAAAAACTCCACCCTGGTAAATTTGTAGTCAGACCAGTTCTCTGCTCTCGAACCCTGTTTTCTGTTGTTTAAGATGTTTATCAAGACAATACGTGCACCGCTGAACATAGACCCTTATCAGTGGTTCTGCTTTTGCCCTTTGCTTTATGATCTTTGTTGGACCCTTATCAGTGGTTCTGCTTTTGCCCTTTGTTCTGTTCCCTCAGAAGCATGTGATCTTTGTTAGACCCTTATTAGTGGTTCTGCTTTTTGCTCTTTGATGCATGTGATCTTTGTACTTACTCTCTGTTCTTACACCCCCTCCCCTTTTGAAACCCTTAATAAAAGCTTGCTGGTCTGAGACTCAGGCAGGCATCACAGTCCTACCAATATGTGATGTCACCCCCAGCAGCCCACCTGTAAAATTCCTCTCTTTGTACTGTCTCTATTTCTCAGCTGGCTGACACTTATGGATAATAGAAAGAACCTACGTTGAAATATTGGGGGCAGGTTCCCCAATACTGTTTCACTAGAAAATTCTACCAGGCCTTTGTCTCCCACTCCCACCAGAGCTTGGGATTTATCTCTACTGTTCCATGTCCACCACCTCTGGAGCCCCCAGTGACTTTGTCACAGCCTCTGTTGCCCTGTGATCTGCAGGTACTGGGAGACGCATAGCTAAGATGCCAGGACATCCTGAAAGCTGGGAAATGAAACTGTTTACATTCAGGAATGTGGCCATAGAATTCTCTCTGGACGAGTGGAAATACTGGAACCTGCTTAGCAGAATTCGTATAGAGATGTGCTTTAAAAGAAGGACAGAAACCTGATCTCTGGGTCTTGATGTCTCTAAGCTAAACCTGGTGACCTTTTCGAAGGAAAGAAAAGAGTGAGGAGACAGTAGCCATACAGCCAGGTGTGATTGTATATATCTGCTAAGCATCTTAGTGATTTGACTCTCCTGCTTCAGCCCAGCCCACAGATGAGATTGTGACATATTGACTCTGCACCTTGAAGATGTGACTCTCTTTTCCAGCCTTGGTGCTGCCCACAGGTGGCATTGTGACATATGGCTGGGCCTTTCATCCAAATGATGTGTGATTGTGACGTACACCTCTGTCTGGAACCTGAATGACTTGACTTTTCTGCCTGGTCCCAACCCAAAAGTCATGTGACTCTTCTTCAGCCTGCACCCTACCACAAAAGGATTGTGATGCATCACTGCACTCAGCACCTAGATGATGTAACTCTCACCTTTTGCCTGGACCTTGCATATTTAAGGTTGGATTGTGACATATACTTTAGCCCAGCTCAGAGTTGTGATGATGACACTCATACCACAAACCAGCCAACAGAAGAGATGCTGGCATTTGTAGCTAGACTTAGAGAAAGGAATAAATTCCTGGGTCTTCTGTAGGCAATGTAACTCTCCTTCCTGGGTCCTGCCTATAGGAAGCATAAGGACCTGTCTGTGTATCCATCACCCAGCTGTTGTGACTCTCCTTTTTTGACTGAAACCTGCCACAAAGGGTGATTGTGACATATCACTGGGCCCAGAACCTAGTCTCTGGTGTGTCTTTATTAGCAGTGTGAGAACAGACTAATACAGTAAATTGGTACCAGCAGAATGGGGCATTGCTGAAAAGATAGCCGAAAATGTGGAAGCAACTTTGGAACCGGGTGACAGGCAGAGGTTGGAACAGTTTGGAGGGCTCAGAATACAGAAGAATGTGGGGAAGTGTGGGACTTCCTACAGACTTGTTGAATGGCTTTGACCAAAATGCTGATAGCGATATGGACAATAAAGTCCAGGCTGAGGTGGTCCCAGACGGACCTGAGGAACTTGCTGGGAACTGGAGCAAAGGTGACTCTTCTTATGTTTTAGCAAAGAGACTGGTGGCATTTTGCCCCTTCCCTAGAGATTTGTGGAACTTTGAACTTGAGAGAGATGACTTAGGGTATCTGGAGGAAGAAATTTCTAAGCAGGGCAGGTCTCTGTTGATCCATGGATGGGGATCTCTGTTCCGCAGGATGGGGTTTGTAAAGTTGTTAAGAATAAAGCCTACTTTAAGAGATATCAAGCGAAATTTAGAAGACGGCAAGAGGGTGAAACTGAGTATTATGCTTGGAAATGCTTGGTGATACAGGACAAAAATAAATACAACACACCCAAATACAGGATGATAGTTTGTGTAACACACAGAGATATTATTTATCAGGTTGCTTATGCCCGTACAGAAGGGGATATGATAGTACGCACAGCATATGCATGTGAACTACGAAAATATGGTTTGAAGGTTGGCCTGACCAATTACGCTGCGGTGTATTGTACTGGCCTGCAGGCTTCTCAATAGGTTTGGCATGGAAAAGATCTATGAAGGCCAAGTGGAGGTGACTGGCAAGGAATACAATGTGGAAAGCATTGATGGTCAGCCAAGTGCCTTTACCTGCTATATGGATGCAGGCCTTGCCAGAACTACCAGTGGCAATGAAGTTTTTGGTGCCCTGAAGAGAGCTGTAGATAGAGGCTTGTCTATCCCTCACAGTACCAAATGATTCCCTGGTTATGGTTCTGAAAGCAAGGAATTTAATGCAGAAGTACACCGGAAGCACATCATGGGCCAGAATGTTGCAGATTACATGTGCTACTTAATGGAGGAAGATGAAGATGCTTACCAGAAACAGTTCGTTCAATACAGGAAGAACAGTGTAACTCCAGACATGATGGAGGAGATGTAAAAGAAAGCTCATGCTGCTATATGAGAGAATCCCATCTAGGAGAAGAAGCCCAAGAAAAAAGTTAAAAAGAAGTGGAACTGTCCCAAAATGTCCCTTGCTCAAAAGAAAGATTGAGTAGCTCAAAAGAATGCAAGCTTCCTCAGAGCTCAGAAGTGGGCTTCTGAGAGCTAAACCAAACAATTTTCCATGAGGATTTTTCAGATGAAGATCATAAACTTATTGACAGCAAAAAAAAAAAAAAAAAATGAACTTTATAAGCAGCAAAGCATTCAAGAGGTGACTTGGGTTCTGTTAAAGGTATTCAGCTTTAAAAAGAAAACAGAGCATAAAAGTTTGGAAAATTTGCAGCCTGACAATGCAATAGAATAGAAAATCTCATTTTTTGAGGAGAAATTTAAGCCAGCTGCAGAAATTTGCATAAGTAATGAGAAGCCGAATGTTAATTCCCAAGACAATGGGGAAAATGTCTCCAGGGCATGTCAGAAATCTTCTTGGCAGGCCAGGCGCAGTGGCTCACGCCTATAATCCCAGCACTCTGGGGGGCCGAGGTGGGCGGATTACGAGGTCAGGAGATCCAGATCATCCTGGCTAACACAGTGAAACCCTGTCTCTACTAAAAATACAAAAAATTAGCCGGGTGTGGTGGTGGGTGCCTGTAGTCCTAGCTACTCGGGAGGCTGAGACAGGAGAATGCAGTGAACCTGGGAGGGGGAGCTTGCAGTGAGACGAGACGGTGCCACTACACCCTAGCCTGGGCGACAGAGCAAGACTCCGTCTCAAAAAAAAAAAAAAAGAAATCTTCTTGGCAGCCCATCCCATCACAGGCCCAGAGGCCTAAAAGAAAAATATAGTTTCCTGGGTCGGGCCCAGTGCCTCCCTGCCCTGTGTAGCCCAGGGACTTGGTGCCCTGCATTCCAGCCAGTCCAGTCATGGTTATATAGTTTCCTGGGTCGGGCCCAGCACCTCCCTGCTCTGTGCAGCCCAGGGACTTGGTGCCCTGCATTCCAACCAGTCCAGCCATGGCTAAAAGGAGCCAAGGCAGAGCTCGGGCTGTTGCTTCAGACAGTGGAAGCCCCAAGCCTTGGCAGCTTTCACGTGCTGTTGAGCCTGCAGGTGCATGGAAGTCAAGAATTGAGGTTTGGAACCCTCCACCTAGATTTCAAAGAATGTATGGGAACACCTGGATGTCCAGGAGAAGTTTGCTGCAGGGGCGGGGCCTTCATGAAGAACCTCTGCTAGGACAGTGCAGCAGAAAAATGTGGGGTCAGAGGTGCCACACTGAGGAGTCCCTACTGGGGCACCACCTAGTGGAGCTGTGAGAAGCTCCCAGATCCCAGAATGGTAGATCCACTGACAGCTTGCACCGTGCGCCTGGAAAATCCGCAGACACTCAACACTCAACCAGCCCGTGAAGGCAGCGGGGACGGAGGCTGTACCCTGCAGAGCCACAGGGACCGAGCTGCCCAAGACCATGGGAACCCACCTCTTGCATCAGCATGACCCGGATGTGGGACATGGTGTCAAAGGAGGTCATTTTGGAGCTTTAAGAAATCCTGCTGGATTTTGGACTTGCATGGGGCCTGTAGCCCCTTGGTTTTGGCCCATTTCTCCCATTTGGAATGGCTGTATTTACCAAATGCTTGTACCCCCATTATATCTAGGAAGTAACTAACTTGCTTTTGATTTTGCAGGCTCATAGGCGGAAGGGACTTGCCTTGTCTCAGATGAGACATTGGACTGTGTACTTTCGAGTTAATGCTGAAATTAGTTAAGACTTTGGGGAACTGTTGAAGGCATGATTGGTTTTGCAATGTAAAGACATTAGATTTGGGAGGGGCCAGGGTGAAATGATATGGTTTGGCTGTGTCCCCACCCAAATCTCATCTTGAATTGTAACTCCCACAATTCCCACAAGTCATGGGAGGAACACAGTGGGAGGTGATTAAATTATGGGGATGGGACTCTCCTGCACTGTTCTCGTGATAGTGAATGAATTTCAGAATATCTGATGGTTGTAAAAACAGGAGTTTTCCTGCACAAGCTCTCTCTTTGCCTGCTGCTATCCATGTAAAATGTGACTTGCTTCTCCTCGTCTTTTGCCATGATTGTGAGGCCTCCCCAGACACAAAGAACTGTAAGTCCATTAAATCTCTTTCTTCCCTGTCTCAGGTATGTCTTTATCAGCAGCGTGAGAACAGACTAATAAAGCCAGTAACTGAATAAAAGGTTGAATTATGGATCATATGGTAGGTAAAATAAATAAAAGTGTGCAAAAAATACTTGGGCTTTATTTGGGCCCCATTCTTTACATTGTTGTGACTTCCAGTGTTTTCACCTGAAGGGATATTTATGAACAGAAGGGTTGTTATTATTATTTGTATTTTTTACCTTGCTAAAAATACATATTAATCTCTTAATAAAATTATCCTAGCAAATCTTAAACAACAAAATAAAAATTCTACTGAACATGTAAAGAACTAGCATCAATTCTATATAATCTTTTCCAGAAGATAAAACAGGAAGGAACACTTTCCAACTCATTTTGTGAAGCCAAAATCAGACAAAGCTAGCATAAAGGAAACTATAGATCAATATATCTCATAAAGTTAAAAATCCCCAACAAAATGTTAGCAAACTGAATCCATGAATACGTGAAAATAATTATACACCATGACCACAGGGGATTTATTTCAGGTATGCATGGTTGGCTCAATATTTGAAAATTAATCAATGTAATCTAACCATATCAAAAGGCTAAAGAAGAAAAACCATATTATTTTCTTCTGAAGCTTCCAGAAGTAGCACAGCCCTCTCTAATAGACTGAGTTTAGATTTCTGACCTCCAAAAATGTAAAAGAATAAATTCGGGTTAAGCCACTCAATTTCTGTTAATTTGTGCAGCAATAGGAGATGAACACACATGATAATAGGGACTTTGCTGATGTGATTAAGTTGAGGACCCGGAGAAGGGGAAATTATTCTAACCAATAGAGGTGGGCGCAATCCAATCACAAGGGCTCTTATGATTATTTTAGAAATTTATGATTAGGTTAGAAATCCTATGATTAGGTTAGAAATGTTAGAAACATTTTACAAATAAGGATTTCCTTTTCTTTCTTGTAAAGCTTCAACCAGCCCCATCATTCACTGATGTACAGAATTCCTTTTCCAGTCCTTGGTTTCTCACTCAGTTCCTTTGACAAGGAGGTTATTCTACAGCGAAGGCAGTGCATCACACCAGAACTCACTGGTCGTACCATGTGCTCCATTACCCAGAAGCAGCTGACTTGATAGAACAGTGGCCTGCTAAAGCTTCAGAGGTACTATTTGCTGCAATCCAAAAGTCAGCAAAGTTGGGGTGCCACCCTACAGCATGCAGTATGTGCTTAAACAAATTACCAATGAATGTCACTATCTCTGTCACAGCCCACTGGGAAGCACTGGTGTGGGAAACAAAGGAGTGAGATAGGAGCACTCCCTCCCTTATTACTATACCCAGTGACCCACTTCAGCAATTTTTGCCCCCTGTCTTAATTATCTTGAGCTCAGTGGATTTGCGGGTCCTAATATCCAAGGAAACACAACTAATAAAGGTACCATTACCTTTATTACCTGAGGTGGGATAGGCAGTCAAGGCAGTGACTATGTTCTCAGGATGCGGCAACCATGGTGACCGTGCAGTCAACAAAATAAGCCTCAGCATTTGCATTGTAATTGAGCTATTCAAGCAAAGCTATCTTCAGTAGGGACTTTCCCCTCTAGAGAGCATGTGCAATTTGACTTTACCTGCCCTCATTATAATAGCAAAAAACATACCCCTGGGTGGAGATTTAAGATGCTAATGAGACATATGATATATGAACAAGCATGTACAGCTACTGCGCACATGCACCCAGAGGAACACCCAGAACATTCTTACTAGCAACACCTCTCCCACCTCCTTATAAATAATCATGTAAGACTCCCATACTGGGAGCCTCCCTAGTGCTGGTCTTTGTTGTCTCATCCTTATGAGCGGCCCGTCCTGAATTTCTCTCTCTCTCAGGGTGTACTGCCTATTCTGCACCTAACTTTCAAAGTATTCTTTTTCTTTTGCAATACTCTATGCTGCACTTCTTTTGCTATGTGTCTCTTGTTTAAATTCTCTTAAACCAAGAAGACAAGAACCAAGGTATCACAACAGGTGTCAGCATTTCATTGGAAGCTGAGAATCCTCCCTGGCCATGTGAAGCTCCACATGTCTTGTGACCATCAAGCAGACAAGGAGAGTCCCTCTACTGTCCAAGATAACTGCTTTCAATTCTCAGAGGGAACTAGGTTGCTGCTTCCTCATGCTGGCAAGAACTGGCCGGGAGCTGGGCATTCACAGGTGTGCCTCCTTACATTCCAGTAGTCCCAGTTCATGCACACCTTGGCACTCGAGTACAGACACAACACCAAGGTCTCAGGTCCTATGAGAATGATGGTTTGGGTCACCTCAACAGTGGATAAAAACCACGTATCTGAAGTGGTGGCAGAGGTCAGGGGAACGTGGCATTAAAGAAGTGAGTTAACTAACAATTCAGACTTCAGAATCAGCTCTGGAAGCCGGGGCTATAGCAGCTCTGTTTTATGGTATTTTGTTGCTTCTCTTCCCCCACTTATTCTCCATTGTCATAATAGGAAGAGCATTGGGATAGCTAACATTTTAAGTTTCAGGTGTTACTGAACCAACATCACCCCATATCACACAGTAGCTGATGGGATATTGTACAGCTCTTGTTTTGAGGACAAGTGATTTTCTCTTGGACTGGACAAACGATGTTTTTAAAATCCTAACAGGCACAAGTGGAGGACTGTCTGGGGCTATCCCTCATTGCCCTTTAGTCCTGCCCCTGGTCTTCTCCCCAGCCTTCTCCCCAGCCCTGCTGCTGGCAGCTCTCCCATCTTCTGGAATCCAGGTAAGTCTGGCCAATGGGAGACACTGGCAGGACTTGATGGGTGGGAGGAACAAGGTCACTGAATCTCCTGGCTCCTCTGGCCAGGCCACAGGTGATCACAGGCCACTAGAGCTCCCATCTCCCCTTTGCCCCTCAGGCCCATGAGGTCGTGGCCTCTTTTCTTCAGGAGTTCAGCACACCCATTCTTTCCCCAAACCTGACCTTTGAGCACATAATCTCTTTCTTTCCTGAGAAAGACCCTACCTCGCAAGGAGGGTGGAAAATAGTCACCACCCAATGCTCAAAGATGTTCCTTACATGACTGTTTCAAGAGGAAAAAGATAGACAATAACCTAAATGTCAACAAAAGGGGAAAAGCTGATGATAGCCTATCCACTTACAATGTAACATTGCACAGATTTTTAAATGATGATACAGAAATACATGCACATGTAAGTCCCCAGACCTAAGTCCCCAGACGTAGCAGGTCACAACTGTTCAACCCAATAGGGCCCTGCTCACCTGGAGTATCCAGGGCAGCCATGTGAGGCTGGGGACACAAGACTTCAGCGAGTTGTGCCCAAGGAGCCAGGGGTTTCTGAGAGAACAGGGTTGCCCACCCAGAGCCACTGTGACCAGAAGGGTCCTGGCAGGGGGCGGAGGGGGAGAGCACTCAACTCATCTGACCTCTGAAATGTATTCATAAAATGAAAGGATTTGATTAAATAATGTCTAATATTCCCTCTGATGGAAATTCCATCATCATGCAGTTTCCAGGCTGCAGTCCTGAACTACGGTGTGGAAAGCATGAGAAACCCCACTGATTCCTTCCAGGCACAGAATATCTGCAAATTTTGAAGTCATGAAAAAAAAGTTGTTGTTGTTGTTGTTTTTTTCTATTTTTAGCAAAGAAGGACTTCTGGGGAAAATTTAAATACGTGAAATGCTTTCTTTTTATGAAGCTTAGATGATTTCCTAACTTTGGGAACACTAAGATGTATCAACGATTTGATTTACTCAACAAATTATTATGCTTGGAATATTATATTTAAGTGGAACTTATTCGTATCATAATTATAGATTGACTAATTAAATTTATTTTTGAGTGCTTTTCCTTTTCCCAAATTAAAGTATAAATTGGTAAATTTGAAGAAATCCAGTTCCTGGGTTGTTTCAGTTAACTTAAAAATAAACAAAAGACATCGCCAAGCCTATGGTAAATCTTGCACTCCTAAAACGTCTCTGAGCACGCACTGAATCCCAGGTTCCCAGGACACGCAGGGGCCTCTCCTGGCAGTGACTGTCCATCTCTGGCGAGTCCCACCTCACACAAAGAGCTAGTGTGAAGTGCCACCAGGGAAACAGAGGGACTTTGGAGATTTAGGAAAGGCTTTGGGAACTCTTCCTCTGCAGGCTGGGGGCGGGATGGCCACAGGGAGATGCACCATACGCGGAAACACTACGTGCAGCCGACCTGGCCTTTGGGGAGGCGGGCAGGCGCAGAGGGACAGAGTCAGAGTGTTCCAGGCACAGTGCGTTCCTCCAAATCACGCTGACGCACACGCGCGTCCCTAGCTGACACCTGAGCACGTGGGCGCTGGCTGGGCGGCCTGCAGAGCTCACATCCTCCACCCCGACCTCGATCCCCTCGGGAGCACCCACAGGGCACCCGGGTCAGGGAGGCCACGAGGGGCAGTCACCCCGCAAGGAAGGAGGCCAAGGGGAAGGAGAGGAGCCCTCTGTGACCCTGAGAGAAGCCCCGAGATCTGCGGGGGTCCCAGCGCTCCTGCGCCCCCTCTCCCCTGGGCTGCTGTGAGGCTGGAGACAGGCTGCAGTAAACTCCACCTTTGTGTCGCCGGCGCCGTGAACCCTCAAAGCAGGCTTTCGCGTAAGTCCCGACGGTCTGTCCTCACCCAGCTGTGTGTGTTTCTCACACAGCTGTTATCTTGTGCTCCGAAACCCCAAGCCCGCCACGGCGGTGCTTCCGCGGGCCCACAGCTGCCCTCCTCTCCTGGCACCGCCAGCCACCCCTCCCGCTCCAGGACGCCTGTGCAGGGGACCCTGCCTCAGAAAGTGTCGCTTGGGAGATGGAAATGAAGACTGAAGGAACTTCCAACTCCCACCTACTCTCTAGGAGGCACTTTCTTTTTGTTTTGTTTTTGTTGTTGTTTTGTTGAGATGGAGTCTTGCTCTGTTGCCCCGGAGGCACTTTCTATTACTGAGAAGAAAACCCTGGAAAGTCCCGGGCTTCCCCCAGGAGCTTGGAACTCCCCTCGCCCCCTGCTTCCTGCCCTCCATCCCCCAGGAGCGGGTCCCTGCGGCCTAGCGGGAGTGGAGAGCGAGGCTTAGGTCCTTAGTGATGGCTTCAAGGCCTGGGAACCCCAGGTCCTGGTTTTTAAACTCTGGACAAACTGCACTCGCATTACCCTGGCTCACTCTTGTGCTCAGGAATTAATTTTTAATATCTGCATAGCATTTCTTACCTATAAGAATGTGTCTTCTTGTTCTAAAAGAATTTTTACATGAATATTTCATGTGATGGTATTGTATAGTATTGTAAGTCACTTTTCTTCTTTTCTCATTAGAATAACCTGTAGCATAGAAACTCTTCCATATGTAAGAAATTGGTCTTAGCTTTTAATGAGGGGATTTTTAAAAATAGTGCAGTGTGCTGGCTATTTGTCAAGAAAACATTACATTTAACATGATGCCTGCAGATAAGTTTAAACTCTCTCCTTTCCCTTTATTCAGCTTCCCTGTGAATCCAAGTCATAGCTCCCGTTCTCATTTCCTTTCGCCTCTGAACCTTTGTGGAGATACCGTCCTGCCGGAGCAGCAACAAGGGAAGCCAGCCCACAGTGCATTGTTCAGCTCCCTCGCTCGCTCCAAAATCCACCCGACCCAGCCCCAGGAGGACCAGAGCAGGGCCCACTGCAGCAGATTCAGGTGGACGGGGCAGAAGTGAGCAGTGCTGTTGGCTGGGAGCGCTGGGGGACAGAGAAAGACTCCCGACCATGCTGGGGCCTAAGAGAACCAGAAGAGATGCGCAGATGAGCTTTGGAGGACGGAAGAACTGCACACTACAGTGCGGGGTGTATCCTTGGCCCAGACACAGGGCAATTTCAGGGAACTCTACTAGGGAGGTGCGGGGGTGGCTGAGAATGGCAGCCCCAGAGAAGAAGAGGGAGCTCAGTCCTACCTGGGCCAGCTCAGTGGCTGGGCTGGAGACACGAGCTGACACATGGAGCAGCAGCTCAGCCCCTCACTGATCATGGGGCTTGGTTAAGTGTATAAAGTTCCTTCTACTGCCAACAGTCTATCCTCCCCAACTCCTGGGGATACTCCAGCACAAACTGGGGAACACCAAGTTGCAAAGTACAAGGACAAGGCCAGGAACCCTAGGCAACAACTCCTCATATTCCCAGCACCCCCCACCTCCTCAAGCTTGCCTGGGTAGGCCTCTGAAATCTCCATGGACCTGGCCTGTGGCCACCACAGCACAGTTTGTTGATTAACATACAGTGGTTCCCTTTTAGAAATCGGCAACACGGGGCTGGGCATGGTGGTTCATGCCTGTAATCCCAGCACTTTGGGAGGCCAAGGCAGGCGGATCACCTGAGGTCAGGAGTTCGAGACCAGACTGGCCAACATGGCAAAACCTCGTCTCTACTAAAAATACAAAAATTAGCCGGGCGTGGTGGTGGGTGCCTGTAATCCCAACTACTCGGGAGGCTGAGGCAGGAGAATTGCTTGAACCCAGGAGGCAGAGGTTGCAATGAGCCAAGATCGCGCCACTGCACTCCAGCCTGGGCAACAGAATGAGACTCCACCTCAAAAAAAAAAAAAAAAAATTGGCAATGTGGACAGCTGAGGACAATGGCAGTGGTATAACTGCTTCTATCCCAAAATTTCCTCCCAAAAGACAGAAAAAGAAAGAAAAGAAAGTAAAATCTACACAAAGCCATGCCTTCCACATAATGTGAAGGTAGAGAACCCCAAAAGTGTAAAATATCTGAACTGAAAAGAGAAAAGTGAAAATACCACCAAACCCCCAGCCTGCTCTCTCTCTCACTGCTGTCCCAGCAACAAAGCTTTACAGCAAATGGACAGAAAGCCCTGAGGGAAGACAGAGGGGGTGCTGAGGTGATCAGAAGGTCCACCAGAACGGGCCAGGGGGAACTGGGCCCTGGGAGGTGCTGTGAGAGGAGCAGGAGCACAGAAAGGGCCCATCTGGGGGCATGCAGCCTTGGGGAGGAAAGAGCAAAGAGGAAGGGAAAGCTCCTTTGGGCAACCAAGTGGTCAAGTGGAAAAGAAAAGGAGGTAAAAGCGGGGTTCCGCAAGGCAGGAGTCGGAGGACTGTGCTCTGCCCGCAGAAGAGCGCCAGGAATCCTACAAAACACAAACAAGCCCAACGGCATTAAATGAACAAGAGAAAAATGAAGTCACACCTACAGAGCTAGTGCAAACGCTATCAGGAGCGGAAATGTCACATGTATCAGCTGAGGAAAATCCCCTCTGAAAATAACCATGAAGCATGTAGAAGAAAACTACAAGCCCACACTTCAAAATGAATTCGCCATGCCCACGCCTCAAGCAAGCATCAAAAATACAAACCCACCTTAAATCAGAGATTTGAAAACAGAAATGGGCAAATAACAGGGAGAAATAAAAAGTTGATTGAACTCAAGGATGAGGTAACCAAGTTTTCTCAGAAATAAGGGGTTGTTTAATGGGTACAAAAAATAGGGTTAGTTAGAAGTAATAAGTTCTAGTGTTTGATAGCATGATAGGGCCACTATAATTAACAATAACTTATTGTATATTTTAAAATAACTGGAAGAAAGGACTTGGAATGTTCCCAAAACAAGTAACAATAAATGTTTGAGGTTATGGATATCCTAATTACCCTGATTTCATCATTACATATTGTATTATTGTATCAAAATATCACATGTCCCCCATAAATATGCAACAACTATTATGTACTCAGAGAAATCACTTTACAAAAGAAATGAGAAATAAATTAAAAGATGCCCAAAAGACAATAGACAAAAATGAAAATATAACAAGGGTCACTAAATAAAGATATCAAAGCAAGTAAGAGAATAAAAATGAATAAGTAAATAGATAAATTAAAAGGGCAGAGATAGTAGTGGAAATGGAACCCGGGCAATGAAGGAATAATATTTGTTTATTGGAGTCCTTAAGGGAAAAAAACAAATAGTAGAATGAAGCTAATATTTAAAACTAAAATCTCTGTTACATGTTCTAGTAAAACTATAAGATTTCAAGGAAGAAGATAAAAATCATCAAGGCCGCACGCAAAACAATCAGACTGACATCAGGTCTTCCAAAATCAAGATATAAACAAAACGACAATGGAGCAATATTTTTAAAAATAAGTCAATGAAAAAAAAAAGTGTAACAAAGGATTCCAATCCAGCCAACTTACAAAGAACAGTTTATTTGGCTCATGGTTCTGTAGCCTCTGAAAGTAGAGGCAGACACCAACATCCACTCAGCTTCTGGTGAGGGCCTCAGGCTGCTCCCACTTGTTGGGGAAGGTAAAGGGGACCCAGGGCATGCTGAGATCACATGGCAAAAGAGGAAGCAAGAGAGTGGGAGGCGCCAGGCTCTTTTAACAACCAGCTCTCACAAGGACTAATAGAGTGAGAACTCATTACCACAAAGATGGCACCATGCCATTCAGAAGGGATCCGCCACCATGACCCAAACACCTCCCATCAGGCCCCACCTCCAACACTGCGATCAAATTTCAACATAAGGTTTGAAGGGGACAAATATCCAAAACATAGCAATTAATAACTTCCGTAAAGTAGAAATATTTTGAAATACAAAAACCTCTTTGCTGCCAGTGCAACCAAGCTAGAAAATTACTAAGAAAAACAAAAAACAGAAAGGTCCTTCTGCCAGGAAAGTTAAAAATGTTCTATTGAAACAATTCTTGTGGGAAATAGAAACAGAAATTACAATTTTTAAAAAATGATGAAAACACTACATATCAAAATTTAAGGGATGCATTTAAAGCAGTAATCAGAGGAAAATCATTGCACAAAACACATTTAATAACAACACTGAAAAAAAGATTAAATATCCAATTCTAAAAACTAGAAAAAAACAAAGTCCACCAAATAAAGGAGGGAGATAATGAAGTTAAAGCAGAAATTAATGACATGGAGAATATAAAAACAGTATATTAATTAACCAACTCCCAGTTGTTGTTTTGAAAAAAATTAACAAGATGGACAAACCACAATCTAACTTGATTAAGGGGAAAAGGGGGAAAAAGCACAAATATTCAAAATAAGAAAGAACAACAAGGAAATAATCATTGAAACAGAAGTAAAATTTAAATCATAAATGACTAATTTGGAAACTTCTGTGAAAATAAATTTTAAACCCTAGGTGAAATGGATAGTTCCCTAGAGAAATACAGATTGCCAATATTGACCCCATCTGATTTAGAAAGCTTAAACAGACCTATTTCCAAAGAAATAAAAAGTTATTGAAGAAATAACTAGCCCACTCCCAAAAAAGAGCCAGGCCAAGATGGTCTCACAGGGGAATTGTATCAAGCCCTCAAAAACCAGATAGTCACAATTATCTATAAATTATTTCAGATTATTGAAAAGAAGGTAAATTTTCCTAACTCCCTTTATGAAGCAAGTGTGACAATGATACCTAAACCACGTAAAGACTCATTAAGAAAAAAAAAGAGTACTACAGAAAAGTATTACTTATGAATATCATGAATTACTAATAAATATCAATGCCAAATAGAAAATGAAATATTAGCAAAAAGACCACCACATTAAGAAAATAATAAATCATAAAAAAGATAATTCATTCCAGAATTCAAGGTTGGTTCAATATTAGGAAATTCATTAGTACCATACACTCTATTAATAGATCTAAGTGAAAAATAATATGATGATCTCCATAAATACTAGGGGGAAAAAATCTTTGTCAAATTTCAACACCCATTCTTGCTTAAAACACTCAAGAAAGTAGGAATTGGTGGATACTTTGTTAATGTGATAAAAAATTACATTAGGTATATATATCTAATCCTAAAGCCAGTATCATATTTAATAGAGAAATACTAAAGGCATTTCCACTATGTCAGTGTGTCAGAATCTCCAAGACCATCCTGACACTTGGAGATTTTCTAGAGGAATTCTGCGAGTCAGCATGCAGTTGCACACCTGACTACCATTCATTACAGCCATGAAGTAAGGACACACAGCCAGATCATAAGGGGAAAAGACGAATGTGGAGTCCACGTGAGTACAGATCCATGTGAGGCTTCCTTCTCGCTCTTCCTCCCATGGTGGGGGCTCACAGAGTGCCCCAGCAATGAAAATGTAGCAACATGTGTGTGATGTTCCTGCCCAGAGAAGCCCATTAGAGACTCAGGTTTTTATTGGGGTCTGACACATAAACATCCTCTGCCTAACATATACCAAAATTCCAGACTCCCAGAAAGAAAACAGGTGTTTAGCATAAATCAAATTGTTTGCATAAACAGTCTAGGCACAGTAAACTGTCCTTATTAGTTAGATAATGGTGGGAATACTTCTGAAATTTGAGTTCCCAGATGCCAGCCAAGGACTAACCTGGCAAGTAGACCTTTCTAAGCATGGCATTCATAGGCCTGCTGTGTTTACCCTTTATTTCTGCTACTATTTAACATTAGACAGGGATATCAACTAAGGATAAATTAACTTATAAAAACCAATGGCCTCTATATACACAAAAAAATAAACAGTAGAGAACTTACTGTCAAAGAAAACCACATGCATAATATCAACAAAGATTAAATATTTTATAATACCTTTAACAAAAAATGTGCAAAAATTATACAACACAATTTTAAAACATTCCTGAAAGACACAGAAGTAGACTTGATCAAATACAAAGACACATCCTGTTCTCAGATTAAATTAATTAACAATATATAGATGACAGCTATTGCCACATTAATGTATGAATTCAATGCAATCTTGATCAAAAATGTCAGCAAGCTATTTCATAATTGAGTTAGACAAGTTGATACTAATGTTCATAAGAAAAAAGAAATATTAAGAATATCCCAAAAAGCACTGAAAAAGAAAAACTAAAAAGGGGACATAACTAGCCCTACCAGACATTAAAACATATTATAAAGCCTCAAACAATTTGATGCTGGTCCATTAACAGACAAATAGACATGTAATATAATAGGAAGTTCAGAAATAGGACCAAGGACATATGAAAAGCTAATGTAGGATAAAATTGACATCTCAAATCACTGGAGTACAAGTGTCCAGTTTAATAAATGGTACTGGGACAACCAGGTAGTCACTTGGAAAAATAAAATAAAATTAGATTCCATATTTCACACTATATGCAAGAAAAAAACCCAAATGTATTAGAGATTTAAATGTAAAATAAGATAGCATAGAAGTAATGGGTGATTTTCTATTTAGCCTTTCTATATAAAACTGAAAATCCAGAGACATAACTAGTAAATCTGTCTACATAAAGTGTCTTAAAATTACATGACCAAAATAAACAAAGACACACTATAAAAAGTCACAAAACAACTAACTAGGAGTAAATAATTGCAGTCTATACCACAAAGAGCTAATATCCCTAATAAATAAAGAACCCTTGAACAGTGTGAAACAAAGACGCAATCGAAAAACAGGACACTGACATGAATGCACAATTAACCAAAAAGGATTCAAAAATGGCCTTCAAACATGAAAAAAAAAAGTTCAAATTCACTTATCATTAAAGAAATGCAAATGAAAACAGCACTGAGATACTATTTTCATAAAACTGACAAAATGAAAAATTATGACATTCTGTCAGGCAGACTAGGAAAATGGCCACACTCACATAATGCCAGTGGGAGTATAACCCAGCACAACTCTTGCAGAGGGAAATCTGGCAATGAAGAATAAAACATGCACTTACCTTTGACTCTGTGATCTGACTTCTAGAAATATACCCTGAAGGTACACCTCTAACAATACAAAAATATTCACCGTAGTGTTGTTTGTAATCACAAAAGACTGGAGACAACCTAAATGCCTCTATGTAGAAGGAAGGTTGAATAAACGATGGCACATTCACAAAATGGGGTACTATATAGTTATAAAAAAGAATTGGGAAGATTTCTGTGAACTGATTAGGAGTGATTTCCAAGACATAACATTAAGCTTATAAAAAGCAAAATGTGAAAGATTATCTACACTATGTTATTCTTCAAGTAATAAAGAAGGGGATACAAAATAAACAGTTGTATGTGCTTATTTATGTTAAAAAAAAAAAACATACGGCTGGGTGTGGTGGCTCACACCTGTAATCCCAGCACTTTGGGAGGCCGAGGCAGGTGGATCACAAAGTCAGGAGTTCGAGACCAGCCTAACCAATGCAGTGAAACCCCGCATCTACTAAAAATACAAAAATTAGCTGGGCATGGTGGAGGGCATCTGTAGTCCCAGCTACTCAGGAGGCTGAGGCAGGAGAATCGCTTGAACCCAGGAGGCAGAGGTTGCAGTGAGCCGAGATCATGCCACTGCACTCCAGCCTGGGCAACAGAGTGAGACTCCATCTAAAAAAAAAGAAAGAAAGAAAAAAAAGAAAAGAAAAGAAATACAAGACAGGTACATCAGCTACTTACAGGAAAGATCTAGGTAAGGTAGAAAGATGAGCAAAGGAGAACAGGATAGTAAGCATGAGGAGAGAGTGATACTTCCTTTCATATACATTTCTGTATGGCTTTGATTCTTAGAACCATGGTAATGGTTCAAATATCCCATCTTAGTCCATTTATGATGCAATAAAGAAATACTTGAGGCTGGGTAATTTAAAGAAAAGAACAGCCTGCGGGCAACATGGCAAAATCCTGTCTCTACAAAAAATACAAAAATTAGCCAGGTGTGGTGGTATAAGCCTGTAGTCCCAGCTACTTGGGAGGCTGTAGTTAGGAGGATTCCTTGAGCCTGGAAAGGTTGAGGCTGCAGTGATTGTGCCACTGCACTTCAAGCACAATAGAATGAGACCCTGTCTCAAGAAGAAAAGAAAAAAGAAAAGAGAAAATAAAAGAGGTTTATTTGGCTCACAGTTCTGCAGGCTGTAGAACAAGCATGGCACCAGCATCTGCATCTGACGAGGACCTCCGGCTGCTTCCCCTCATAGTGGAAAGCTGGTGTGCAGAGATCACATGGCAGGAGCAGAAGTGAGGGAGAAAACAAGAGAGAAGGGGGAGGTGCCAGGCTCTTTTAACAACCAGGTCTCTCACGAAGTAATAGAGTGAGAACTCATTCATTACCATGAGGATGGCACCAAGCCATTCTTAGAGGATCCACCCCCCATGACCCAAACACCTTCCATGAGGCCCCACCTTCAACACTAGAGATCAGATTTCAACATGAGATTTGGAGGGACAAGTATCCAAATCACAGCAATCCCAGCCCCAATAAGTGCATTACAAATAAATAACATAAACATACTGAAGGCTATGGAGAAGAAAAGAATTAATTTAAGAAATTTCAGAAAACCATATTTTGACAGGCTACTGTAAGACTAAAGACAAAAAGAAGTCTACACAAATACTGTAGTTGAGTTAGTAAATCTATTTCTCACAAATATATGAGTTAGCAATTCTGTAACTACTTTAGGTGTATGCTAGGAATTGAACAAATAAGTGAGTATATATTGTAGACAGTGAGAGCAAGAGGCAAATCTTATGGTGCTGGATTGGAATTCAGGGAATCAATATGATCTGAAGGTTTTAAACACATAGACGAGTAAATTAATATATAGATACAGATATGGATGTGTGGATATGGGTGTTGGTATACAAACACATATGCCCAACTATGCTGATTGCGGAGGCCTAGATTCAGCGACATCTAAATTGCTACACACACACCAAGCATCCAGATTTTGATTTCTAAACACCATTCCCCAATACAAGGAATGAGAAATCTTTTGAGAGGCAGTTGATTCCAGGGCAAGAGCAGGCAAAATGCAAAATGATTCAGGAACATTTTATGATGTGAGAAAATGAAAAACTGATTGAAAATTGATGAGGATGTGTCTAAAGACGACAGGAGCCAAATGGACACCGAAGCTGCTCCCAGTGGTCAAAACTGGAATAATCTGAGCAACAAAATAAATAACAATAGTACCGACTTACAACACATAGAATAAAATAAACATCCATGAACTTTTACAAATGTAAATAAATAAAGGAGAAGGATAGCTCTTCCTTATAGATAAGCTCCAGTTAATAAATGTATTAATAGAAGCAATAAGGATAATACAAAATCATCATTAGGCAAACTCTACAGTCATAATGATTAGAGGCAAAGAGCTACTGACAAATGCTAAAATCAGTAAGAAAATGTTTGAGGAAAAACACAATGTTAGTATAATCTCAAAGTATTTCCCCACAAGATAATTTGCCAGGGCTCCACTTCACAATACAGAAACCTGGCAGACACCACATGAGCCAAGTGATCGATGTTAACACTTTCAGTAATAGGACATGCCAATGTTTGTACCCCAATATGATGCACTAGACAAGGCACATCACCTCTGTGATCTCGCCAAAACTTCATAGCCTCAAAACTGTCATGAGAAAACATGAGACAAACCCAAACTGAGAAATCTCTACAAGGTAACTAACTAATACTTTTCAAAAGGGTCCAGATAGACTAAAGAATTTAGACGAAATTCAAGACATATGATAACTAAATGAAATGTGGGATTCTGGATAGAATATTGGACAGAAAAAAAGTCATTAGGAAAAAACTGAAGAAACTGAATAGTATTTGTAGTTTTAGTAATATTCTACTAATGTTAATTTTCTGGTTTCGATAGTTTTATCACGGTTGTATAATTTTTAACTTAGGGGAAGTTGGGTGATGGGTAAATGTGGACTCTCTATACTTTTTTACGATATTTATGTAAGCCCAAAATTCTTTCAAAAGAAAATTTCCTTGTTTCCTTGTTTTTGAAAAAAAAAAGCATTTCAAAAGAAAGAAGGGAAAGATTAGATATATCAAATACATCATCTTAAAAGTGTTATCCATCATTCTCAAATTATTATAATCCAAAAATGTCTTGCTTGCTCTCATTCATGATAAACTATTTCTCCACGTGTTTTGCAATTTTAGATTGTGAGCTCATATATGTTGGTTCTGTCTATAGGAATACTGAAGAGAGGTTCCCCTTATGCTGCTAAATCCTTGTTATAAGAAGAGACTGCTACAACCTGAAAGAAAGTGGGGCCAAAACTGCCATGAAAATCTTCACATACTGTATTTAATGTGCCCATCAGGTCAGATGAAGACATTTTCTAAAGATGAGCTGGTACCATTCTATGAGATGGCCTCAAAGAGTGAATTAGAGAAGAGTCCCTCCTCTTCTGATACCAAACCTAGCAGAGACACAACAAAAAAAAAAAAGAGAAAGAAAGAAAGAAAGAAAGGAAAGAAAGAAAGAAAGAAAGAAAGAAAGAAAGAAAGAAAGAAAGAAAGAAAGAAAGCAAGCAAGCAAGCAAGCAAGCAAGCAAGCAAGCAAGAAAGAAAGAAAAAAATTTCAGGCCAATATCCCTGATGAACATAGATGCAAAAATCCTCAATAAAATACTAGCAAATTGAATCCAGCAGCTCATCAAAAAGCTAATCCACTATGATTAGGCTCTATCTCTTAGATGCAAGTTTGGTGCAACATATGCAAATCAATAAATGTGATTCACCACATAAACATAATTAAAAACAAAAACCACATGATCATCGCCATAGATGCAGAACAGGCTTTTGATAAAATTCAACATCCCTAGGTATCAAAGGAGCATACCTTAAAATAATAAGAGCTATCTATGACAAACCCACAGCCAACATCATACTGAATGGGCAAAAGCTGGAACCATTCCCTTTGAGAACTGGAACAAGATAAGGATGCCCTCTCTCACCACTCCTATTCAACATAGTACTGGAAGTCCTAGCCAGAGCAATCAGGCAACAGTAAGAAATAAAAGACATCCAAATAGGAAGAGAGGAAGTCAAACTATCTCTTTTCACAGACAATATGGTTTTATACCTAGAAAACCCCATAGTCTTGGCCCAAAAGCTACTTCAGCAGATAAACAACTCCAGCAAAATTTCAGGATACAAAATCAATGGCTGAAAATCAGGAGCATTTTCAAACACCAACAACATTCAAGCTGAGAGCCAAATCAAGAATGCAATCCCATTTACATCAGCTATACAAAAAATACAATACCTAGAAATGTAGCTAACCAGGGAGGTGAAAGAGCTCTACACCAAGAATTATAAACCACTGCTGAAATAAATCAGTGATGACACAAACAAATGGAAAAACTTTCCATGCTCATGGATAAGAAGAATCAATATTATTAAAATGGCCATAATGCCCAAAGCAATCTACAGATTCAATGCTATTCATATCAAACACCAATGATATTCTTCAGAGAATTAGAAAAAAACTATTGCAAAATATATATGGAACCAAAAAAAGAGCCCAAATAGCCAAGGAAGTTTAAAGCAAAAAGAACAAAGCTGGAGGCATCACATTACCCAGCTTCAAACTATACTACATGACTACAGTTAACCAAAACATCATGGTAGTGGTACAAAAACAGACACATGGACCAATGGAACAGAATAGAGGACCCAGAAATAACACACCTACAACTATCAGATCTTTGACAAAATCAACAAAAACAAGCAATGGGGAAAGGACTCCCCGTTCAATAAATGGTGCTGAGATAACTGGCTAGTCATATGCAGAAGATTGAAACCAGACCCCTTCCTTCCATCACATACAAAAATCAACTCAAGATGGATCAAAGATTTTAATTTAAAACCTAAAACCATAAAAACCCTAGACAAAAACCTAGGACGTACCATTTTGGACACAGAGCCTGGCAAAGATTTCACGACAAAGACCCCAAAAGCAATTACAACTAAAACAAAAGTTGACAAATGGGGCCTCATTAAACTAAGGAGCTTCTACATAACAAAAGAAACTATCACCTCAGTAAACGGACAACCAATGGAATGGGAGAAAATTTTTGCACACTATGTATCTGACAAAGGTCTAATATTCAGAATCTATAAGAGACTTAAACAAATTTACAAGCAAAAAACAACCCTGTTAAAATATGGGCAAAGGACATGAATAGCTATTTCTCAAAAGAAGACATACACATGGCCAACAAGCATATGAACAAATGCTCAACATGGCTAATCATGTTGCAAATCAAAACCGAAATGAGATGGCATCTCATGCCAGTCAGAATGGTTAGTATTAAAAAGTGAAAAATAACAGATGTTGGTGAGGTTGCAGAGAAAAGAGAATGCTTATACACTGCTGATTCTGCTGATTAGAGTATAAGTCAGTTCAGCCAATGTGGAGAGCAGTTTGGAGATCCTCAAAGAATACCATTCAGCCCACCAATCTCATTACTGTATATGTACCCAAAGGAATATAAATCATTCTACCACAAAGACACATGCATGCATATGTTCATCACAGCACTATTCACAATAGCAAAGACATGGAATCAATCTAAATGCCCATCAACAGTGGACTGAATAAAGAAAATGTGACACATATCATGGAATACTATGCAGCCATAAAAAAGAATGAAATCATGTCCTTTGCAGCAACATGGATGCAGCTGGAAACCATTGTCCTTAGCAAACTAATGCAGGAACAGAAAACCAAATACTGCATGTTTTCATTATTATAAGTAGGAGCTAAACATTGAGTACACATGGACACAAAGAAGGGAACCATAGACACTGGAGTCTACTTGAGGGTGGAAGGTGGGAGGAGGGTAAAGATCAAAAAACTATGTATCAGGTCCTACGCTTATTACCTGAGTGATGAAATAATCTGTAAGCCAAGCCCCCATGACATGCAGTTTACCCCTGTAACAAACCTGCACATGTACCCCCGAACCCAAAATGCAAATTGGAAAGAAAAAAAAGACATTTCCTGCCTAACAGTTTCATTCTAAAATTTCTTCTTCTAAGGGTAAACATGTTTATATTGATGTTATGTACTCCCTATATCCAAGAATCATCCAGAAATTTTTAAACATGAATTTAAAGGACACTTAGCATTTCAAATCCCTATAAAACAAAAGGACAAGTAAAATAACACTCCTTAACACAGGTTATTCATTAACTAACTTTGAAGCCCTTCTAAATCTGCAGAAACATGCTCCATTATCCAAATTTAGAAATACTCAAAATTGATCTTGAATTTCAGGGGACAAGATGCCTACAGTTTTCATTGTACCAACTACTCTATGGTTTGACCAAATTTTCTAGAAGACAATCTGACCTCAGTAACAAAAGTCAGTGCAACATAAATCAATAGACCCAAATGTCTCCAACTGTTTTCCAAAAAATAGAACACACCTGACCTACTGTATGTGCTTCAGAGTGGGGCCTGTTTCAGAGCCACTGCAACATGACAGAAGAAGGATTTGACCCAAAACGTACGCTGGAGAACTCAGGTCCAAAATGGCAGGAAAAGGGCCAGGAAGCCCTCAAAATGTGGAAGAGGTCTTAGGTAGGTGTAAGATAGCAGATGCAAAACGAGAGATGAAAGCCCAGGGCGTGAAGATGAAGGCAGGCCACTCTGAAGGGAATGGCTGCTTGGGGTAGGGGAGCTGGGTGTGTGAGATCTGTGGGGCCCAGAGAGTTTGCCTAGGACCTCTGTATACAAACCTTACTCTCTTCTGGGCTAACAGTGAATAGTTTGAACATGAATAGGTTGAATTAAGCTTTTGAATCAAATTATTACTAAAAATGATAATAATAATAATAGGCTATAGCACTTTTTGAATGCCAACTAGGAGCTCAACATGGAGCTCAGTACTTCTATATGATCTTCTTGGTTCTCACAAGCAGCGTGATTAATATTAATAGACTATTCTAAAGATAAGAAAATTGAGGCTCAGAGGTATTAAGTAATTTGTCTAAAATTTTAGAACTAGGAAGTAGCAAAGCTGAGCTTTGAACATGGATCCATCTGATGTGAAAGCCTGTGCTCATAAACATCATGTGAACTATAACCTGTTCGCCTGAATTGGAAGAGTCCTTCCTGGACTGGTGCGCAGATCTCTGAGCATCCCCACTGGAGTGCTCTCATGGTCCTGTGATATTCATGGCACATGAGAAAGCTTCCAACCCATCCATCTCCCCATTATGCCAGAGGCTGCATCCAGCTGCAATGAGGTCTGTAAGCTTGATGATGATGGTCAGACTGCTCATAGAGGGGGGAAGCAAGGTGAGGACCTGTTACATAAGGATGAGTGGGAGCAAAATGAACAGGAACATCTGAGGATAAAATAACAGAGTTGAAAGCATCCAGGCCTTAAAATGGCTCCTAATAGGGCTTTTCCTACTTCAAAAAGGACGGTCAGAGTATCTTGCCCAGTTGATTGTCCCTTTTGGGCCGAAAAGTCTAACACTTTTCAGAAAGAGTGTTAGGCTGCCCCTCAGGGAAGCCTGGGGAAGGCAAGCATCTGAACTGGCTTCCTTAAGGTTACACCTCATGAAGATTCCATTGTTCCTCAACTCCCCATATTTTAGACTACTTAAGTTGGAGAATTATTGAACATCTTGCAAAACCACAATTCATACAATGTTACAGGACAAGCAAAGTTAATGCAATAATAATAAGCTCAGCTCCCTCTTGATTTTTTTTTTTTTTTTTTTTTTGAGACAGAGTCTCACTCTGTCACCTAGGCTGGAATGCAGTGGCATGATCTCGACTCACTGAAACCTCCACCTCCTGGATTCAAGTGATTCTCCTGTCTCAGCCTCCCGAGTATCTGGGATTGGCTAATTATTGTATTTTTAGTAGAGACAGGGTTTCACCATGTTGGCCAGGCTGGTCTCTAAGTCCTGGCCTCATGATCCACCTGCCTCGGCCTCCCAAAGTGCTGGGATTACAGGCGAGAGCCACTGTGTCCAGCACCTCTTGAGTTTCAAGAAGATATAAGTAATTATGATAGATTAATATATTCTGCTGAGGACCCAAATAAAAACATGAAGGTTGGAAACTGAGGCAAGAATGCATCCCGTAGTTGTAGTCAGAAATCCTTCCTGTTGGTTTCTGCACAAAAAGTGCCTCTTTCAATTAACGTCCACATCAACAAAGCAGCAACTTTGTTGGGTTGGTTTTGTTGACATTAGTTTCAGTCACAAATGAAAATTCTTTGTTTTGTTCTAGTTGAAAACATATTATATCCCTATAGTTTCCAGAACTTTTTTTAATCAACAGAATGAAATTTTACAAAATTGTATTCTGACTTATCAATATGAATAAAACCAATGCTACATGTACCTGCACTATTGGATACAGGTCCTAAAGGAAGCAGCTGGATAAATTGTCCCATTTTAGTGCTCACATGATGAAACTGCCTGATACTTATCATTGGGATACTGCAGCATAACAACGAATAGAATGAGAAGACAGACAAAAGAGACTTTCCCAGTGTCAAGGTAACTGAATCAATATTTTCAGTTTGGTTCCCCTAATTGCCTAGGTTAGTACAGATAAAAGAGAAAAATATTAAGAAGCAATTAGGGAGAGTGAAATAAGCTATAAAGAAGATATACAGAAAAAATTTAAAGAAATCCAACATGATGTATAAATAAAATAGCCAAGACAATAAACATCATATAGTTCTCCTCAAAGAATCATGATTACTCTCATACCCACAATTATATGAGGAGGTGCTAGGTATTGGGTAGTAAAGACACACAAGAATAGTCCTGATCGATCCCATAAGCTCCTGGAATATATGCTGAGGACTTCAGCAACTTGGGAGTGCTCTAGGTGGTGCAATTATCCTCTGGCCATAATCCTTCATATTTACCCAAACGATTTGAAGACTTAGGTCCACACAAAAAGTTGCACATAGACGTTCGTAGCAGCTTTATTTAAAATTGCCAAAACTTGGAAGCAGGCAAGATGTCCTTAAGTCATGGTGGGTGGACAAATAAAGTGTGGTACATCCAGACAATGGAATGGTATTCAGAGCTAAAAAGAAATGAGCTGTTAAGCCATGAAAAGACAAGAAGGAAAGTTAAATGCATATTACTAAATGAAAGAGGCCAATGTGAAAAGACCACATACTGTGCTCTTCCAATTATAAGACATTCTGGAAAATTCAAAACTATGGAGACAGGAATAAGATCAGTGATTTCCAGGGGCTGGGGGAGAAGAAGGGATGAACAAGTGGAGCACAGAGGAATTTTAGGGCAGTGGAACTACTCTGTATGATACCATAATGATGGATACATGTCATTATACCTTGTCCAAACCCACAGAATGTACAACACCAAGAACCAAGAATGAGCACTAATATAAACTATGGACTCTGGATGACTATAATGCATCAATTTAGGTTCATAAATCATAACAACTGTACCACTGTGATGGAGGAAGTTGATAATGGGGGAAGCTATGCATGTGTGGGGGTTGGAGTATATGGAAAATCTCTTTACTTTCCCCTCAATTTTGCTGTGAACCTAAAACTATTCTTAAAAACTTAAGACTTAAATAGAGCAATCAACTGGGAATTAGTGAAGCCTGAAGGTTGTATGTGATATCAGCAAAGACAGATGCCTTAACAGAGAGGCCAGGGAAAGAGACAAAGATAAGGAAAAAAACAAATAGAAAAATGTCAGATATAAATACTACCTTCTTAGCATTTACATAAACTGTAAATGGAATAGACATACCAATTAAAGGGCAGATATGGGCTAAATAGATTTTTTAAATGTGATTCAACTGTATGCTGTCTACAAGAGCTTACTGCTGTCACATTAGATTAAAAGACCCAAATAGATTGAAAGGAAAAAGATGGAAAAAGGTAGACCACACAAATAGTAACAACAACAACAAAAAAAGAGCTGGAGTAACTATGCTAACATCAGACAAAACTGACCTTAAGACAAAAATTGTTTTTAGGGTCAAAGAAGGACATTTTATTATGATTTCATATAAATGAAATCAATAACAAATTCAGGGAGATAAATCAGCATCTACAGTTGCTAAAATACATTATCTAAAATTTCTAATTTTTTACAAAAATTATAAGATATGCAAAAAATAAAGGAAAGTGTGACCCCTGCTCTGGGGTAAAAACTGCCAATAGAAACTATCTGTGAGGGGAGCCTGGATGCTGAAGTTAGGAAAGACTTCAAAGCAGAATTTTAAATATGTTTAGAGAATTAAAGAATCATGCTTTAAAAATTGAAAAATGATAACAATGATGCATTAAGTAGAGAATATCACAAGGAAATAAAAATTATTTTTAAGACAACAGAATAGAAATTCTGGAATTGAACAATACAAGTGAAATAAAAAATTCACTTACATGAGGGACTCAATATAATATTTGAGATGACATAAAATTGAGATGACATAAAAATTACTCATCAAAAATTAAAATAGATCAATAGAAATTACTCAATCTGAAGAACATAGAAGAAAAAAGAATGAAGAAAAATGAATAAAGTGTCAAAACCTATGGGACGCAATCAAGCAAACCAACATGTCTGTAATAGGAATCCCAGAAAAGGAAGAGAATAATTTTTTTTAAAAAAAGAGAGAATAATATATGTGAAAAATAGTAACCAAAAACTATCCAAATACCCAAAATTAATTTCAAAATTAATCTAAAGATCTTAAAAGTTAAAACTTTCAAAAAACATACACGTAAGTAGGAGAAACACAAAAAGATCCACACCTAGATGCATAATAGTCACACTATTGAAAGACAAAGTAAAGCCTCAAAAGCAGTAACAGAAAAATGACTCAATGCGCATATAGGGGAAACAATGATTAACAGCTAATTTCTCATAAGAAGCAATGGAGACCCGAAGTCAGAATGACAGATTTGGACTGGTGAAAGAAAAAAAAACTATCAGGGATTCTATATAAGTGAAACAAAACTGTATTTTAAAAAGACAAAATAAAGGCATTCACACATAAACAAAGAGAGAATTTGTTTCCAAAAGATTTGCTTTACAAGATCTACTAAAGGAAATTCTTCAGGCTGACATCATGTGGCAACTTAAATCCATACAAAGAAGTAAAGAATTGTAGGAAAGATACACACAAACACACACACACACACACAAACTGACCCTCAAACATTGTGGGTTTTAGGGGCACCAGCCCCCTACAAAGTCGAAAATCCGTGTATAAATTTTGACTCCCCCAGATCTTAACTACTAACAGCCTACTATTGACTGGGAGCCTTACCAATAACATAAACAGTCAATTAACACATATTTCATTTTCTTTTGTTTTGATACATGGTCTTGCTCTGTCATCCAGGCTGGTGTGCAGTGGCACAATCGTGGCTCACTGCAGTCTCAACCTCCCAGGAGCATAGTGCTCCTCCCACATCAGCCTCCTGAGTAGCTGGGACTACAGGCATGCACCACCATGCCAGCTAATTTTTTAATATTTTTATAGAGATGAAGTCTCACTATGTTACCCAGGCTGGTCTCAAACTCCTGAAACATGTATTTTGTATGTTATATGTCTTATACACTGTATTCTTACAATAAAGTAAGCTACAGAAAAGAAAATGTTATTAAGACAATCATAAGAAACAAAAACTACATTTACAGTACTGTACTGTGTTTATCGATACCATAAGTTTACATCGTCTGTTTACAAGGTGAATCATCTGTCAGAAATAGTAGGCAACTGCAGCTGCAGACCGCAATCTATGGTACATATCAAGCAATCCAACTTTCTCCTGTAATGTTACGACCTTTCTCTGCTTCTTTAGAGCACTTCCAGCATCACTAATGGCACTTGCTATGGGTCCCATGTGTCATCCACGGTTTAAGCATTGCAGTAAACCAAGAAATACATGGGAATTGAGAGATCACTTTTTACTGCAATAGGCAATTTACTGAAGGGATTAACCACTCATGGAGATGATCAGCACCATATAGCATCTTAAGTAGATCCTCACTCACTGCAATGGCAACAGGAGGTGGCTGTGAAATTATTACAGTAGCACAGTATGTACCACAGTTAACTTTACACAGTTATGATTGAATCCTGCATCTTTACATTTGTTTACATTTCCCTTGGCTGTGAATGGTACCATGTACTGTCTGTGTTTGTGTAAGCTTTGATACATTTTAACTTTTTATAATAGATTTGTGTATATTTTATAGGAGTAAATAAGATAGACTAGTATCTACAAAAATTTTATGCATTCATGACATAGCTTTTGTGGTTTTTTGTTTGGGGTGTGTGTGTGTGTGTGTGTGTGTGTGTGTGTGTGTGTGTGTTTCTGTGTTTGTTTCTCCCATGTGCTTATTTTGGCCCCTGGCCACTCACAACCCACCATCATTTTTTTTTTAATAACTGGTTCAAAGGACAATTTTTTTAACTTTTAAGTCCAGGGGTACATGTGCAGGTTTATTATATAGGTAGACTCATGTCACAGGAGTTTGTTGTACAGATTATTTTGTCACCCAGGTATTAAGCCTAGCACCCATTACTTATTTTTCCTGATCCTCTCCCTCCTCCCACCTTTCATCCTCCAGTAGGCCCCAGTGTGTGTTGTTCCCCTCTTTGTGTCCATGTGTTCTCATCATTCAGCTCCCACTTATAAGTGAAAACATGTGGTATTTGGTTTTCTGTTCCTGTGTTAGTTTGCTAAAGGTAATGGCCTCTGGCTCCATCCATGTTTCTGCAAAAGATATTACCTCATTCTTTTTAATGGCTGCATAGTGTTCCATGGTGTATATGTTTATACATATACTTTACTTTATCCAGTCTACCACTTTATCCACTTTTCTTTATCCAGTCTACCACTGAAGGACATTTAGATCAATTCCATATCTTTGCTATGGTGAATAATGCTGCAATGAACACACATGTGCATATGTCTTTACAGTACAAGAATTTATATTCTTTTTTTATATATACCCAGTAATGGGATTTCCTGAGTCAAATGGCAATTCAGTTTTTTAGCTCTTTAGCTCTTTAAGGAATCACCACACTGCTTTCTACAATGGTTGAACTAATTTACACTCCTGCCAGCAGTGTATAAGTGATCTCTTTTCTCTGCAACTTCATTAGCATGTGTTATTTGTTGACTCTTTAATAATAGCTATATGACTGGTGTGAGATGGCATTGCATTGTAGTTTTGATATACATTTTTCTAATGATAGGTGATATTGAGCTTTTATCATACACTTATTGGCTGCGTGTATGTCTTCTTTTGAAAGCATTCATGTCCTTTGCTCACTTTTTAGTGCAGCTGTTTGGTTTCTTTTTCTTGTAAATTTGTTTAAGTTCCTTATAGACTTTGGTTCCTATTAGACCTTTGTCAGAGATGCATAATTTGCTAAATTTTTTTCCCATTCTGTAGATTGTTTACTCTGTTGATAGTTCCTTTTGCTGTGCAGAAGCTCTTTAGTTTAATAGATCCCATTTGTCAATTTTTGTTTTTGTTGCAATTGCTTTTGGCACCTTTGTCATAAAATCTTTTCCCGTGCCTATGTGCAGAATGGTATTGCCTAGATTGTCTTCCAGGGTTTTATAGTTTGGGGTTTACGTTTAAGTCTTTAATCCAACTTGAGTTGATTTTTGTATATGGTATAAGGAAGGGGTCCGATTTCAATCTTCTGCATGTGGGTAGCCAGTTCTCCCAGCACCATTTATTGAGTAGAGACTGCCTGCCCCACTGCTTGTTTTGGTCAGCTTTGTCGAAGATCAGATGGTCATAGGTGTACAGCCTTATTTCTGGGCTCTCTGTTCTGTTCCATTGGTCTATGTGACATACCTAACTTTGACTTAATTTTTTTCAATATTTCTAAGCTATGCAGTTCATCTGTGTTTTTTCAAATTATCACAAATCTCCAAAAAAAATTCCCATACATTTATTGAAAAAGATCTCCATATAAGTAGACCCATGCAGTTCAAATCCATGTTGTTCAAGGGTCAATTGTATGTCTTTTTTTTATCATTTTTCTTTTTTCTCTTAATATAAAATACATTGCACAAAATAATTGAAATGATAAAACTATTATATATGTTAGGCATATAACGTAGAAGTACAACATACGTGACCATCAAAGCACAAACAAGGGAGGACAAATGGAGCTCTACTGGAACACAATGTCTGTATTTTCCACGAGATAAGTTAGTATTAATCCAGCACAGATCATATTAAACTAAGATGTACAGTTTAACCCTTAGAGCAATCAATAATAAAATAACTCAAAAACACAGTTTTAAAAATAGAAACAAAGAAGAGAATTAGTATACAATAAAATGTAATTTAACACAGTAAGAAAGCAGTAAAAGATAAAGAGAGGAAAAAAGATATGAGATATAGTGAAAATAGCAAAGTAGCAGACGTGAAGCCAAGCGTATGAATAAGTATTAAATGGGGGTGGATTGAATATTTCAATTAAAATGTAGAAATTGTCAGGCTAGATTTTATCATTTTTAAAATGATAAGTCATGCAAACAGTAAACAAAAGTGGGCTGAAGTGGCTATACCAGTATCAGGCAAATAGACCCTAAGACAAAAACATTACCAGAGAAAAAGAGACATTTAGTAATGATAAAGTTCAATTCATTTGGATGATGTAATAATTATAAAAGTATATACACTTAACAACCGATCCTCAAGATACATGAAGCAAAAGCTGACATACTTGAAAGGAAAAATACCCAATCCAACAAAATAGTTGAAGACTGCAATACCCCACTCTCAATAACTGATAGAACAGTTTCACAGAATATCACTAATAATGTGCAAGAGACAAACAGAACTGTTAACAAGCAAGACAAATCTAACACTGATAGAATGCTCCACAAAACAGCAGCAGAATACACATCACAAGTAGAATATTCTCCAAGACAGATCAAATGCTAGACCGTAAAACAAGTCTTAATAAAATTAAAAGGACTGCAATTGTGCAATGTATGTCCTGTGACCACAACTGAATTAAATTAAAAGTCAAAAACATAAAGAAACATGGGCAATCCACAAATATTTGGAGCCTTCAAAACATACTTTGAAATAACCCATAAGTCAAAAAAAGAAATTATATGGAAAATTAGAAAATATTTCTAGCTTAATGAAAATGAAAGCACGTTACATGTTAAATTGAAGAAATGCAAAGAAGTGGTGCTGGGGGCATGGTTTGAGGAGTAGTATCTTTCTGTGTTAGTAAACCTTTCTGTTTGAGGAGGACACAAATTTATAAATGAAGTCTCAAGATTTTGTGAGTAATTTTGTAACAACAATTGTAATGGAAACAATACATATTACTGATGTAGTCTTTTCCGTGATAACGGAAATGTTACTCAAATATCACACAAAATGAAACAGATCATCAAGGTCACACTACCTCCTAAACTTGCTGTTATAAGTAATTTAGCTCCAAACTCAACTTATAGTAAATTATATTTTATAGAAAATGAAATTAGAATGAGTTTACAAACCACAAAGATAATTCAAGAAAAAAAACAAATACGCAGTGCTGTCAGAAATCTCTCAGTGGCTAAGGTAAAGCTGGTTAACTTAAAATAGTCCAATTACAACCTTCATTGTTTTCCACTTAGAGAATATAAGGAAAGATTAATAGATGTAGGCTTTCTTCATTCACCAAATAAAACATGAAATACAAAAATCAGGTAAAATGCCATATGGCAAAAGTTCTAAAATCTTACCTCCATCAGAACAAAGAGCGCTGCAAAAAACAGAAGGGTTGCCCATTCCACTCTGTGTAGAATTATCTCAAAATCATGAATATCAGCTAAAATTAGCAACCAGATGGCACCCAGAATAGCAATCCATCCTGAAAATAAGTAAATAGACATAGAGATATAGTTCCACTGTTAACACACCGATTCATTTCTTTAACCTCTGGTTGCCTTTTTCTTTATCAAGAATAATTGTCATACTACAAACCGCATATATGTAAAATGCATATAATTTCTATTTGGTTATGTGTATACTCATGAAACCAACACTGTAATCAAGATAATGAACATGCCCATTGACCCACAAGTTTATTCATGCCTATGTTCTTGTACCTCCTCTAGCTCCTCTTGTCAACCCCCACACTCCCAGTAAACCATTCATCTCTTTTCTTTCACTATAGATTGGCTTAAATTTTCTATAAATGCAGGTTTTCTGTAAATTGCACCATAGTTTTTTGTTGTTGTTGTTTTGGGGGCCTTTTTGAGACACAGTTTTGCTCTGTCACCCAGGCTGGGCTGCAGTTCAGCTCACTGCAACCTCCACCTCCCAGGCTCAAGCTGGGGAGCCTCAGCTTCCCAAGTAGCTGGGATTACAGTCATGCACCACCACACCCAGTTAACTTTTTCTATTTTTAGTAGAGATGAGGTTTCACTATGTTGACCAGGCTGGTCTCACACTCTTGCCCTCAAGTGATCCGCCCACCTCAGACTCCCAAACTGCTGGGATTACAGGCATAAGCCACCATGCCCCACCTGTTGTATTTTTTGTCTGACTGTTTCTCAATAGACAGATCATCCAGACAAAAAAATTAATATTCAGCATAATCATGTTAAGATCCTTCACTGTTGGCCGGGCCCGATGGCTCACGCCTGTAATCCCAGCACTTTGGCAGGCCCAGGCAGGCAGATCACCTGAGGTCAGGAGTTCGAGACCATCCTGACCAACATGGAGAAACCCCGTCTCTACTAAAAATACAAAATTAGCTGGATGTGGTAGCACATGCCTGTAATCCCAGCTACTTGGGAGGCTGAGGCAGGAGAATTGCTTGAACCTGGGAGGCAGAGGTTGTGGTGAGCCGAGATCACGCCATTGCACTCCAGCCTGGGCAATGAGAGCCAAACTCCATCTCAAAAACAAAAAAAAGATCCTTCGCTGTTGGTGTGTGAGTCAGTAGTTCATCTTTTTTAATGTGTAGTAGTATGCTAGTGTGTGGCTATATTACAATGTACATACCATTCACCTATTGATGGACACATGGATTGTTTCCAGTGTCTGGCTATTTCAAATAAACATGCTATGAACATTCATATACAAGTTTTTGTATGTACACATGCTTTCAGTTCTCTTGGCTAAATACCTAGGAATGAGATGGTTGGATATATGATAGCTTAATACTATGCAATGTTATATGCAACATTTATGCTTTAGGAAACTGCAAAACTATTTTCCAAAATAATTTTATCATTTTACAATCCCACCAGCAGTGGATGAGAATTCCAGTTCTTCCACATCTTCACCAACATTTGATCAGCCTTTCTGATTTTAGACATTCCAATGGTTGTGTAGTGGGATCTTACTGTGGTTTCCAATTGCATTTTTCTCATGACTAATGACTTTGAGCATCTTTTTTTTTTTTTTTTTTTTTTTTTGAGATGGAGTCTTACTCTGTGGCCCAGGCTGGAGTGCAGTGGTGCAATCTCAGCTCACTGCAACCTCCATCTCTCAGATTCAAGTGATGTTCCTGCCTCAGCCTCCCGAGTAGCTGGGATTACAAGTGTGCACCACCATGCCCAGCTAATTTTTGTATTTTCAGTAGAGATGGGGTTTCACCATGTTGGCCAGGCTGGTCACGAACTCCTGACCTCAAGTGATCCACCCACCTTGACTTCCCAAAGCGCTGGAATTACAGGCATGAGCCACCATGCCCAGCCAACACTGAGCATCTTTTACTTACTTGACATCCATATATCTTCTTTCATAAAGTTTTTGTTTAATTGTTCTGGTTATATTTTTCCTTACTGGTTAGAGCAAATGAAACCCAAAATAAGTAGAAGAAAAGAAATAATAAAGACTGGAGTAGAAATCAATGAAATAGAAAATGGAAAAAATGTTAGAGAAAAGCAATGATACCAAAACTGGCTTCTTTCAAAAGCTCAGTAAGATCAGTCAACTTTTAGCCAATCTGAATAGAGCAAGTGAGAAAACAAAATTTCCAGTATCAAGAAGAAGATCAGTGGCATGACTATAGATGCTATAGATATAAAAAGGTGTACTAGTTTTCAATTATATCATGATTTTCATAGGTCAGAGGATGCTGGTTCACAGCAGGATGTCTGCTTAGAGTCTCATGAAGTCACAGCCACAGTGTTGGCAGGGCTGCGTTCCTGTCTGGAGGCTCTAGGGGAGGATTTGTTTCTCTGCTCATTCAGGTGTTGACATAATCCAGTTCCCTGCAGCTGTAAGACTGAGGCCCCTGTTTCCTTACTGGCTGTCACCCAAAAGCTGTGCTGAGCTTCCAGAGGCACCCACATTCCCAGCCTCATGCCTCCATTCCTCCATCTTCAAAGTCAGCAATGTCCCTCTCACACTTCAAATCTCTCCTGCCTCTTCTTCTGTCACAGCTCTCTAACTGGCTCTTCTATCTTTCACTTTATTTTTAAGGGCCCTTATGATTACATTGGATCTACCTGGATAATCCAGAAAAATCTCCCTTTATGGAGGTTTATAACCTAAATCCACCTGCAAAGTTCCTTGGCTATGTAATATAACATATATGGCCATTAATATCAGGGACTACAGGGTGGACTCCTTTGAAGCAGAGAGGTATGTACGAATTAATTTGGGGAAAATTAACATTTTAACAATATAGGGGCTTCTGATCTATAAACACAATATATAGCTCCAATTATTTATGTCTTCTTTCATTTTTCCTAAGAATGTTTTGTATAAATCCCAGCACTCTTTTGTGTAGAAATTAACAAACTGATTCTAAAATTCACATAAGAATGCAAAGGACTAGAATAACCAATGCAACTTTTATAAAAAAATAAAAAAGAACAAGGTTTGAGAATATACTTTATCTCACCTCAAGATTTATTATAAAGCAACAACAATAAAAACAATGTGATATTGCATCAAAATAAATTGATCAATGGAGAATCCAAAAATATACCCATATATTTATGGTCAATTGATTTTTTTGCAAAGATTCAATGGTGGTTTAATACAGAAGGAGAAGTCTTTTCCACATATGGTGCTGGAACAGTTGGATATCCACATGCAAAAGAACTTTTACTTTGATCTGCTCACTAATCATATACGAAATTTAATACAAATGGATTATAGGTCTGAATGTAAAACACAACTATAAAACTTCTGGAAGAAAATATAGGAAAAAATCTCTGACCCTGAGTTAAAGGTTTTCTTAGACATAACAGTAAAAACATAATATATGAAAAGAAAAAAATCATATTAATTGGACTTTATCAAAATTATGAATTCCTGTTTTTCAAAGGGCACTGTTAAGTTAAAGTAGAGAAATGCCACAAACTGGGAGAAAATATTTCCAAATCATCTATCTGATAAAAGACTAATATCTAGAATATATATATATAAATTTTTAATTCTCAAATTCAACAAGTAAACAACACAATTCAAATGGGAAATATTTTAAACAGACACTTCAACAAAGAAGACATAAGATTGACAAATGATTACATGAAAAGATGGTCAAATATCACTAGCCATTAGGGAAACGTGGAGTAAAACCACAATGACATTTCACTATCTACCTTAGAATGTGTAAAATCAAAAACACTGACTAAAGTAAATGTTGACAAGGAGATGAAGGAACAGGAACTTTCAAGCACTGCTGGTGGGAGTGTAAAATGGTTCAACCATTCCGGAAAACAGCGTGGCAGTTTTTAAAAACATGATCCATACACCTACCAATATGAACCCACCATTCCACTTTCAAGTATTTACCCAAGAGAAATTAAAGCATAAGGTAACACAAAGAATTGAACACGATGTTTGCTGTAGTCTTAGTTTTGATGGTCAAGAACTGGAAACAATTCAAATATCCATCAACAGGTGAATGTGTGTACAAAAAGATGGTGTAATACTCAAACCATGGAATACTACTCAGTAATAACAGGAATGAATTATTGATGTATGCTACCACATGGATGAATCTCATAATAATTATGCTGAATGAAAGAAGCCAGACCAAATATACATATATACCATTTTTAATATAAAGTTCTAGAAAATTTAAATAGCAGGGTTTGACAAGCTATAGTCCATGGGTCAAATCTGACCCCCTGCTTGTTTCTATAAATATAATCTTATTGAAATACATCCACAGCCACCCATTTACATACTTTCTATGACTGCTTTACCACAACCCAGTCATTTAGTATTTGTGAGAGAGAGTGTCTGGCTAAAAAGCCTCAAGTATTTTCTATCTACTCTTTTATGGAAAAGCTTGCCAACTCTTAATCTACAGTGACAGAAAACAGGTCAGAGACTGCCTGAGGATGGAGGTGCTGGGAGGTCAGGAGTAAGCGAGTATCAAGAGGCTCAAGGAGCTCCTCAGTGTGGTGACTGAGCCAGGCTCTTCATCAGGGCAGGGGTCTGACACTTCATCTCTAAACACTCTGATTCCAACTCTAAGGTTCACTGAATTTTCTTAGAATATTTTTTGCTGTCTCCAGTAAACACTGTAGACAAGATGTGCTTAGAACACTAAAAGTTCAAAGAACTGGGGCATCATCAAATTAGCCAAACACGTTGCACAAACTGACATATGCCTGCTCACAACTAAATATGGATCTGATTGATAGTTATGTGTGTGACTTTCATTATAAGCACTACAGAGCTAGCCATCTCCCACTTTCAAGAGTTAGAGACTACAGTTAGGGTCCACCAAAAGATAAAGGAGTTCTCCAAGACCAGAGTGGATCAGGCCGGCTTGCAACTAGGAGAAACAGAATACTATTCAGTTTAAAAACAAAACAAAACAAAAAAAGTACTAAGATCTCAATTGTTTACGTATTTGAGGGGAAAAAAAAATCTCTTAAATAAGAATTACCTGGATGGATAACGTATCCTTTTAAACAGTTCTTGACAATTCTATACCTTGCATTTTATTTTATCTATTTATTTATTTATTTTTCTTTTTAATTTTTTTGAGATGGAGTTTTGCTCTTGTCGCCCAGGCTGGAGTGCAGTGGCACAATCTTGGCTCACTGCAACCTTTGCCTCCCAGGTTCAAGTGATTCTCCTGCCTCAGCCTCCTGAGTAGCTGGGATTACAGGTGCCTGCCACCACACCTGGCTAATTTTTTGTATTTTTAGCAGAGACGGGGTTTCACCATGTTGGCCAGGCTGGTCTCAAACTCCTGACCTCAGGTGATCCACCAGCCTCAGCCTCCCAAAGTGCTAGGATTACAGGCGTGAGCCACCACGCCCAGCCTGTACCTTGCATTTAAAAAAAAAAACAAAAATGATCTGTTCTTATTTTCTCAAATTATTTCTATTACTCTTACTCTACCTTCAAGGGCTTAAATATAGATTATTTTCTGGAAAACAATGACAGTTATTGAATACGATGTATAGAATTTGAAGAGGTATCCAAACTACCCTTTTGTCTCCTACGGTTCCTCCTGCTTTCCAAAGTATACCCACTTGTCTACTTTTGCAAGACCACTGTCTCACAATATCAGGAAACACTCCTGTTCATCTGGTCCTCACTGAATGTCCCCTAAATCCAAATTGTTCTGTATGCCACTTTTGGAAACCTGCTCTGTACCTGCCTCTGAGCTTAAGGGATACAGATGGGAATGTAAGCAAGGCACCACTTTGAATTCCAAGGGCCTCGCCGTCCAGTGGAGAACACATGTATGTAAATAACGTTATACTTAATGCAATACTATAGGTAGATGTGAACCACTGGAGAGCACCCAGAAAAAAATAACAATATATGGGGACTGAGAGAAGGTTCCACAAAGGAGGTGAACCCTGCTCCCTGGTTCAGGTAGAGAAGAGCAGCATTATTCACAAACTATTGTGAATGTCTGTTCTAACCTGGCTGGAGGGTAGCTGAGGCACTGAAGCAAGGCATTCATCTGTTTCACCTAAGGCAGAACTTAGGCCAGGAAAATGGCAGGCATTGTTCAAAATCACTGCAAGCCAAACCACAGATGCCTGGGGAAAAGACAAGCATGTAATGCGCCACCTGAGGAATAGGAGCAAAATCTGGGGAGAGTTTCTTTGTGAAACTGAGATATTCAAAAACAAACATGGGGCGGGGCAGGGCAGAGCTAGGGGGCGGTGGGGGCAGGCAGAGATAAGGAAAGCCACCTGCATGCCTAGGGAAAGGCCCATGCTCAGAAAAGACTGGAGAATTCCCAAAACTTTCAGCTTGTGCTGATGCCTAGTCTCAGTGCAAGCCTGGCTAAGTTTTGAAGGAGGGTTCTAGCACAGAGCCAATCTATAAAACAGGAAGAGGTATTTTTGTTGTGGTGGTTTGTTTGCTTTTAGCTCCTGGAATTCAAATCAATCTGTGTCAAAACACTAGCCGAACACAGTAAGCAATCACTAAGGAACAGAGATTCCAGTGACCATACATGACAAGGAATACAGTCTTTTCAAAAATAGTTTGGAAATGTCACAAAACAAACAAGACTACTACAGCCTTCGATTATAAAAAATAATAATAATAACCCCGGGGAAGGGAGTGAAACTGATTTCCAGATTTACCACAATATAATATTCAAATGTTCAGTGTTCAACCAAAAATAAATCACAAGGCATAGAAAAAAAAAACAGGCTAATGGAATAGAATATAGAGCCCCGAAATAAACACGTATGCTTATGGTCAAATGATCTTTGATGAGAATGCCAAGACTACTCAATCGCAGTCTGTTTAACAAATGGTGTTGAGGAAACTGGATATCTGCATGCAAAAGAATAAAGTTGGACCCTTATCTTACACCATATACAGAAACTAATTCAAAATCGATTAGAGACCTAAACATAAAGTCTAAAACTATAAAACTCCTAAAAGAAAACATGGAGGAAAATATTCAGTATATTGGACTTGGCAGTGATTTCTAGGCTATGACAGCAAAAGTGAAAAAAAGCAGAAATAAACAAATGTGATTACATTAAACAGACAGAAGGTAGATTAAGAGATTACCAGGGGTGGGCAGGGTGGGAGGTGAAATGGAGTCATTGCTTAATGATTATAGGGTTTCTTCTTGGGGTTAATGAAATGTTTTGGAGATAACGGTAATGGTGATTGTCACGCGTGTCCGTATGAAGAGACCACCAAACAGGCTTTGTGTGAGCAATAAAGCTTTTTAATCACCTGGGTGCAGGCGAGCTGAGTTCGAAAAGAGAGTCAGCGAAGGGAGTTAGGGATGGGGCAGTTTTATAGGACTGGGGTAAGCAGTGGAAAGTTACAGTTAAAGGGGGTTTTTCTCTTGCAGGCCAGGGCGGGAGTCACAACGTGCATGCTGGAGAGAACATAAGACTCATTGTCCAGAAGAAGAATGTCATGAGGTCGATGGATCCATCAGTTGGGACAGCGCAGGAACAAGTCATAGCGGAATGTTGTAAGGTTGGTCAATCAATTAAGACAAGAGCTGGCTGTTTCACTTCTTTTGTACTTTTCAGTTGCCTCAGGCTATCTGGTGCAGCCTTGTGCTCAGAGGCCTGACAGTGATGTAATTAATGCCACTGAGTTGTACAATTAAAAATAGTTAAAATGACAAGTTGTATGTGTTATATACATATCACATATGTATTTGATATATACATAACACATATATGTATATATCACATATGGATATATACATATCTATATACATATACATATCACATACTTTATATGCATACACAATTTTATGTGATATACATATATATCACACAAGCCTTGCCATTTTAACCATATATTTTTTTAAGCATATGATATATTATTTTTCTTACTACAACAGCAACATTTTAAAAAGGAAGATGGGGTTGGGAAGGACATTGTCATTTAGCATGTGAAGGGCAGACCATGTTTTATATCATGCAAAAATGTTGGGACCCCAGTCTTAGACAGGGAGAAGTCAATGAGATTTCTCAGCAAAGAGGCTGCAGTGGCCTAATTTCTACTTATGTTAGCTTTGTCTCCTAACCAGAATGTTACTTTTCTTTGAATTCTCCAGGGCACGTACCACACAGTTCAGAAGACAAACAGACACTTGCTTATCTGATCATCACATCTGATGGTGATTCCTTCACCGCTCCTCTAACACAGATCACCACATCTTTTCTTTAAATTCTCAGTAAGAAATAATTGCTCCAATTTCACTTCTCCTGGGTAAAGCTTTTTGACCCCAGAAATGGCATCCCTTGTTTTCTCTGCTATATAGCAATAAGAAGCTCTCTCTAAAAGTCAGTAAGAACACAAGTTCTTTTCCATGATTCTGAGAGAAATTTCAGTCATGACAAAAAGCTGGAAGGTCCTTTAGGGCTCTTTTTATAGTTCTGCTTTCTCTTATCAATTGTGGAGGCCTGAGCTTTCCTCCAGCCAAAACTCCTGCTATAGCACTCATCCATCCAACTTCAGAAAGTTTCCATAGTCACGGAGATTTGTCTTGTTAGAAAAATTCCCTGCAATAGCCTACAATCGAATGAAGACCTTGTCCCTGCAAAACCTCAATTCCCTCTTACTTTTAATCGCACTGCCTGCAGAGCCAGCGGCACTAATCAGGCTGCCGGTGCATAAGCTCGTCTGCTTGGTATTGCCTGGTCCTGCTCTGAGTCCAGACCACACTTTCCACTGCAGCCCCGGTCCCTGTGAGCAATGCTCCAGGCTGCTCTGCTCAGCACCGGCTCCTCAGGGACACTGACAAAGGGTGAGGCAGTGGTTCTTCCACAGTGTACTGGAAGCAAAAGCCACTGACGGAAACATCCCAGTTTCCAGCTTCACATTCTATTACAAATTCTAACAATGTGTCATTGAGACTCTTTTCCTAAAAATTAAAAATGCAGTTGAGTGGAGATGAATACAGATAAAAAGTACCATTTACGTGACCTGTCTTTATCCTGTGGAGCTTCTATCAAACGCTTTCCTCGAGTGGGCATTAATCTCTCACCAAGAGCTTTGCCATTTCTCAACTCAAAAAATCTGAGATAAGTGGCTCTGTACTTTCATTTGTGTCTCCAACAGAGTCAAGTTTCTATGCCGAACAAATAGCTAAAGGAGCCTCTTTTCCCTCATTCCTAAAGCCCTGGGCAACATGATTCAAAGGAAAGTAGGAAAGGGCTTTCACCAGTCCCCCAGCAGCCTCCTCCGCACAGGCATTTGCTGGGCATCTCTCAGCACCCCAGCCCAGGGGGAAACTGAGGCTCCCGAAGATGGACTGGTTTTCTCCAGGCTGCACAGCTTGCTGGGGTGAAGCCAGGATTCAATCCCCAGTCTGCAAGAATTTCCTTCCATGCTGCCACGTTATATTCCTCTGATATGCTCAGGCTTCTGATGGAATGATTTTGCTAATTATGAACAGATCTGGTTTATTTATTTCAAATCTCTTGTCACAGTGTGATTGGATGAATATACTGAGAAATGTAACTTAATTTTGTTCTATTTGAAACCTTGTCATCTTTTATAAAAGATATACTGTACAGTTCCTTGCCCTGGACATTGTGTAACTGACTTTGACCAAAGGCAGTACTGTCCTGATCAATTAAGATGAACTAACCTATGTACCTTGAGGCACACAGGATGCATCTCCAGAGAGTATCTCAACAGTTACTCATCTCATATTCATCCTTCCAAACAGGAAAACCCACAGATGGACTGTGCATACCATATACAGTACAAACCACCCTGCCTGCCACCCTTTCATGAAGTACTACATGAGTACTGGCCATCAACTGCCTGAAATAGACCAAGTAAGATCACAAATAATCAAGGACTTTCTGTTGCACAGCTACACTGTGGTTGTTCCTTGGGTAATTCTAGCTCTCTCACTTACCCAAGCACTCAACCTCCAGGGTGCAAACCCAGTGCTTCCTTGTGGGGAGCACCCACTCCACAGTTGGGTGGGTGAGTAGGACAGGGCACATGGGATGAGCTGGCTTAGAAAGTCAGAAGGAGCCGAGTGACCAGGGGGTTAAGGTCTATTATAGCACCATGCATCAGGCAGTTGCTATGGCAGCAGAAGGAGGGAGCACCTAACTACTTACTCAATTATCATGTAGACTGCACAGGCTTTCTCTCAAGAGAAAACTCCCATTCTTTCTAGTTTCCCTTTAAAATCCAGCAAAAGAAAGACCATTTTTTATAATCTTCGTGTCTTCCTGCACTGCTTGGCCATCAGCCTGAACTGTTTGTTCATATCTCATGCAATCGTGCACCAGGCACTGCTCTTCAGGCCTGTGTGTATTACCTGATTCAATCCTCACAGCAATTTTAAAGCCTAGCTCCAACACTCAGTGGCTCTTATGGGCACCTGCTGTGTGCTGCAGGACACAGGCTTAGAACCAGGAAGATTGAGCTCCAGATCTGCCCTCTCCCTCCTAGACCCAGAAAGTGGCTGTGACTGCCCAAGATACCCGCTGTAGCTGCAACACCAAAGCTCGGAGTGAAGCTAATGGCTTCCATTCAACACCTGGAAGCTTCTGCGTGGTTTCCAATCTGGCTTAGGAAATGCCTCAATTACATCAAGTGAGTCATTTAAAAGAGTTGAGGTTGGAAAGAATAAAGATTATTCTATTTCTGAGCATTTTGCCTCAAATAAAGATTTCCACCAATACAGACAGGCCAGTGGCGGGGGAGGGGACGCTGCTGACTTTCCCCTCCCTCTCTCTTCACCGTCCCCCCACATTCTCTGCCCCAGAGGCTGAATTGTGCAGACCACATCAAAAGGTTTCATGACCGAGGATGCCAGTCAGGCTCTGCCCTTCACAACCAGAGAGTAAATGTGCCTGTTTCTGAGTTCTTCATAAATGGAATCATATAGCATATACTCTTTTCTGTCAGATTTTTCTTTTGGCCAACACATTTGTGAGATCCAGTCATGTAATACGTTCATTTTTTATTTCTGTATAGTATTCCACTATATGACTCTCCCACCATTTGTCCGTTCTAGGGGTTGATATTTGAGTTGTTTCCAGTTTGGGGCTATTATAAATAGGCTGCTATGAGCATTTTCAGAGAGTCTTTTGGTGTGCAAATGTACATATTTTTGTTGGGCATACCACTGTGAACAAAATTACTAAGCAGAAGATATACATTGTTCTAAACTTTAGTAGATGCTGTCAAATCATTTTCAAAAGTCATTGTACAAATTTACAATCTTATCAGCAATGCATGACACTTCCTACTGCTCCACAATCTTTCAGCACTCAGTACTGTCAGTCTTTTTTTCTAACCATTTAGGTGTGCATATAATGGCATCTCGTTGTGGTTAAATTTTGCATTTTACTCATGACTTACAAGGTTGAACACCTTCTCATATGCTTACTAATACTTTCAGTAATTTCAATATCTTCTTCTGTGAAGTGTCTACTTAAGATTCCGTCCATTTTTCTATTGGGGGGTTCTGTCTTTTCTTATTGCTCTATAGATGTTCTTTTTATATTTTAGATATAATTTCCAAATGTGACAATGGATGCTTTTGCACACACTTTTTTCACTCTGTGGCTTCTTGTTCACTCATTTAGTAGTACACTTTGAGACATAAGTTCCTAATTTTAAGATAGTCAAAGTTATCAACCTAATCTTTTACCATTAGCACTTTTCATATCCAATTTAAAAAGCTGAGTCACAAATATAAATAAGAAAATGATGGGCCAGCTTACCCTAGTGATTGCATGTTATGCATGAATAGACTGTAAGGTATGTTGGTAAGTTATTGCTGCAATAAAGCTACATAACAAAAAAAGGAGTTGAGTCACATGGAGATGTTTGATGACATAATATGATGTGATGAAGACACTCAGCAGGATCCCTATTTTACAGAGGCCACTGAACCTTACATAGATTAGGTCCTCTTAAACCAAATGGGCACGTTGGGGAGGGAAGTGCATGTAGCTGTGCAGGAGGGGAAGAAGATACACACCTGCCTCAGCTTACGTGCCACCTAAGATCTGATGAGGGTCAGGAGGTAGCTAAGCATCCACCCTGTCTCACCAGGCGGCATTCTAGCCCTTCTGCCCACAACTTGCAGAGGCAAGACTCCAGGCTCATTGCTCACTAGACCAAGTGGGCTGATTCCAGCTTTTCATCAGCAAAAGTGTTTCAATGTATGCATTCCACCCCACTTCCAAAAATGGAAGGGAGAAAATTGTGATGGCAGGGTCAGGGAATGGTACAGCCCTACAAATATGCCATTAGAAGGCAGTAACTAAAACTTTCAGGACACTCAAGGGTTACTGTGCTTAGAGGCTGGTAAGTTTCACCAAATATGAAGACCTCTAATGAGAACACACAGACACAGACACAGAGGCAGGATTTTTGTCCTTGATAAACACAAGTACCAGTTACCCAGGCTGTCCCCTGAATGCCAGCTCATTCACATTCTAAAGCACTCACATTGTCAGAGAAAGACAGTGGCAGGCTGAGCTCCCGGGATGGACTGAGAGACAGCTGCATCGATGCACATGCCCTGAGCACACTCAAGTATGGTCTCTGTGGCCTTGGGAGTGGCGGACTGGACTGAGCTCTGCCCCGAGGACTGCACAGGCTCATGGAGAAGACAGCTCACATACAACTGCCGTGATGGACCTGTGACGGCTATGCTAGCCTCACACACCAAGGTACCATAGGGGTCTCTCAGCTAAATCCATACGCTTGCTGAGGCCATGGGGGAACCAACCAGAGCTTAACTGAACATTGGAGCTCTTCTGTGGTCTCAAGCATCTTTGAAACATGTTGAAAATCAAACAGGCTCTGAGGAGCTTCATATTCTTGACTGTTAAAACTCATGTGAACTAGAACATCTATGACAAACTCATAAAAATGTCAGCAAGAAAGGAAGGCATCATAGCTGTTTTCTTAACTTACTTTTATTTTCACTATTTTAGGTCTCAATATCAAATGATTTTCTAACCTCTACTTTTAAAAAATTAATTGAAATGTTGGCCATGTTTATGATGAGTATTATTCACCACTCCAAACAAGACTCTGCTAACATTTGTACTCAATTTCTGGTACCCTCGGGGCCTATTAAATGCAGTGATATGTAAAATATGAATATTATGCTCCCTAGATATCATGAAGGAGTAGAATTAAAATTGTGAGTGCTTAAAATGATGTCATCTCATTGTGGTTAAATTCTGCATTTTACTGATGACTTACGAGGTTGAGCACCTTTTCATATGCTCATTTATTCATTAAAATGAGTAATCCTTACACAAGAATAACTAAGCATAAAGAAATAATGCTAAATGCAGTTAAGAATTCTCATTTTGCACTTGTGCATTTGGGCTTTGTTAAAGAATCAGGTTCGTTATCACAGAGGCAGGTCAGTGCTGCAGGTGCATTAGACACGGTCAGGAATCGTGCCTCATTCACAGGTATCCCTGGTGCCTCTCACAGTGAGGAGTGGGTAAAAACACACTCAAAAATAACGAATCAACAAGTGAATGAACAAGCAGCTAAAGTATCTGCATTAAACACGGAATGCAAATTCTCAGAATGCCACACAACTTGGATCTTCTTGTAGCAAGTAACGTTTACTCCTCATTGCAGGTTTTCCTGTGGTCCTCGGGAACCACCCAGGTCACTGACTGCACAACTGCAGTGAGCTGCATTCCATGTGGATGGAGCCTGGAGAGGCGGGCCACAGAGCAGCCTGACCCTGAGAAACACACCCAGCTCTTCTTGGACATCACACAGCTTTGCCGTTGGGACTGAACCCCCTTTCTTCTCAGGCTCCTCAAAATCCAAATAGAATGCATTTCTGATTGATACATTCCATGCTCACCAGCATCCAAGCAGATTTTAGTCACCCCCACTGGTGGGCCACTATGTAATATTCTAAAGTACCAGATAAAACATCATATCATGTAAAACCCTTAACAAATCGTGTAGGAGGTGTTTTGTGTATCGGTTCACTAGTAGCTTGTCAGAGCTCCCCACACCTGTCACTCTTCTCCCTACTGGACCCCCAGAAAGGTTTCCAGCCCTGTAGTTAGGTGAAGCCACAAGACCAACCCGGCCATTGGGCCATGAGCAAATGAGACACACATTCCTAGCCTGGCATTTACAGGCAGCTGTCAGTTCTATCCCCTGTCTCTTCCTTGCCAAGATGATCCTGAAAGCTGCTGTTTCTATGGTGGCATCACAAAACGCCAGTGTCTCTGTCCAGCAGGGACCCTACTGACCAGCACTAAAGATGTCACCAAGAAAAAGTGTGGTTGTGTCAAGCTTCCAAGACAGCAGGGCCAGTGTTTCACTCAGCAAAGCCTATCCTATCCTGATACATCCGGCACAAGAAAATATCAAATGGATAGGCTATATGTCATCTGGTCTGTTTGCAAACGTTGAAAGAAAAATTAGGTCAGTCATGTTTGCAGTTGTTCAGTTTTGTTCCAATTAACTGTGTCATTCACTAGCAATGGAATACCTAATTTCCACAAATGCACATCATAAACATCACCGAAAAACTGCTTTTTATTATTAAAAGTTTGAGAAGTGAATGGCCACAGCACTATTCTCTCATAATTTATTTAAATTCTTCTTCAGATTATTAATGTTGAGGAATTTAAATGTGACCACAGTGTAGCTTCAGACAAGCAAGTGAAAATGTTGACACAACCTAACTCTTCTTAGCATTGTGACTGCAAAGTTAGGGATATCCTGAGCCCTGAAAGGAAGAATCTCTTGGTCCCAATATTTCTAATAATTCTGTAGCTGTGATTTCTCCAGACTTGGTTTTCTATAGTGAATATAAAGACTGTCTTTCTTATTAATGCTAAGGGGAAAATATAATTTACATAGAAAAATGTTAATATATATTGAGACAATGTAGAATCTTAAGGGTAATGACCAATGAAAAAATTGTAAGTAGTAATCATTCGATGTGAGAATGTTAACAATCTCTTGATGAATGCATATCTAACACCTTACTCTCCCACCCATAACTCACAGATACTTTTATTCAAATAGAGACCACTAACATTTCTGAAAATCCACAGTTTAAAAGCTAATGTGGTACTCCGTCAAAATTATCCAACCTTTTAAAAATCTCGCAGTCTTACTGTTATATGCAGACCTATGTGATCCAAGCCATTTGGAATGAAAAATGAAGTGAGAAACAGTCATTAAATGGATTTGCTCTACCCCCAAATTCATTAACCTGTGGGTACTCAATGGAGGATATTGGCTGCATTATTGAAAACATTTTGGAGCTAATAAAAGGAGACCGCAACCAACGATGAATCCCCGCATGTGGAGAATCATGACCAACCCTATGAAATGCTTCACTAGGCTCCTGGCAAGGCTGCGGTTTTAAGCAACTAGAGGAGAGACACTGGCCTTCCTCATCCTCATATGTGTGCATGATGCTCAGGAAGGGAGATTCAAATGGGCAAAAATGCTCCAGAGTTAGGAACAAATCTTCATAGCAAAAGAAGGCTGTTGTTAATGTAAATCACAGCTGAAATTTCCAAACAGATGGAAAAAACAAGTTCACATGTTATTTAGTAAAAGAGCATTTCATAAATGGCCAATAAGCACATGAAAAGATGCTCAATGTCATTCATCACTAGGAAATGCAAATCAAAGCTGTAATGAAGTACCACTTCACGCCTGGTATGATGAGCATAATCAAGGACACACACAATAACAAGTGCTGGTGAAAGTGTGGAGAAATCAGAACGCTCATGCATTACCACCAGGAATGTAAAGGTGCATCTGCTCTGGAAAAGCAGTTAGGCAGGGTTTCTAAAAGTTCAACAGAGAGTTGCATATGACCTTGCAATTCCACTCCTAGGTCAAACAGCTAATAAATGGATAAATAAATTGTGATACATATTATATATTACTATATATAATATATGATATTATATATGATATACATACGATATACATAATATATATGATATACATATATAATATACATAGTTTAATAGAAAACATATATATGAATATCATACAGCCAAATGAAATGAAGCACTAATCCATGATGCAACACGGATGCACCTTGAAAATGTTATGCTAAGTGAAAGAAGCTGGACACAAAAGACCACATGTTAAATGATTCCATTAAATGAGATGTCCAGAATAGGCAAATCCAGGAACAGAAAGTAGGATTAGTGGTTTCCAGGGTCTGGGGGTTGGGGAAAGGGGGGAAGCAGTGTGTGAGTGACTACTAATGGGTATAGGATTATTTGGGGAATGAGGAAAGTGTTCTGGAATTGGATACTGACAATGGTTGTACAACTTTGTGAATATACTAAAATACACTGAATGATATAATTTTGCAAGATAAATTTTATGTTGTGTGAATTCTATATCTCCATTTTTAAAAAACTGAGTCATTCTCTCTCCCCCATGATTTCATTTCTTCAGTGTTATGATGAAATTTGGTAATTCTACCCACGGTGAGGATAGTAAGGAAAGCAGCTAATTATTCTAATTGACTTATAAATCCAAGATCCATATTATATTACTTTACATTATGTTATATTATATTGCATTATATTATATTTATCATCATTCTGAAATAATCTCTTGGATATTTACATTCATCTAAGATGAATATTTGATGAAAATTAGAATAGAGCCATCCAGGGATGTAAATATTTTTATTATCAGGTTAACACAAACTGTATGTAATAACTGCCTTAAATAGTTTACATATATCAGGGCTATTTTCTAATATGCCAAAGCCTTTCCAGTAAGAGCTCCTCATTTCTTTTGGGGATTTCATTAGGCCTTTCATCTGTAACTTTGTAAACCAAAAACAAATCTCTAAGCCCCTCAACCAACTGACGGACCCCCTCTCAGCCAAGGACATTTCAAAGAAATCTGAAAAACTAGTTCAGGGCATGAAGGGGGTCAGCCGTGCCTCACTGTACCCCACTCCCTTTGGAATTCAGACACAACTCACCAGCATTCACATTAAAACAGGGATCTTCAGACCGATAGAATAGATGTAGCAATAAGATACCAAATTCCATCCTGACTCTAGTATAACATCACATGACAGACAGCAGGCCCTGAAAGAAATCAAAGTATTTTACCCCAAAATACGCTTCTTTGACACATTTGGAGATGGCCTTGCAAAGTTGTCTTTTGTGGGGAAAATCTATATTCTGTAGAGAATCCCCTTCCCTTTCCAAAACCTTTCCCTAAGACTCTGGTAATTTTTTAGGTCTGATAAGAGCTCTGAAACCTGCTACCTGGAGGCTTCATCTGCATGATAAAAACCTTGGTCTCGGCACACGTATACATATGTAACTAACCTGCACAATGTGCACATGTGCCCTAAAACTTAAAGTATAATTTAAAAAAAAAAAAAAAAAAAACCTTGGTCTCTGCAACCCCATATCTTAACCCAGGCTCTTCTTTCTATTGATTCTGGGACTTTAGATAATAACTCTTTCAACCAATTGCCAATCAGAAAGTCTTTGAATCCACCTATGACCTGGAAGCCCTTATCCTGCCCCCTGCTTCGAGTTGTCGCACCTTGCCGGACTGAACCAATACACAACTTACATGTATTGGTGAATATCTTCCTGTAACTTCTGTCCTCCTAACATGTATAAAATCAAGCTGTAACTCAACCACCTTGGGTACATGTTCTCAGGATCTCCTGGAGTGGTGTCATGGGCCGTGTTCACTCATTTTTGCCTCAGAATAGATCTCTTCAAATAATTTACAGAGTTTCACTCTTTTCATCGACACCTTGACTATGGAAATTATCGTTTTTGGCTTTACCATTTGGTACCCTTGGCTTGTCTCCACATCAGAGCTCTGAAGGTCTTGGTGTCTAAATTAGCTGTGTAGTCCTTGCTGGCCCTAATGTGACTGAAACCACCTTTGCAAAAATTGCATCAGTGAGAAAATTATGACAGTGAGGGAGATCTGATCTATCCAATCCCCTTCTTGCCTCTAGCCTTCAAGCTGCCCTCAATTATTCTTGGGCTTAAGGCAAGCTAACTTTGGCAGACGTTTAGTTTATAGCTTAAATGATAACAGCCCTTCCCCAAAACTCAATTGCATTTGTAAAGCTAATCAAAGAACACCAGGCTAGGAGGATAGGAGAGACTGAATTCTGCTAAAGTGTAGACATAGAAGATTGCCAGCCATTATTCTGGAGGTCACAAGATATGCAACTTCCCCAGTTACTCCTGCAGATAACATCGCTATTGGAGAGCCTAAGACTGGCCTTTTGAGATACGTTTTCAGGGTTTTTGCATGTTTGAGACTGATGGCTCCACCTGGACTGGCCAGCTGCTCCTGTGGCTTACTCAGAAATGACTCTGCATGCAGGAGAACCATTTCCCACACCCCTATGATTTACACCCTCAACCAATTGGCAGCAAGCACCCATTGCCTAACCACCCTCCCCGCCATTCTTCCCCAAAATTGTCCTTGAAAAGCCCTAGCCTCCAAATCAGAGAGGCAGATTTCAGTAATAATACAACTCCCGTCTTCCATTTAGCCAGGTCCTACATGGGTAAAACTCCTTCCCTACTGCAACAACTCTGCCTCCATAAATCTGGTCTACCTCAGCAGTGGGCAAGAGGAACCCGCTGGACAGTTACATGAGTCCCTGGTAGAGTAAATATAGATCCATCTCCCCTCTAGAGAAGACGACCTAGGAGAGCAGCGATATGGTTTTTATGTTCACCACACTAGCCCCAATCAACCCCTAGGCCACTGCCTGCATGTGTTGTACAAATGCATGAATAAGTGAGAGGATGGATATGTGAATGGCTTAGCTGAAATGAATCTTACTAGAAACTAGAGTGCATAGAACATATATTAGGAAGCCTTGGGAATGTCTGTCCAGCTCATAGTGACCTCCTCTAAGAAGTATGCCTCAGCCACTCCAGGCCACATCTCACCACTTGTTCCCGTCCACCTGCTCAGAATTTCCTGTGCTAGGAGATGAAAGAAACCAACAAGGCCAAGCAGACTCCTCTTCGCCTGGAAATTGGGGGTTCAAAATAGCCATTTCTCTGTGTGTGGCTGAAATCGAGGTCCTATAAACTGGGAAACTGATCAGGCAAGCACTATTCTGCCATGAGCAGAAAAAAGATGCACTAACTGGTCACGGAGAAGCAAGGAGCTGAGGGCAGAGCACTGCAGATGCCGGGGTGGGTGGGCGCCCTCCATCCGGACCCTTCCTCCTTCCTGAGCCTGCCCCCAAGAGGCCCCAGTGTCCTTGGAGCCTGTCAGCCTGTTATTATTCTAATAATCCTCCATTTTGCTTAAGACAGATCCAATAGATTGCTTTATTTGTAGCTAAAAATACTTTCACAAAGACAACAATAAAATTGCTCAACCAGAGGGACACCAAGGGACAGGGAGAAGACCAGCAATTTCAAAACCATAATCAGGGAAATAATGACGGAAAATTTTCCAGAACTGAAATCTAATCAAACACATCATGAGAGAATCTGGGGTACATTCTGAACTAATTATCAAAGGAGGAGGCCTAGGAAACAGCTCATCAAGGCTCTGAATTTTAAGGCCAAAGATAACATTTTCAAGCCTGCCTCGCTGATTCTTTTCACAGGTTCATAATCAGTTATCCACAATCTTGAAACCCTAATTTCAGAAAAGCAAACTTTTTCTATATATTTTGATGTAAAAAAATTCAAAAAACCCTGACTTGAATAGGAATGAGGTTGTTTGCAGTCTTTATTTGTCCCACTTTGTGTAAATATTCATGTTTCACTGCAGAAATCATGCTCGGATGACAGGGTGCTGGCCCTGAACCTCTCAGGGTGTGTTACATTATATCCAAAATTCAGTATGCTCACTGAATTATCTTTCTAAAACACATAAAAAAATCTGAATTTTGAAACTTCTGGGGCTCAGAAAGCAATACCCCAAAATGAAGGCCTCAGAAGTGTTAAAGCAAGCTAACGATGGCCTGAGAAGGACTCTGTACTTCTCTATTTGAGTCCTTGTGGATGAACTGTAACCTAGCTTAATAGTCAGACAAAGCGAAAACCTAACTTAATAGTATGCACCTCTAACAATGGCTGAGTGTCAGCCAATCCCCGCAGCCATACTTCAACCACTCATAGGCTGCTGTATGTTCAAACTGTGTTCAAATAAGGCAAACGCCGAGCTGTAACCAATGTCACTGTTTCTGTACCTCACTTCCGATTCCCGTACGTCACTTTACCTTTTTTGTCTATAAGTTTGTTCTGACCATGAGGCACCCCTGGAGTCTCTGTGAATCTGCTGTGATTCTGGGGGCTGCCCAATTTGCGAATCGTTCATCATTCAATCAAACTCCTTTACATTTAATTCGGCTGAAGTTTTTGTTTTATCAGAAGGAAAAGTTTTCTCTGCCGTCCTCCTGCCTGCCCATCTCTCAGTCCCATTCTCCCCTGAGACTGCCAAAGACACTAGAATCTTTCCCAAGGCAGGTCATTGAAACCAGAATCCTTTTCTGCAAAGCCAGCCATAAAATCTAAAGTGTTATTCTCATTTTCCCTCTGCCTTTCTGTGTGAAAACTGGCCATGAAGAAACTGTCTGGCCTGCCTTGTTTGACTGTGGGTCCTACAACTCCCATTCCAGAAAGGGGCCTGCCCCACACTCAGAAGGAAGGAGTGCCGCTCAGAGAGGCCAGGAGGACCCTGGACAGACAGGCCCTGCTGGGTTTCCCACTCAGTCTATCAGTACCCAATCATACACTTTTTCTCCAATCCCATTTCTACATGGCTGTCCACACTTGGCTGAACCTAAGCTTTAACATGAACAATTTCTCCTGTATCTTTGGGTCTTCATTCTGAAGGCTCCTGTGTACACATGTTAAATGAATGTGTTTGCCTTTTCTCCTATTACTCTGCCTTCTGTGAGTTGGTTTTTCAGCAAAACTCAAGAGGCCCAAGGGGAAAGCTCTCCCTTGGCCCCTGTGAAACCCATCTGGCACTAAGGGTCTCATGCAGGCACTGCAGACCTCTGCAGAGCCAGCGCCCAGGCTGGGCTTGGTCTTGCTGTGCTGTGAGGTGATGGTCCCTGCACATTGGGAGCCACCTCTTTACCGGATGGGTGTGAACTGTGACCCTGGCCCTTGCTCACCCTTCTTTGCCATTGTGCCACCTCTTGCACACCCCTGGGTCCCTCAGGGCTCTCCTCTCTGTCACCACAGCCAGCTCCGTGTGGCCCGACAACCCTCACACAGATGCACCTGGAAGGTCTGCCCTGGAGCCCATGCCCCTGATGCCTTCTCTGCCTGGGCCGCCCTGCGGGTGCGGTCGCATGGCCTCGGCACATGCAGCTGGACACATGCACTCTGGCATCCCACGGGAAGGAGCTATGACCAATGGGCCATGCGCACCAGCCAGTAAACATTCCTTCTTGCTCTACTCAACCCCACAGACAGCCCTGAGGTGCATTTGGTACCTCCACTCAGGCAGCCTTGCAGGATGGAGCCCCAGTGGCCCGTCACGAAGGCCAGCACGCTGGGGCAGTGGTGCCTGCGCTCACTCTCCTCACTGCCCGGCCCCCATCCCTCACTCCTCTTCTCTGGGTTGAAGCTCCCGGATGAAGAACACACATGTGAGCCTTTGCCTCAGGCTGTGCCCCAGGCTGGGTCAGCCACATAGGAAATTCCCCACAATAGTTAAGTTGGAATCTGTGAGCAGCAATGAGAACTTTGTTCGTGCATCCTGAGAACCTACACCTTGCTTCTACTAATGAACCAGGCATTAGCAGCAGGCACCAGGGAGGGGAAATGCAGACACACAGACCATGTCCTTGAGTCTAGCTGGGAAGGGGGAGGACAGAGGACAGACGAGGAAAGAAATCATAAGAATATATTTAAGGTTTGCATAAGGTGCTGCGGAACTCCAGGGGGATTCTCATTGTGCCACGTGCCAGCAAGGGTGTGAAACAGCTGGAACTCCCATACATGCTGTGGGAACGCAACGGGGTTGGCCTTGCTAGAAAACAGGGCAGCAGCTGCTTTTAAAATAAAATCTACACCCACCATATGACACAGCAGTGCCACTCAAGAGAAGGAAATCAACCCAGAGAATAAAACCCTAAGTTCACAGAAAACCATGTGCTCAGAAGTGTCTGGAGTAGTTTTTTTGTTTTTTGGGGTTTTTTTGTTTTCTGTTTTTTGTTTTTCTGAAATAGTCTGGCTCTGTCATCGAGGCTGAGCCCAGTGGTGCAATCTCAGCTCACTACAACCTCCACCTCCCAGGCTCAAGCAATCCTCCTGCCTCAGCCTCCCAAGTAGCTGAGACTACAGGCGTGCACCACCACACCCAGCTAATTTTTGTATTTTTTGTAGAGACGGGATTTTGCCATGTTGCCCAGGCCGGTCTCGAACTCCTGGGCTCAAGCAATCCACCCTCCTCGGCCTTCCAAAGTGCTAGGATTACGGGCATGAGCCACTGTGCCCGGCCAAACATGAACCATTGATGCACACAGCAACTTGGGTGAACCATAAAGGCATTACACTGTGTGAGACAAGCCAGTCTCGAAAGGTGGCATACGATCTGATTCCATGTATATGACAGCCCCAAAAACACAAAACCATAGTGATGGAGACAAGATCAGTCCTTGCCAGGACCGGGGGAGGGTGGCTACAAAAGGACAGCTGAGAAAGTTCTGTAACGGAGCTGGCCTGTGCTCTGACTGCAGTGGCAGTTACACAAACCTACCTATGTGTTAAAATCCAAAGAACGCTACATTCAAAGGAAAAGTCAGTTTTGCTCTATGATAATAAAAAAAAAATAAAGAGAAAGAGTCAATGCTATGTCTAGGTTAGGATTCCTAAATGAAGGAATGTTATCTGATGTCACATTTTGTTTCACAATGCACATTTTTATATGACAGCACCCTATGTTATATGAAATTACATTGTTATAATGTCACGTAGTGTACAGTGTGTGCGCTGTATTAGATGATGTCACGTTACATGATGTACATCGTGTGATACGACATCATTTCATATCATATGACATCACATTGAACGAGGCTCAACTTACACAGCAGGACACATTGAAAACAGAACTTCTGGCCGGGCATAGTAGCTCGTGCCTGTAATCCCCGCACTTTGGGAGGCTGAGGCGGGAGGATCACCTGAGGTCAGCAGTTTGAGACCAGCCTGGCCAACATAGTGAAACTCCAGCTCTACTAAAAATACAAAAATTAGCCGGGTGTGGTGGCGCATTCCTGTAATGCCAACTACTTAGGAGGCTGAGGCAGGAGAATTGCTTGAGCCCAGGAGGCAGAGGCTGCACTGAGTTGAGATTGTGCCACTGCACTCCAGCCTGAGCAACAGAGTGAGACTCTGTCTCAAAAAAATTTAAAAAAACACTGTTACATTTAAAAAAATTAAAAAGAAAACAGAACTTCACCAAAGATAAATGATCACATTGCTACTGGCTGAAGACCCGGGAAGATCTTGTATCCATTTTGCCCTTGTTCTATCAGAAAAGTTCTTATAACTCTAAGGAAACTGTATTCCATTAAAATATATGCCAATCAAACTTTTCTCCTAGTCAACCTAACCTATCTTGATAAATATGCAGTATCTGGATCCCCAGATAAAATCACCTGAACACAAGCCCTAACTAAAAACAAAACAGGATTTAAAAGCAGAAAATAAACATGTCCATCATTCACAGATGTAACAACCACACAAAAGGAGATGAGACATTTTGTAAAAAAAACGTAGACTTGCAGGCTAAAAGTTTCATAGTAACCAAGATTTTTTAAGTCCATATAGTTAAAGATGTGACTTTAAGTATTAAAGTATTGTTTTTAATACAAAGACTGTTGCCAAATGTTAATAAAATTGAATGCAAGCTCTTATATCTTTTTAGTTTTTAAAATGCCTGCTATGTTCCTCTAAAGTAGACTCTCAAATAAAATCAGGAGCAAAATTATCTGTGAACACCTAATGGAACCTCTCTGCCCACAAAACACTAGTTTTTTAAATTTGTTTAATTACCAGTGGTGACCACGTAACATTCTTGTAGTCATTAAGGTTTCTAATGTTAAAATTACATTAGGCCTGAGGCGTAATTAAAAATAATTACACTGCAGCAATTTCTAGATGTAATCCACCAAATACAATTGAAATTCACAAAATCGTTACCACTCCAGCTTTGGATCATTACCTCATCAGGATTCCAAGCAGATCAGCTCTCAGGTGTGGATAAATAATACCTGCCAGCTTGAACCAAGCCCAGGCCACCTGGCAAGTTGGATTTGAGATTATCAAGAGAAAGAAATGGAGGGGCTGCAAATACATAACACAAAGCTGGAACTCCAGTCAAAAGCACATACATCATGTGTTGTGTGAGAATCTAGAAATGCGGCTTTTTTACATAAGAGAAAAGGAAGACCAACTTCTAGCCCATGAATGTCTGATGGTTTCCAGGAACCCCGGAAGCAATGATGTGGTGCGAATCGCTGAAGCTTGAGGCATTATCCATCTATTTTACAAAATTAAGAGGCTTCACTTTCTACGGCAGCTGCACTCCTCAAATTTCACAGTGAACCAAGGTTTTATACAAAATAAGATAAAAGTTGGGTATTTTAACCATCTTAGCAGAGCTCACTTTTGAAGGAAAACTATGGGTAAAGCTTTGGTAAAAGAAAAGACTGTGACACCACCTCAAATTTATGCTTCTTATAAACCTACACTTTCATGTGGGGTGGGTTTTGTTTTGTTTTCAATAAGGATACCAATGGAGATAACTGTGAAATTGATAAGAAACGCCTGGGAGAGTGGAGAACGTTTATGGAGGGTGGAGGAGGCCAGGGGTTGACAAGCTCTGTGGTGAGCTCCCCCTGAGAGAGCCACATCTCAGGTGGGGATAGGTCCTGGCCACAGCACAGGCTAGAGAAAGTGGAGAGGTCTGAGAGCCATGGGTGTGGTGAACGTGGGAGAAGAGAAACCAATGGTGGACGGTGGGAGAACAGTTTCATGCGCCAGATGCACCCTCAGACAAGGCAAGTGGGCCCTGCAGAGCACCGGCCATTCGCCAGGGCTCTCCCGAACAGACTGTCACCTAACTGGCATGGTAGGCGGCACAGATGGCAGCGCTGGCCTTGCCCATGTGGCTCCATCTCTTCTGGGAACCATGTAAAGATGTGGTTATTAACTACAATAGACAGGACAGTGCCCACTCTATATTCCTCCTCATGGTCATCCCTGGAGGGGCTGAGGACCCATGGCACAGAGTCTAAGGGGCCAGAGATGCATCTCTCTCTCCCTCCCTCCTGCCCAGGAAACCAAAAGGAAAGGCGCCCTTCTTCCCAGGGCAGGCTGCCCACCCTCCATCTCAGCCCTCTCTGGCCTTCCACCAGCCCGGCTGCCTGTGGGCAAAGTCAGTGTCTGGGAACAGGCTCTGAAACCTTCCCATCCAGAATGTGACAAAGCCTATGAACCAAAGCTAAATTAGACTCACCAAGATCAAGATGAATGCCAGGGACAAACGAATTGAGGAAAAACATGAAGATAACAAATCCCAACACTGTCAGGCATTTGGCGAGCAGAATCCCGTCAGATATCCTATGCTGTAAGAGAGAAACCACAGCTCATTTACTCTGCACAACCTTCTGACTCCTGCAGCGTGTCATAACCTACGCAACTGGAATCACGACAGATTTCACGAGGATGAAAAATGTAACCTCTCGAACTTGAAAGAAAATGGCAAAGTACTGTGTTACAAGGAAACCCGTACAGATTCAGGATTACTGCATTCAAAATCTTTATGAAAGATAAACACAGATGTCAAGAGTAGCACAGCCCTGTTATGAAACACCTGGCCGGCAGGTATCAGAGGATGACGGGGCGTTTCTACAGGGGCCTATGCTGTCTTCACTGTTCCTTTCTCTACCACGCCAAGCATGCGGGTGGGGCCATGAGGCTGAGCCTTCTCACGGAACTGTGACTCCCAGATAAGGCTCTGGCCATGTTCTTTACACGACATGCATGAGGCCCCTGGAATGCAGGGGGTGCACTCTTAGCGCTGGAATGACACCCGCGAGAATCCACCTGGTCATAGGGGGAGGGCAGGCCCCGAGGCACCTCATCCTCCGCAAGGCCTCCATCAACCTAGGAGTACCTAGGAGACGGCACGAGACGGGGCTCTCCCTATGAGGCCCCAAGGGTACTGTGCTCCACAGGCCATGGCTGCGTGGGGCCAGGGCAGGGAAGCACGCACAGATGGGCACCTGGTAGGCCTGCCCTGTTAACAAGGTCCCCGTGTGAATGCCGGCCCACTGTGTGAAAGGATAACTGCACCAGGTCCTTTCTCTTTCTTTCTTTCTTTCATTTATTTATTTATTTATTTTTATTTTTATTTTCATTTTCATTTTTTGAGACAGTCTCACTCTATCACCCAGGCTGGAGTGCAGTGGCACAGTCTCAGCTCAACGCAACCTCCGCCTCCCAGGGTCACGTGATCCTCCTACCTCAGCCTCCCTCCCCAGTAGCTGGGACTACAGGTGTGCACCACCATGCCCAGCTAGTTTTTGTATTTTTAGTAGAGATAGGGTTTCACCATGTTGCCCAGGCTGGTGTTGAACTCCTGGGCTCAAGCAATGCGTCCACCTCTGCCTCCCAAAGTGCTAGGATTACAGGTGTGAGCCACCACGCCTGGCAAGCATCAGATCCTTTCTTGAGTCTGGTCCCACCAGCACACCTGTCTACCCATCTGTCTAATCTGTCTAGGTGGATTAGATGGAGACAGCAATGATGATGAATGTCAATGTCTGTAGCTTCATGGATGCAGGTGGATCTCGATATCTACCATCATAGTGATCTATAGCTATCTGGATTTGGACAGATATAGACATATAGATATATAGATATAGACACACAGAGGTAGAGCTAGAGCTACAAAGAGATTCTCTCTCTTGCTTCCTCTGGTCACAAAGGTAAAGCTGCTGCCATCAAAAACACATGCAAGGCCCTCTGTGTCACAACAGCTGACACAGCCCCTCCTCTATGTGCAGTGGGGCCACTGGTGAGCATCTGCCCCTCCCTGCCCACCGTGAAGGCTCATGGCTGGGCCAGCCCCTTCTCATCTTCCCTGTCGCCTCTCTGGGGAAGGCCGATTTTCCTACATGATTCTGTGCTGAAGAATTAGGGCCAAAGGAGCATGGCAGGAAAAAGATTTGAAATGCTCAGAGGAGAGTGATGCGGATTCTCACCAGGCATGAGGGGAGGCACTGCAAACCTTCCCTGAGGTCGCAGCAACCACAGAAAGTGGCTATTGCCACAGCCAGTGCAAAGATTGGAGGTGGAGGAGTAGGCAGGTCAAAGAGCATTCCAGCATCCTGCAGCTCATGGAAGTGGAGGTTTTTTGGGGGTATCATTCAAATTTGCTCCTTCTGGATACCTGAGGTCATTTCTTTTTTTCTGTTTTCTTTTTTTTTTCTTTTTCTTATTTCAATAGGTTTCAGGAAGACAGGTGATGTTTGGTTATATGGGTAAGTTCTTTAGTGGTGATTTCTGAGATTTTTGGTGCTCCCATAGCCTGAACAGTGTACACAGTACCCAATGTGTAGTCTTTTATCCCTCGCCCCACTCCCACCCTTCCCCTCAAGTCCCCAAAGTCCATTATATCATTCTTATGCCTTTGTGTCCTCATAGGTTGGCTCCCACTTATAAGTGAGAACATACAATGTTTGATTTTCCATTCCTGAGTTACTTCACTGGTCACCAAGTCCATCCAGGTTGCTGTGAATGCCATTATTTCATTCCTTTCTATGGCTGAGTAGTATTCCATGGCATACACACACACACACACACACACACACACACACACACACACACACCTAGGGTCATTTCTGTAAGAATTCTTAGATGTGATACAGGGATGTTGCCAAGCCTTACCTCTCCATTTCATCTCACTGTAGTCCTCGTCCAGGTGTACAGAGAGGCACACAGTTCTCCAACTCATGACTAAAACACCACAGTCTAGCAAGGCAGGCATAATCTGTATGAACTTGGGGCCTGCAAGAGTATCACAGCTATACCTTTCTTTTCTAACCCTGGCCATCCACATGGGACAGAGTGTGAAGGCACTGAGGCACCTCATCAGATTGCATCCAACATCTTTATGGAAAATAAGCACGATAGATGTGAGGTGTTCTGAAGCCCTTTGAGGAAACACCTGACTCGCATGGAGAGTGTGCCCATCAAAATTAGAGTGGGTATTCAATCTCTCCCTAGAAAACAAACTGCATGGATCTGAAATGTCACTGAGATGCAAATGACTCCTAGCAGATCTTGAGCAGAGCTCTCTCGACTGGGAAGGGGTCCTCTGTGTTCATAAATGGGCTGAGAAAGTCCACCCCCATGGAAGAATGAGCCAAAAAAAACAAAACAAAAGAAAACAAGCTCTGCCCCAGGAAGTCACAGCCATCGGCAGCACACTCACGCATCCTATGTCTGCCCCTAAAGCTGCTCCACTTCATGCAGCATGCCTTGCCGGTCTCCCCTCCGCAAAGTGTGAACCTTGGGCCTGCCCTTCAGGGCCAGGAGCGGGCTGGTGGTCAGGGACACCCGCTCAGAGGGCGGGCCCTGCAACGTGCAGGGACAGGGAAAGGCTCTATAAAGATGTTTGCTTTCCACATCCTCACAAAATCAGCCTGCTGTATCCAGAAAACATTTTTCCCCATCCACTCACACACATAAACCTCAACGTCTTGTGTATAACCACAGAAATAAAAAGAGAAACGGCATTCAGTCACGTGAGGGAAGGAAAAGGCATCACTCACTCTCTTCTTGGAGAAGTGAATCAGAAATCCCTGAGGAAAGAAAGCTGGGTACCTTTTTTTGGAGTTCTTGGATATTGGTCTCCCAATTTTTGTCCTCCTGTGAGATCTGTCTAAAAGAGAAAAGAAGAGACTCATTACTTCCCTGGTCACGCTGCGTGGTGAGATCGCGGAGCAGCAGTCCCCAGCGCTTCGTGCCTGGACGCGGTCTGTGACTTGGAGCCTGGCTGGCAGGACTAGTCATGGGGGGCCGGTGGGGCTTCATTTGTTGGCTGGAAAAGGTGCTCACTCTCTATTTTCCCAAAAAAATACATATAATGACCTGAATGATGAAAGGAGTGTGTGTGAGGAGGTACATGTGACAGCTTGCGCAGGGGAAGCTTCACGAAAACCCCGCAGCAGTGCGTGGAGGAGGGCAGCGACCGTCAGTCTCTTTATTTTCCTCTTTATGCACACTTCTACGGTCCTGAATCTCTTTGTTTCCAAAATGAGGGCACTGAACCTATACAACTATTACAACCAACTAAAGAAAAACGTGGTAAAAGAAATGTCACTTGCTTTAATGTTGTTTTTTATCAATCGATGATCACTTCCACGCCTGAAATCCTAGGACTTTGGGGGGCCGAGGGGGAAGGATCACTTGAGGCCAGCAGTTGGGGAAGATCAGCTTTGAAGTCTTTTCTGTCCATGCTGCTCCTGCCGGGGTGGTCTCCTCCCGCCTGTTTCAGCCCCTTCAGTGGCTCCCACTTGCCTCTTCTTTTTCATGTTTCTGACTCAGCCCACCCCTCCTGGCTGACTTCCTCCCAAACCAATTAGGGAAAAGGGGCTGCACAATGAAGAATGCAGTTTTAGTATCAAAAGAGGCTGACCACACAGGCAGTCTGGGTCGTAAGAAATCACAGCAGACACAGTCGAATGATTCTGAGGACAATTTTTAAAAAGAAAATGTAAAAATAAGACTTGCAGGACGGGCGTGGTGACTCACATCTATAATCCCAGTACTTTGGGAGGCTGAGGCAGGCGGATCACCTGAGGTTGGGAGTTCGAGATCAGCCTGACCAACACGGAGAAACCCCGTCTCTACTAAAAATACAAAATTAGCCAGGAGGGTTGGTACATGCCTGTAATCCCAGCTACTCGGGAGGCTGAGGCAGGAGAATCACTTGAACCCAGGAGGCAGAGGTTGCAGTGAGCCGAGATCATGCCACTGCACTCCAGCCTGGGGAACAAGAGCGAAACTCCGTCTCAAAAAAATAAAACCTGCAGAGCTCGACCTTGCTTTAGGACACCCTCATGGTAATCTGCTTCTCAGCAACTGTGTGGCCTTGGGAAGCCACGCCCTCCCCAGGTCTGTTTCCTCATGTGTGACTAACACCAGAGGAGCTGATGGGAACGTGGTGAGCCTCGGAGCCCACATGTTTCCTCATGTTTGTAACCTGAGATGCACTGAGTGTGTCTTTAACACCCAACACCAGCACAATTTATTCCATCTTTAGTTTATGAAGCGTCTCCTTTAAGATCTGTGCTTGCTGCCAAAGTTGGTCATTCTTTCCCCAGCCTGTAACTCAGGGCCTCCCTGTGGCCTGAGGACACTGGTCCTGCTGCTCCAGCATTACTGGGCGAGATGGGTCCCGGACCGGGGATGAAGCCAATGGCACTGAGCCGGCACTTCATCCCGGGATTGTGTGGGACTCCATGTGACTGCCTGTGAATCCTCCCACTAACAGACCAGACCTTGAGACACCCATGCAGGGTGACCCCTCAGTGCACAGCGAATGGCAACAGGCAAGACCATTCTAGATTTTGTTCATAAGGGTTCACATTTCCCCTTGCCTAGATGGACATCTCCACCCCCTCTCAGCTCAGCTGTGGGGACGCTTCAGCTTCAGCATCCCTTGGGGGGCCACCAGGCTCCTGCTTCTTCTGTCTGAGCTTCCAGAACAAAGACTGCTTGGAACTCAGCAACATGTCATAGCAAGGAGAAAAACCACCAATTCATGGTTACCCTTTAAATCTCAGCTTCAATTAACAACGAATGCCAGGAAACAAATTGAGTGGGGCTTTCATATTCTTGCAGGTGCCTGAAAATCAACTGCTGGCAGAATATTTTGTCAAATTAGTCTTTGCATTAATGGTTTTTGGTTTTTGTCGTGCAACAATTACAATGTAGAGAGATGGGACAGCCCAGCGGTTGACAGTGAGAGCCCCATCCCCAGTGCCACTCCTTCCGAGCTGCACAACCCTGGGCACGCCGCTCAAATTCTCTGAGCCTCTGGTTTTGTGTTGTTTCTTTGGTCCTTAAACTCGGCTGTGTACCCCCTGCAGAGCTCAGTGAGGGTTAGATAAAATGTACTATAAGAGGCTTAGCACAGTGTGCGTCACCTAAATATCACGTATTAGTATACAGCTAATGTCGCTATTTTGTAGGCCCATGGAATGTTCTGCTGCACACCAAGCACAGTCTGAGCAGGACCCCGCCCGGTACCTGTGGAAGGTGTGCAGCCTCCGGGCGAGCAGGTGCTCCAGTGCCAGCACCTTCCCCAGCAGCAGGCGGCGCACAGCTGTCTCCTCGCGGCTGGCCGGGCTGATGCGCTGAGCAGTCAGGCGCCAGACGTGAATCTCGTGCTTCAGTTCTGCAGAGAAAGGAAGGCGAAGCTTGGGTCTCCCATGACCTCAGATATCAGCAACACCCTCCTCTGTTCCCCACACAGTCGATGCCTGACAGAGCAGACACACACTCGAGACGTGCAGGTAGCCCAGGGTCACCCAGAGCTTCTCAGCACCTGAGCTATTGCAATGGAGCCCAGACGACAAAGCCGACATTTAAAAATTATCACAAATTGCAAGGACAAAAAACCAAACACCACATGTTCTCACTCATAGGTGGGAATTGAACAATGAGAACACTTGGACATAGCAAGGGGAACATCACACACCAGGGCCTGTTGTGGGGTGGGGGTAGGGGGCAGGGATAGCATTAGGAGATATACCTAATATAAATGACGAGTTAATGGGTACAGCACACTAACATGGCACATGTATACCTACGTAACAAACCTGCACGTTGTGCACATGTACCCTAGAACTTAAAGTGTAATAAAAAAAAAATTATCACGAAAGCGAAGTAATGCAATTTCAACACTTTCAGTGAAGAATAAATTCCTTTCTTGAACCAACACATCAAAGCTAGCACCCAACAACATTTCCCCTTCTTGCAGGAAATATTTCGGATCTGCTTCCAGCCAAAATCTAGACATTGCCCAATCTTTGAGGGGTTTCAGGAGCAGATCTAGTGAAAATTGAAAACACAAGTGTAATTCTCAGGAGAAGGTGCTCAGCGCTCTCCAACAGGGCATTTGGTAAGCAGCAGAAGACAGGGAGGCGCCCTCCAACCAGGCGCCACTGAGCTGTCTCTGACACAGGCGAAAGAGAGAGGTAGATGACTTGATGAGATGCTGAAATCTATAGAATGAGCAGAATTTTCACCCATCACTGAATTCAGACACCTTCTGATAGAGAAGAGTAGAGAGGAAATGATGTGTCAATTCATTGCCTCTTAAGATATTCAAATATTTCATGAAAACCTACATTTAACCTCTATTTTACTGTTAAAAACATTACATATGTTTCTCAAAATATCCATTAAAAGAATATAAGAAAGCACAATATTTTCATGAACCATCCCTTACGTGCAATACTCCACACTGCCTATAGCAAGAATTAAAGATAGGATGAAAAGACAAAGCCTTTCAAGCAGGCGCTGGGGCACTGGAAGAGCAGCTCGGGGCAGATTCAAGGCATGGTGATCACCCGAAGACCTGGGAAGCAGCATGAACATCGTGGGTTCAGTGGAATGGGAAAACGCCACCTTTTAAGCCCCTTCTGTTCAGTACGTGAGTGCTCATCACCCACTGCGTGGCAGACCTACTGCAACAACAAAGATGAGTTAGGCAGAGGGAGGCAGTCTGGAAACGAAGCATGTCATGACTCAGAGAGAATGCGCAGAGCCTGGGAGCACCAGAACTATTTCAGTTAGCACATGGCTTTCTCTAAAGCTTCAGCCCTACCAAGATGAAAACCTTTAGAACTAAGATACATAATATGTTTTCATTCAGTACATATGGATGCTTTGTAGCTTACTAAAATAAAAGGAACTTGGGTATAATTCAAAGGCCTCTTCAGAGAAACAGATCCAAAATTTCCTCTTGAAAAGTCTCACACTTCGTTAAACCACCTATGAGGCTATGATAACATAAAAAGAAAGGGGAAGAGGAAGTGAAGGAAAAAACTAATGAACTCACTCTCTGAAACACTGAACACAAAAACACCATCTGTGGAAGGTCTCCAATGTAAGTTCAGACAGAGCCAGTATTTCATCCAGTGCTCTAAATCTTGCTAAAAGCCCGTCCATAAAGTACCAGAGACTTTCCAGCCATTCTCTAAAGGCATCACGGTGAAGGGCCACTTTCTGAAGCAGCTGATCAGCTTTAAAGTGCTCACACCTCTGCGTGGTTCATCTCTGGTGCCAGCCCCTGGGTGCGGGCTGGAAGTCTCTCCATGCCTTTATGTTTGGAGAAGCAAAGCCTGGGAACCAAGGCTATGCTGGTGGAGCTGACCTCCCAGTCTCTGTGCGACTACTGCAGGTGCTTACTCTCCAGTGGAGCCTCAGCCACCTTCATGCACACCCAGCACCTACCTGCCTTCTAACCCATAAAACCAAAAAGGAAGTGCTGCTCCACTCAGATCAACCCACGCATTAATACTCAGGTAGTACACTTTTGTATTCCTAGTTGTGGAATGTAATATACAAATTATGAAGGAATTTAGTCGGGAGGGATTTTGCCCAGAAGGGTTCACCCAGAACTCAGTTTACCAAAACCTGTCCATGTATCAGTTCCCAGGCTTCCTCTGCACCTCCTCTGTCATTTCCCCACCCTGTCTACTCTGCTGAGGTCCAAGACCATAGACCCAGCTGGCTACCCAATATTTCCCTCTGAACCCTGTGCTGCAAACTCATAGCTAAACACTTTATCTTCCTCCCATAAAGTTTCTCTCCTACCCTTACCTTCTTAGTTTTTATATAATGCAATTGCTCTTCCAGGTACACAAGACTGAAATGTCATCCTGGTCTTGTCAATGTCATTCTCTTTTATATTTCCACATTAACATTATTGTGTCACAGGTGTCAGATCTGTGTTTGATGCTAAAGGATAAAATTTCATTGGTAAGTTACAAGATGGCCTTCCAAAACTGGAAAGAGATATAAGATATATCATAAATAAACATACGCTAGGGTAGTGTGAGCCTCAAGAGCCACCCAGGATATGCTGGCACAGCTCTTGCCTTGTCTGCTTCTTCCTGTCCTAGGTTACCTTCTTGTCCAGGCCTCACCCTCTCACATTTCTTAATTCTTATTGTTCCTTAGTAACCTTTAACTACAGTCACTTGCTATAAACCTGCCCCTGCTTAATCATAAAACACCATTTGCTCTATCTATCTATCTATCTATCTATCTATGTATCTATGTATCTATCTCCCGCCTGTAATCCTAGCACTTTGGGAGGCTGAGGCGAGCAGATCACCTGAGGTCGGGAGTTCGAGGCCAGCCTGGCCAATATGGTGAAACTCTGACTCTACTAAAAATACAAAAAATTAGCTGGGCATGGTGGCAGGCACCAGTAATCTCAGCTGCTTGGAAGACTAAGGTAGGAGAATTGCTTGAACCCAGGAGGTGGAGGTTGCAGTGAGCCAAGATTGCTTCACTCCACTCCAGCCTGGGCATGACAGAGCAAGGCTCCATCTCAAAAAAAAAAAAAAAAAAATGGTAACAAAAGCCAAAATTGACAAATGGGATCTAATTAAACTAAAGAGCTTCTGCACAGCAAAAGAAACTACCATCAGAGTGAACAGGCAACCTATAGAATGGCAGAAAATTTTTGTAATCTATCCATCTGACAAAGGGCTAATATGCAGAACCTACAAAGAACTTAAACAAATTTACAAGAAAAAAACAACCCCATCAAAAAGTGGGCAAAGGATATGAGCAGACACTTCTCAAAAGAAGACATTTATGCGACCAACAAACATATGAAAAAAAGCTCATTACCACTGGTCATTAGAGAAACGCAAATCAAAACCACGATGAGATACCATCTCACTCCAGTTAGAATGATGATCATTAAAAAGTCAGGAAACAACAAATGCTGGAGAGGATATGGAGAAATAGGAATGCTTTTACACTGTTGGTGGAACTGTAAACTAGTTCAGCCATTGTGGAAGACAGTGTGGCGGTTCCTCAAGGATCTAGAACCAGAAATACCATTTGACCCAGCAATCCCATTACTGGGTATATAACCAAAGGATTATAAATCATTCTACTATAAAGACACATGCACACGTATGCTTATTGCAGCACTGTTCACAATAGCAAAGACTTGGAACCAACCCAAATGCCCATCAATGACAGACTGGATAAAGAAAATGTGGCACATATACACCATGGAATACTATGCAGCCATAAAAAGGATGAGTTCATGTCCTTTGCAGGGACATGGATTAAGCTGGAAACCATCATTCTCAGCAAACTAACACAGGAACAGAAAACCAAACACTGAATGTTCTCACTCATAAGTGGGAGTTGAACAATGAGAACACATGGACACAGGGAGGGGATCATCACACACCGGGGGCTGTCGGAGGGTTGGGGGCTAGGGGAGGGATAGCATTAGGAGAAATACCTAGTGCAGATGACAGGTTCATGGGTGCAGCAAACCACCATGGCATGTGTATACCTATGTAACAAACCTGCACATTCTGCACATATATCCCAGAACTTAAAGTGTAATTGAGAAATAAAATAAAATAAATAAAAATAAAAATAATTTAAACATTTTTAAATTAATTAATTAAAATAATAAAACAAAATAAATCTATTTCCCAGATGATAGGAAGATGACTGATATTTATCTAGCTATCATCTTCCTAGATCTATCATTTCCTAGATTAGATGATAGATTACAGATAGATAAATAGAAGATAGACAGATAAATTCCTTCTTTCAAATATCCAGTAGTTCCCCGTGGCCTGTAGAATAAAGCTAAAGATGTCAAAGATCTTCAGAGAAGACTCAAAACCCCAAATGCCCAGCACCATTGTGAGCTCTGATTCTGCCATATAAGTTTCAACTCTTTGTCTTTGCCACCCTAGCCTCTTACTAGGAGACATCATCAGATATCCCATGTCTTACCTCTCTATCAGCCTCTATCTTTCTGAGCTTCTCAACCAACTTCTGATGGTATTACTTAGAGTGGCCACATACATGTTTCAAACAGGCAAAGAAAGTGCCGTGTGGGATGTGCTCTGACACAGGAGGTGATGGCTTCCAGGGAAGCCTAGAGTAGTGAGCTCAGAGCTGGGAATCTCAGGAGAAGAAGCCTAGGCCAGAAAGAGAGAAATGGAACTATACTAGTGTTAAGTTCTTCTACTGTATGTTAGGTAGTATAATATCGCTCAAAGTTAGTGGTATAATAGTCACTAAAATCACAAAACAGAATTAAAGCCAAAAAAAGTAACAACCAACAGAGGAGAAAATATAGAATGTATTTAAATACTCAATTAATTCAAAAGAAGGCATAAATGAAGAAAAGGGTAATAATGAAGCACAAATATAAAACAATAATATGATGTTACACTTAAATTCAATCGCATCACTAAGCACATTAAATATAAATGGTTTAAGAGACAGACTATCAGAGTAGATAAAAAATCAGGATGCTAATATATGCTGCTTACAAGAACTGTACTTTAAAGATATAAATAAGTTAAAAGTAAAAAGATGGAAAAAGATACACCACACTAACACTAGTCAAGAGAAAAATGAAATTGTTATATTAACAACAAAGTATATTTCAGAGCAAAGAATATTATCATGGATCGCAAAGATTGTTTTTATAGCAAGGTGTTAAATCATCAAGATGAAAGAACAATCCTAAATATTTATGTGCCCTAATAGTAAACTTTTAAAATGCATAAAGCAAAATAATAGAATTACAAAGAGAAATAAACAAATCTATAATCAACCTTAGACACGTCTGTATCCATCTCTCAATAATTAAACAAGTAGATAGAAAATCAGCAAGAATATAGAATACTTGAATAACATTATCAGCCAATCTGACCTAAGCTATATAATTGACATCACTGAACATCCCTCCTAACAAGAGCAGAATACGTTTTCATTTCTAGTGCACACAGAATGTTTACAAAGGTAGACCACATTCTATAGCCATACAAGCCTCAATAAATGTTAAAGGATTCAAGATTTATGAAATATATTCTCTTACTACAGTGGAACTAAATTAGGTAACTGCAAAAACTTTCCCAAATACTTGGAAGGTATATAAACCATCTAAATTATCCAAGGATCAAAGAAAAAATAAAAAGATGCATTATAAGATAATTTGAACTGAATGAAAATGAAATAAAAATAATAAATTAGTGAGAGGCCACTAAAGTAATACTTAGAAGGAAATTTAGAGCACTAAAGGCCTATATTAGAAAATAAGATGCACATAAAATCAATAACCTTAGCCTCCACTTTAAGAAACCAGTGAAAAAATAAGCAAGCCTGAAAGTAAGCAGAAAAAAAATAAATAAAGAGCACAATAGACATTATTAAAAGAGAAAAAAATTGTAGAGAAAAATCTATATAATCAAAAGCTGGTTCTTTGAGATCAATAAAATTGATAAACCAACCAAAGAGAGAGAGAAGACACAAACTATCAAACTACCAACATCAGGAATGAGAGATATGACATTATCAAAAATTTGATAGCCCTTAAAAGGATAATGAAAGAATATTATGAACAATTTTATAACAATACATTCAACAACTTAGATTAAATGGACAAATTCCTTGAAAGACACCAACTACCAGTCAACACTCAAGGAGAAACAGATAACTTGAATAGCCATCCCTATATGTATATTAAGGGATTTGAATTTGTAGTTAAAAACCTTTCCACAAAAACATCCAGGCCTATAAATGTCCAAATAAACATTTAAGAAAAAAGTAATAGCAATTCTACAGAAATTCTTCCAAAAAATTGAAGATGAGGAAATATTTCCATATTCCTCCTATGAGGACAACAAAAAAGACATTACAAGAAAGGAAACTACAATCAAGATCCCTAATGTACACAAAAACAAAATGCTAAACAAAGTATTAGCAAGAAGCAGCATGAGTTGAACATTTGGTGATCAGAGGGATAGGCTCTGGTGATTATTGTTCTTTTCACCATGTAAGTCATGCTCTCTCCCATTCTGAGCACCTGGCAGGCTGGCCTGTCCTGGTCCCTTGTGACTGGGTGGGGCCTGCCTGTGTCACTGGATGGCAGAATGGGACCATGCTATTCTCTTTGCCTTCAAGGCTAGCCGCTCAGGACTCTAAGAACAGATGATGATCAGGGCCCCTGCCAGTCCATTGGGGAGGGGGCGGGGGGTACAAAGCCAACACAAGGAAGAAAACACAGTTCTGGAAGTCACTGAGATTTCAGGGTTACTTTTTCACTGCAACATAACCAAGCCTGTTCTGACAATGCTCTGTACACCACCACAGGCCTGCTAAACTCAGATCTCTTGAGTGGGGCTTGGGAATCTGCAGTTTTACCCACCACTCCAAATTTGGAGCCCTCTAAGCCCCACAGTGGCACAGAGCAATCACCCCACCTTGCACTGCTGGTCTTAGCCCGGCCATAGGGTTCCTGCATCACCAGGTGTGTCCACTTCCAACCATCACTCCCCACTTCCCTCGAAGCTTTTCTCTGTTCCTTACTCAGGAACGGTGAGGAATTCATTACAGAGATTATTTTCTGTGTGTCTAAATCTGTGTATCCCAAATTCATCTCAAGATTAGACTCTTCAGGACAGCTTACTAACAACACAGAATTCCTGGGGATGACGCTGAAAATCTGCATATACAACAATTGTCCCAGGTCACTGTGATCACCAGGGAGGTTGGGAGAGGCTGGCATAGTTGGGCAGGATGACGGTTGAGCTCTCCACTAAGACACAGCTGTGCACACACAAGCTCCAAGAGACAGGACAATTATCCACCACGATCACAGTCTCCTTCACTCTCCCTTAGTTCTAACATTTTCATCAGAAAAAGAAACCTATATATTAATTTATCTTACTTTGCATATATTAGTTGATTATAAAACATTCTAAACACCTCTAACTAGTTGTTATGGGTTGAACTAGGTCCAGCCCCCAGGTAAGATGAGTAGATATTCCCAAGAACAAGCTTGTTTTGACAGATGAATCCTGAGGAGGAATGCAAAACAATGTTTTCTTAATGAGATTTTTTAAATACTCAAATTCTGAATAACATGAAAGTCACACAGATCTGTCTTGGACAGTCAGCATCGGAGGAACTGGAGTATGGCAGGACCATGTCGTGGCCTCCAGCCACCCATGTGGAAATGGAATCTGGGTATCTTATCCAGAACAAAGACAAACTGAGATCCTGTAAAACACAGGCCAGCAGAATCACAAAGGCTGAGAGAGATCAACATGCAATCCGTGAGCTCTACAAATTCCCAAAGAAGAGCGCCTTCATCTGCTGAGCTCTGGTCGCCTGATGCCCCTGTTACCCAGGCAACCTGCACAGCATCCATATTCTGGAGCTCGTCAAGGAAAGGCTGCTTGTTTCCCAAATAATCTATTGTTCCTAATATATTCTAATCAGTAATGATCTCAGTAAAACATCTACTAAAGTGTTTTAGTGATGAAAATGCAAAACGATAAGATGGCCCTAAGCCCTCATCCTGCTGGCTGGTGCTCAGCATCTGCTGTTTGTTTGTTTGTTTGTTTGTTTTTGAGACAGAGTTTCACTCTGTCGCCCAGGCTGGAGTGCAGTGGCACGATCTTGGCTCACTGCAACCTCCACCTCCTGGGTTCAAGCAATTCTCCTGCCTCAGCCTCCTGAGTAGCTGGGATTACAGGCCTGTGCCACCATGCCCGGCTAATTTCTGTATTTTTAGTAGAGACGGGGTTTCACCATGTTTGCCAGGCTGGAGTCGAACTCCTGACCTGATTCAGGTGATCCGCCCACCTTGGCCTCCCAAAGTGCTGGGATTACAGGCGTGAGCCACCGTGCCTGGCCTAGCATGTGCTCTTGATTGACAGGGCCCATCACCTCCTGTGCTGGGTTATGTTGCTGTTATTTCCAGTCATATTTAAGACTCAAGCTATGATACACTATTAGAGCACTGCAGTCTATATGTTAGTGTATTTGTACCATATACACGTGGCTTTAGGGGGTTATGACATGTGAGTTGTACATGGTGGCCATTACTTCCCACATTTTACCACAGTACACTTCACAGAAAACTAAAGAGGCACAGCTCATGATAGCAGCCCTGAAAACAGTGTATACTAGAAGGTGGACGTGGAGAGTCACTGGTATTGAGCATCCAGCAACCCATCAACAGATACTTCCTGATAAGAACTTCTCCTGGTAAACAAACAATATTATGGTCATGAAATCTGAGCCTACATGAGGTTGCACTTGTACTCACCAACAATCTCACTGGGTTCCTTGTTATAAAGCTTTCTGTTCCAGTAAAGGAGTCTGAGGAGCGGAAAGCAGACCAGGAGAACAAGACAAATCCCAATGAACATGTGTGCAGTGAATCCGGCAAAGTCCAGGCCCTGGAAATAAACAAGGGGAAATGAAATGGCAGCCCAGGCATGGTGGCTCACGCCTGTAATCCCAGCACTTTCCGAGGTGGGTGGATCACGAGGTCCGGAGATGGAGACCATCCTGGCTAACACAGTGAAAACCTGTCTCTACTAAAAAATACAAAAAATTAACTGGGCGTGGTGGCGGGTGCCTGTAGTCCCAGCTACTCGGGAGGCTGAGGCAGGAGAATGGCGTGAACCCGAGAGGCGGAACTTGCAGTGAGCCGAGATCATGCCACTGCACTCCAGCCTGGGCGACAGAGCGAGACTCCGTCTCAAAACAAACAAACAAAAAGAAACGGAAGACGGGCCTTTCCTCCGCACAGGCAGCAGCTCCCTGAGTCAGGGTCCAGGGAGGGCCAGAGCCCAGGAGGGAAGGGGCTCACCAGGAGTTCCAGGACCTTAGGCAGAGGTCCTGGAGCCCAACACAAAGCCCACGAAAGACCACGGATTCCTTACCATGATTTTGAAAATTGTTAACGTTTGTTTCTTTCATGTCGAAAACCAAAAACCAATTCTTACACAAATGACAAGCCATCATAGGAAGAAACAAAAACAGGCTACCACATCTAACTCAACCTTGGCTTGGTCCATCTTCACCACTAGATTGATGCCTTCCCCAAGATAGGGTGAAAAAAGACTGAATGGGACAAAATACTAAACTATATGATAATATTTGCCCATTTAAAGGTAAGTTGAATTTTTAAACACTTCATTTAAGTCCCTGCCATCGGTTTGAAAGTGTCCTCGTGGCTGGAGAGCACAGCCCTTTGCAGGGCACTCAGGGCCCATCAGGGCTGGGATCGCTTAGAGCATGGGGACCAGCCGCAGGGACTCAAGCAGGAACCTCTCCTTCCCGGCACGCTTCCTTTGCCTGCCTAGGGCTCTGCACGTGGCCGGCCACTGAGGGTATCTTTAGAGTTGGGCAAATCCCCACTAGGTTGATTTGTCCTGGAATAAGTCAGCGGCGTCATTGGTTGGTTCTGTTCTTTCACACACAAACGTCCTGGAATAAGTCAGCAGCATCATTGGTTGGTTCTGTTCTTTCACTGACGTCCTGGAATAAGTCAGCAGCGTCATTGGTTGGTTCTGTTCTTTCACTGACGTCCTGGAATAAGTCAGCAGCGTCATTGGTTGGTTCTGTTCTTTCACTGGCGTCCTGGAATAAGTCAGCAGCGTCATTGGTTGGTTCTGTTCTTTCGCTGACGTCCTGGAATAAGTCAGCAGCGTCATTGGTTGGTTCTGTTCTTTCACAGACGTCCTGGAGTAAGTCAGCAGCGTCATTGGTTGGTTCTGTTCTTTCACAGACCATGTGCTTTTACACCTTCAGCACATCTGTGCAGGCACCTCCTGAGCCCCCAGCAGGACAGATGAGGCTCTTATCCCCATGAAGCTGGCCATCTGGCAAGAACTCAAGGTCTTTTCTGTAGTGTCCATGAATCACAGGTGCCACAAAGGGGGTCAGAGGCACAGTGACAATGCACGACCATGGGGAATGACAGGGGCAGGGTGGGAGGGACCACGGGCAGTCCAGCTCTGCCTTGGGACCCTTAGGAACCTCTTACATAGGTAGAGGGGTGGCAAGTCACACAGAACGTTAGTGAGGATCCCACGTTGGGAGTTTGGAAAATCACCTTCCAAAGGTCTGGGTTTGAGTGATTTAAACTATATTAATTGTTCCTTATTAAAATTTATGTATTTTTCCTCTCACTTTTAGAAAATATGTGAAATCACTTTCAACATTATTAAAGATACAACACAACTAGAGGCCATTATCAATGAAGTTGTGTAAAAGTTTAGAGCTTGCCAATATACAATAATCTGAAATGCTTAATCCCTTGCAGTTACCGGCACATCCAATGGTTGTCCTTGAAAACAGCATTACAAATGACAGGTGGAGCTATATAAGCTAATTCCTGGACAGATGGCAGGGAAACCACACAGAGGCGGGACTCATGGAATGCTTTGGGTGATCATATAGAAGAATTCACCACTTTCCCGATAGTTCTTCAATGGGGGTATTACATTGAATTTTGTGTTTATCTCTATAATTCATACCCCAGATATCTGAAAAAGATCCACGATACTTTTAGGGGCTTATGAAACTGTTTTAAATTCTTCTAAACTCAGAGGCAAAAAAAAAAAAAAAGGAACTGTTGCGTCAGAGAAAATGATTTAAACTATAGTACTAATATATTTATACACTAGCTGGGTCATGAAATGCAATTGTTAATATTTTTTAGAGAAAATGTCCCAAGAAGACAGAAGTACCTATATCCTGAGTAATTCTTGGTCCCTCTAGAACATAATAACTATAAAGTTTTGCCCCATTTGAAATGTTGGGGCAATTGGAGAAAAAAGTGATGAGTAGATAAAAGAAAAAAAAAAAAGTAAGGAGGTCCTGGGTGTGCGTCCACAGCAAAATGACACAGCACTGAGTGAAGCATTTGGTTGCTACTAGACTTGCGATGGGTGGATTCATCAAAAGAGCAATGATAAGGGAAAAATCCAAACTGATCACTTTAGGAAACAGGCAGATGCAGTGTGCAGTGGGATGCAGATGTTTGCACTAAGCTTATTAGGCGCAGGTATCTGGGACACCCTGCTGCTTTTACATGCCTCTGTAATTTCCTAGACTCTCGTCTGTGTTCCCAGTAACAAAACTATCCACCAGCACACTCACATCAATTCAGCGCCTAAATGCGCTCTTTCTGCTTCAAGGTGCCACTTCTGCTTTGTATTGTTTTATTATAGGCTCCATTCAGTCATTTTCTTCTTAATTTTCCCCACTGTCCTCATTTGATGGATTAAATGGCCAAATATTAGGCACGTAAACCAAACAAAAGAGGAACCCTCAATCAGATCAGAACATTCCCAGATTCATAATCTACATACATTTAAGGGGACACGCCTGAGGGACTTCTGGCCCACCAATATCATTTTCTAGGAATGACGCTTCAGGCTAGCTCTGTGACAAGTCAAAATGGTCCATTAGGTTGCAAAGGAGGGGCTCAAGCCAAAATGATTTCTTGAATTCTTCCATGTGAAAATTTAAAAAAAAAAAAAAAAAGCTTCTTATGAAGTGTTTAGCTGAATCTATTGAATATTTTAGTAAAATATGCATGGTGTAATTTGAAAATATAATCCTGTCTAGATGGCCAGTAAGGAGAGGACCCAGCACTGCAGGAATGCGTGTGGGCCAGACGGGGGTGTGGGTCTCGCTGCTTGTAAGGGATCCATCAAGCATAGGTGCAGGGGTCCTGGCACACATGGGTCTAAAGGAAGAGCCTCTGGCAGAGACACAGATCCCAGCAAGCTGAAAACGGAGCAAGCCACGGAGGGGATGAGCTTTGCTAGCCAGTGCTGATCTGAGAGGAGAAAAAGGTCAAAAACGAAGACCCCTGAGCCCACAGATATTAAATAGGTGTGTGGAAACCAACAAACCAAAAAAAAACCCCATAAAGGAAATTCAGAGGGGGCCAGAGAGGCAGAGCAGGGCCCACAAGAGAGAGACACTGTCTCAATTAACACCCAAGGGAGTGGGGGAAAAGCAGTAGTGGAGGAGAAGCCAAAGAACTTCACAGCACATGCAGCATGGCAGGAACGCAGGAAAAACGCCCCAGCAGGCACGGCATGGTGGGAAAATATGAAGAAGGTCCCAGCACACACAGCACGGTGGGAAAATGTAAAGAATGTCCCAGCACGCACAGCATGATGGGAAAACATGAAGAATGTCCCAGCATGCACAGTATGGCAGGGAAAGCCTGAAGAACGCCCCAGCACACACGGCATGGTGGGAAAACATTAAGAATGTCCCAGCATACGCAGTACGGCAGGGAAAGCCTGAAGAACGCATGCTGGGAAAACGTGAAAAACATCCCAGCACACACAGAATGTTGGGAAAACATAAAGAACATCCCAGCATGCACAGTATGGCAGGGAAAGCCTGAAGAATACCCCAGTACGTATGGCATGGTGGGAAAACGTGAAAAACGTCCCTGCACACATGGGATGGTGGGAAAACAGGAAGAACGTGGCAGCACCCACGGCATGATGGGAAAACGTAAAGAACGTCCCAGCATGCACAGTACGGCAGGGAAAGCCTGAAGAACTCCCCAGCAAGCACGGCATGGTGGGAAAACGTGAAAAATGCCCCAGCATGCAAGGCATGGTGGGAAAACATAATTATAATGTCCCAGCAAGCACAGTATGGCAGGAAAGCCTGAAGAACGCCCCAGCATGCCCGGCATGGTGAGAACACGGAAAGAACCTCCCAGCATGCAAGACATGATGGGAAAACGTGAAGAACGCCCCAGCACGCATGGCATGGTGGGAAAACGGGAAGAATGTCCCAGCAAGCCCAGCGCACAGTATAGTGGGAAAAGTATAAAAAGCATCCAAGTACACAACGTGGGGCATGAAGGGAAACCTGTCTTCTTACAAAGATGCTATTCAGAAGCATAGGGGCACGCTTCCCTCAAGAGACTTTTCAGGTATTATTTTAAAGATAGTTGAATAGTTTTGCTCACCATGGTGAGTCTCTGTAGAACAGGCATAAAGGAGCAAATGTAACCAGCAAAGTAAAACTTTATCCTGTCAGCTTGTTAGGAGCTGAAGGTGCAGTGGGTTGGTGCGCGTGGATGCTACAGCCAGGCCGACTCATGCTTACCCAAGGGAGGCTTGTGGCTGGGGAATAAGTGGTTGTCCATGTGGTGGGTCCTGGAGGTCCTCCCTACCTACCTGTCCAGTGCTGGAAATTCCACCGACAGAGAGTTATCCCAAGAGACCTGAGAGACCTAAGCCTCGTGCAGCAATGGTAGGTGGCAAGAACTTTCCTCACAACTTCCTGTCGTTTCTGCCTAATGCTCGGAAAATGTGGACGAGTTTTCAGATGTGACTTCTTTACTGTTCCAAACTCTAGTGCTGATTTGTTTATTATTCCTCCAAACTACATAAGTATTCATTTTCTTTGTGAATTTTTTTTTCATTAGCTTTAGGGGTGCAAGTGGTTTTCAGTTACATGGATAAATTATATACTGGTGAAGTCTGGGATTTTAGTGCACCCATCACCAGAGTAGTGGACATTGTACATAATATGTAGTTTTTCATCCATCAACCCCTCCTGACCTCCCCTCTTCCTAGTCTCCAATGTTCTCGTTACCAGTGTATGCCTTTGCATACTCACAACTTAGCTCCCACTTATATGTGAGAACATGCGGTATTTGCTTTTCCATTTCTGAGTTACTTCACTTAGAATAATGGTCTCCAGTTCCATCCAAGTTGCTGCAAAAGACATTAGTTCATTCTTTTTTATGGCTGAGTAGTATTCTATGGTGTGTGTGGGTGTATATACACGCATATCTCTCTCTCTCTCAAATTTTCTTTATCCACTTATCTGTTGATAGGCATTTAGGTTGAGTCCATATCTCTGCAGTTGTGAATTGTGCTGTGATAAACATAAGTGTGCCGGTGTCTTTTTGATATAATGACTTCTTTTCCTTTGGGTAGATACCCAGTGACTGGATTGCTGGATTGAATGGTAGATATACTTTTAGTTCATTGAGAAATCTCCACAGTATTTTCCATAAGGGTTGTATTAATTTACATTCAAACCAGCAGTGTATAAGCATTCCCTTTTTACCACATCTGTGCCAACATCTATTGTTTTTTGACTTTTTAATAATGGCCATAATGGCCATTCTGGCTGTAATAAGGTGATATCTCATTCTTTTAATTTGTATTTCCTGATGATTAGTGATGTTCAGCATTTTTTCATATGTTTCTTGGCCAGTTGCATATCTTCTTCAAAAATGTCTACTCATGTCATTTGCCTACTTTTTATTGGGATTATTTTTTTTTTCTTGCTAATTTGTTTGAGTTTCTTATAGATTCTGGATATTAGTCCTTTGTCAGATTCATAGTTTGCAAACATTGTCTCCCATTCTGTAGGTTTTCTGTTTACTTTGATGGTTATTTTCTTTTCTTTTATTTTATTTTATTTTTTTTTTTTTTTGTGACAGAGTCTCTCTTTCTCACCCAAGCTGGAGTGCAGTGGTGCAATCTCGGCTCACTGCAACCTCTGCCTCCCTGGTTCAAGTGATTCTCCTGCCTCAGCCTCCCGAGTAGCTGGGATTACAAGCATGCACCACCACGCCCAGCTATTTTTTTATTTTATTTTTAGTAGAGATGGGGTTTCACCGTGTTGGCCAGGCTGGTCTCTAACTCCTGACCTGAAGTGATCCTCCCACCTTGGCCTCCCAAAGTGCTGGGATTACAGGCATGAGCCACCATGCCCAGTCTGCATTAGCTTTTCAGTTTAATTAGATCCCATTTATTTTTGTTTCTGCAGCATTTGTTTTTGGGGTCTTTGTCCTAAATTCTTTGCCTGGGTCAGTGTCCAAAGGAGTTTTTCATAGGTTTTCTTCTAGAATTTTTATGGTTTCAAGTCTTAGATTTAAGTCTTTAATCCATCTTCAGTTATATTGTATATCGTGAGAGATAGGGATCCAGTTTCATTCTTCTACATGTGGCTAGCCAGTTTTCCCAGCATCATTTACTGAAGAGAGTGTCTTTTACCCAGTTTATGTTTTTGTATACTTTGTTGAAGATCAGTTGGTTGTAAGTATTTGGCTTTATGTCTGGGTTCTCAATTCTGTTCCATTGCTCTATGTGTCTACTTTTATACTAGTACCATGCTGTTTTGGTTACTATAGCCTTTTAGTATAATTTGAAGTTGAGTAATGTGATGTCTCTAGATTTGTTATTTTTATTTAGGATTGCTTTGGCGGCTATTCAGGCTCTTTTTTGGTTCCATATGAATTTCAAGATTGGTTTTTCTAATTCTGTGAAAAATGATATTGGCATTTTGATAGGAATTGCATTGAATCTGTAAGTTACTTTGGGCAATATGGTCATTTTGTGATACTGACTCTTCCAATCCATAAGTATGGGATGCATTTCCATTTGTTTGTGTCATCTATGATTTCTTTCAGCAGTGTTTTGTAGCTCTCCTTTTAGACATCTTTCAACTCCTTGGTTAAGTATATCCCTAGGTATTTTATTTTTTTGGTAGCTATTGTGAAAGGGATTGAGTTCTTGATTTGATTCTTGGCTTGGTCATTGTTGGTATATAGCAGTGCTACTGATTTGTGTACATTGATTTTGTAACCTGAGATTTTACTGAATTCATTTATCAAATCTAGGAGTCTTGGAGGAGTCTAGACTTTTCTAGGTATAAGATCATATCAGTGGCAAACAGACATAGTTTGACTTCCTCTTTTCCAATTTGGGTACTCTTTATTTCTTTCTCTTGTCTGATTACTCTGACTAGGACTTCCTCTTCAGGAATAATTTTAAAATTAATTTCAAACTTAAGTTTTATTTCATAATCTGTTTTCTTCCTATTTGAGTTCCTTGATGAACAAGTAAACAATGCAAAATAAATATGCACATCATGTGAGGCAAATGTATGGCTGTGCTGTCACTATTGATAATGAGGCTTTATAAATTTATCTCTACTGAAGACACTGTCCCTGAAACTATGAGTGCATCTGTGTCTCCATACAGAGAAGTATTTCCTTATCTCCAAACTACTGTGAAATAAATTAAAATCAAGGCCGGGCATGGCGGCTCATGCCTATAATCTCAGCACTTTGGGAGGCCGAGGCAGATGGATCACCTGAGGTCAGTAATTCCAAGACCAGCTTGGGCAACACAGTGAAACCCCATCTCTACTAAAAATATAAAAATTAGCCAGGCGTGGTGGTATGCACCTGTAATCCCAGCTACTCAGGAGGCTGAGGCAGGAGAATTGCTTGAACCCAGGAGGCGGAGGTTGCAGTGAGCCAAGATCACGCTACTGCACTCCAGCCTGGGCAATAGGGTGAGACTCCATTACAGTTTAATTCCCAAATTCAGAGAAAGTCATTAAGTAGAAGACAAGGAATGCTGTCTTCAGTAAAATAAGGACAGTCCTAAGGCCATCTTCCCAGAGAATGTCACTTTGGCAGAAAATTGTATGACAAGCCTGGGCTGAGCCTCAGCAAGACCATAGGGTGTACTCACCTCCAGGGTCCTCACCTTTCTTTCCTACCATCGTATTTAAAACCTGGATATCTTAAAAAGGCTCGTCATATGCCATGGAGGATTGTAGCAATGGTCTGACAGACTGCTCTTTGCCCTCAGTTTTCTACGTGGCTTGGTAGAAACACAGCCAGTGTCTGTCTTGGGTCATATCATATTGTTTAGTTCAGAATATTTCGATCTAGGACTGTAAGGGCAGGCTTAAAATGATGCAGAGTTAATTCAGATTGTGTGTAAGAAATACACCATGCCTAGGATTTTACATTAACACTAATGTGATGCTAGTCAGGAGAGTTAAACTGTTGCAGCATTCATTAAATATTGTCTTAAAAAGAAGAAAAAAAAATAAGTTGAAAGCCAAGTTCTAAAGAGTGTAATGAAGTACAGTAGCCACATCTTCACTTGAACTATTTTTCTACCTATTCTACTACAACTTAGGTTTTCCACTAGAAATTAAGGTTTTAGGTTTTACACTTACATCTATGATCCAGTTTGAGTTAATTTGTGGATATAGTGAGAGGTGTGGACTAAAGTTCATTTTTCCTGAATATGAATATACATTTGTTCCAGGACAATTTGTGGAAAACGCTATCTTGTCTCTGCTGACTTGGCTTTGCACCTTTGTCAAAAATCAGTAGTTCACTTATGGGTGGGCCTGTATCTACACTCCCTACTTTATTCCATTTATCTATTTGTCTGTCTTGATGCCAAAACCACTGTCTTGGTTACTGAGACTTTATAATAAATCTTGGTGTCAGGAAGTACTAGCCCTTTCCATTTGTTTTTGTTTTCTTTTTTTGTCATTCTGGATACTCTGAATTTCTGTATAAATTTTAGAATCAGCTTGTCAATTTCTACCCAAAGAGAAAACCTGCTATAGTTTTGATGGGGATTGCTTGAATTTATAGATTAATTTGGAAAGAATGGATAGCTTAACCATATTGAGTTTTCCAGCCCATAAACAAGGTGTACCTCTTAATTTATTTAGATCTTCTTTAATTACTCTGCAGTTTTGTAGTTTTCAGTATATAGGCCTTGCATATGTTTGGTCATATGCAATACCGAATACAGCATATGTTTTGTGCTACTGTAAGTGAAATTTTAATTTTAATTTTCAGTTATTTATTGCTAAATATAGAAAACCATTAATTTTTGTATATGGACTCCGTATCCTGCAACCTTGTCAAATTTATTTATTTGTAGGAGCTCTTTTGTGGACTGCACCAAATCTTCTACATGGACGATTGTGTCATCCGCAAATAAAGACTTTTAATTCTTCCTTACCAATATTGATGCTTTGTATTTCTTTTCTTGCATTATCACGTGAGCTACAGCCTCCAATAAAATGTTGAATAAAAATAGTGAGAACAGATATCCTTGTCTTGTTTCTGATGTTAGAGGGAAATCATTCAGTTATTCTCAATGAAGTATGATGCTAGCTATAGATTCTCAGATGTTCTTTATTGGGTTGATGAATTTCTCTTTTATCCTTAGTTTCTTGAGAGATTTTATCAGTAATAGATATCGGATTTTGCCAAATGTTTTTTCTGCATCTATTGAGATGATCATATGGTTTTCTCATTTAGTTTGTTAGTATAGTAAATTACATTGATTAATATTTCAAATATAAGAATCTTCCATTCCTGGATAAATTCTACTTGGTTAAGATGTATTACCTATTTAGATATTGTTAAATTGGATTTACTAATTTTTTAAATATTAAATCTATGTTCACAAGAAATATTTATCTATAGTTGCCTTTTCTCATACTGGTTTTGTCTAGTTCACATATCAAGGCCTCATAGAATTAATTGGGAAATATTCTCACCTCTTCAATTTACTGTAAAGCTTTGTATAGAATTGGTATTATAACATTATTTTTTCCTTAATTATTTGGGAGAATTCACCAAAGAAGCTATCTTAGCCTGAGTTGTTTGTTTATGTTTGTTTTGTTCTTTGTGGGAAGGTTTTTAACTACATATTTGATTCTTTCTATAGATACAGGGCTACTCAGGTTACCTACTTCTTCTTGAGTGAAGTTTTAAAGAGTGTGTGTTTCCAAAAAATTGTTTATTTTATCTAAGTTGTCAAATAGTTTACATAGAGTTGTCCATGATCTTCTCTAAGAATAGTATTAATGTCTGTATGCTCTGTTGTAATATAACAACTCTTATTCTTGATATTAGTAACTTGAATCTTCTGTCTCATTTTCCTCATCAGCTTGGCGAGATGTTTATCAATATTATTGATCTTGTCAAAGAACCAGCTTTTGCTTTCGTTGATGTTCCCTATTTTTCTAGTCTGTATATATTTTTTTCTTCTGCTTACTTTTAGTTTAATTTCTCTTTCTGATTCCATAGGATAAAGCTGAGGTTATGGATTTGAGACACATCTTTTCAAATACAGGTGTTTAGTGTTATAAATTTCCTTCTAAATACTGCTTTAGAGTAGGGACTAGCACACGTGGAGCTGGAATATAGCCATATCCATTCATTTATGTGTTGTCTATGGCTGCTTTCTTGCTATATAGTGGTGCAGCTGAGTAATTGCAATGGAGACCATACAGCCCACACGTCTATAAAATTAACTATATATGGCCTTTTAAGAAGTCTACTGACTTCTGCTATAGAGGAATCCCACAAATTCTGATATGTTCTGTTTTCACTATAATTCAACACAAAATTGCTCAGGACTGAATTGTGTTTCCCCGAAAGTACTGTGGCCAAAGCCCTACCTCGCCCCCTCAATGGGGTGGTATTAGGAGATGGAGTCTTTTGGAGGTGATAGGGCTTAGATGAGGTCATGAGGGTGGAGCCCTCACACTGGGATTAATGCCTGTATAAGAAGAGACACCAGAGAGCTTCATCTCTGCCTCTTCTCCCCGCCTCCCTGCCACATGAGGACACAGTGAGAGAGCGGCCATCTGCAAGCCTGGAAGACAGCCCTCACCAGGGAATGAGATCCACTGGATCTTGAACTTTCTAGCCTCCCGACTGTGAGGAATAAATTGCTGTTATTTAAGCTGCCCAGTCTATGGTATTTGGTTATCGCATTCCAAGCTGATGAGTACAAAAATACTTTCTAATTTCAATCTCACTTTCTTCTTTGACCCTTGGATTACTGAAATGTGTGTTATTTAGTTTCCAGATATTTGAGGATTTTCCACATATCCTTGTTATTATATTCTAATTTAATTCAACTGTGGTCACAGAAAATATTTTATATTACTTGAATCTTTTTAAGTTTATTGAGATCTGTCTTATGGCCTAGAATCCATTTCGGTTAATGTTTCAAGTGCAGTTGGAAAAACATATACATTCTTCTGATATTGAGTGGCGTTTTCTATAAATATCAACTAGGTCATGTTAGTTAACAATAATGAAGTTTTCTATATCCTTGTAGATTTTCTCTCTACTTGTTCTTTCAATTATTGTGAGAATTGTACTGAACTCTCCAACTATAATTAAGGATTTATCTATTCCTCCTGCAGTACTATCAAGTTTCACATATTTTAAAGCTCTGTCATTGGTTGTATAAATGTAATTTTTATGTTCACTATATGAATTTACCCCTTTATTATGATGAAATGTTCTTTAATCCTAGAAATATTCTTTGCTCTGCAGTCTACTTTGTCAGATATTAATATAGCCACTTTGTTCTGATGAATCTTTTGCCATTCCTTTACTTTTAACTTGTGTCTATATGTATATATGTGTGTATATATATATAGAGAGAGAGAGAGACGTTTTTTTTTTTCCTGAGACGGAGTTTCACTCGTCACCCAGGCTGGAGTGCAATGGGGTGATCTTGTCTCACTGCAACCTCCATCTTCCGGGTTCAAGCGATTCTCCTGCCTCAGTCTCCCAAGTAGCTAGGATTCCACGTGCCTGCCACCATGCCCGGCTAATATTTTGTACTTTTAGTAGAGACGGGGTTTCACCATGTTAGCCAGGATGGTCTTGAACTCTTGATCTTAGGTGATCCACCAGCCTCGGCCTCCCAAAGTGCTGGGATTACAGGCATGAGCCACCGCGCCTGGCCTTGTATCTTTATATTTTAAACTTGTGTCTTGTAAGCAGCATAATGCAGATGTTCCCTGACTTAATTTGGTTCCATTTACAATTTTTCAATTTCACAATGGTGCAAAAGCATCTCAACTTTGATGTAATGTACAATATTCAATAAGTTACATGAGCTATCCAGCACTTTATTATAAAGTAGACTTTGTGTTAGATTTTGCCCAACTATATGCTAATGTAAGTGTTCTGAGCACATTTAAGGTGGGCTTAGGCTAAGCTATGATGTTCAGTAGGTTAGGTATATTAAACACATTTTGGCTTATGATATTTTTAACTTACAGTAAGTTTATCTGGATGTAATCCCAAAGTTAGCTGAGGAGCATCTATAGTTGGATGGGGCTTGTTTGTTTGATCTGACAATCCCTGCTTTTTAATTGGGATATTTAAACTATTTATATGTTATGTAATTATTAAATATAGTTAGGTTTAACTCTTGCAATTTGTTTTATATTTGTTCCACCATTTCTTTGCTTCCTTTTGCCTTTTTTCTAAATTCCATTCCATTAAATAAATACTATTTATGATTCCACTTATATTCTTTGTTGGCATTAGCTGTTACTCTTTGTTTTTCCTTTTAGCGGTTGCTTTAGAGTTTATCATATACATTTTTAACTTTCACGGACTACCTTCAAATTATATTAGTTTACATATACTATAAAAAATCTTACATTAATATACTTTTTTTTTTTTTTTGAGACAGAGTCTCACTCTTTCACCCAGGCTGGAGTGCAGTGGCACAGTCTTGGCTCACTGCAACCTCCGCCTCCTGGGTTCAAGCAATCCTTCTGCCTCAGCCTCCTGAGTAGCTGGGACTACAAGCACGTGCCACCATGCCCAGCTAGTGTTTTTTTTTTTTTTTTTTGTATTTCTAGTAGAGACGGGTTTTAACCGTGTTAGCCAGGATGGTCTCGATCTCCACACCTCATGATCCACCCGCCTCAGCCTCCCAAAGTGCTGGGATTACAGGTGTGAGCCACCGCACCTGACACATTAATATACTTTAATTTCTTCCCTTCCAGGCTTTATTTTATTGTTGTCATCAATTCTACTTACATGTTACATTACTGTTTTCTTTAAACAATTATCTCAAAGTGGCTTAATTTTTTTTTGTTTTTTGAGACAGAGTCTCGCTCTGTTGCCCAGGCTGGATGGAGTGCAGTGGCACGATCTCGGCTCGCTGCAAGCTCCGCCTCATGGGTTCACGCCATTCTCCTGCCTCAGCCTCCAGAGTAGCTGGGACTACAGGCACCCAATACCACGCCTGGCTAAGTTTTTGTATTTTTAGTAGAGACGGGGTTTCACCTTGTTAACCAGGATGGTCCTGATCTCCTGACCTCATGATCCGACCGCCTCAGCCTCCCAAAGTGCTGGGATTACAGGCGTGAGCCACCGCGCACGGCCAGTAATTTTTTAAATTATGTGAATTTCCCCATGTAGTTACCCTTTTCAGTATTCTTCATGACTTTGTGAAGATCCATGTTTCCATTTGGTGTTATTTTCCTTCTGCCTTAAGGACTTCCTTTAGTATGTCTTACCATGTGGGTCTGCTGCTGATGCATTCTTTTTAGCTTTTCTATATGAGAAAAAGTCTGTTTTTTGTACATAAGAAAAAGATTTTCACCGGGTGTAGTATTCTGAGATCACAGGTGTTTTCTTTCAGTATTTAAAGGTATTGCTCCGTTGCCTTCACACGTGCATTATCTCTAAAGAGAAATATATTGTCGTCTTTATCTCTGTTTCCTCGCCTGTAACATGTCTTTTTCTTTGGAAACTAAGATTTTCTCTTCATCTTGCTTTCAAATAATTTGATTATGATGTGTCTTACTGTAGTATTCTACGTGTTTCTTGGGCTCTGGCTTCATTGAACTTCTTGATTCTGTGGGTTTATACCATTCATAAAATTTGGAATTTAGGACCATTTTTCAGATGCCTTTTTCCGTTCCCCTCTCTCCTTCAGAGATGAGAATTGCATATGTTAGGCCACTTGAAATTTTCCCATAGCTCACTAATGCTTTTCAGTCCTTGTTATTATCTTTTTACTCCATTTCATTTTGGATTTATGTCTTCATTAATCTTTCCTTATGTAATATTTAATATGCCACTAATCCCAGCAAGTGTATTTCTATCTCAGACATTGTAATGTTCATGTCTAGATGTTTGATGTGGGGCTTTTTTAATATCTTTAATGTTGCTACTTGGTGAATATCTGTAACACCATTATAATAACACTTTTAATGTCCTAGTCTGCTAATTCTAACACCTGTGCCTGTTCTACGTTAGTTTCAAATGGTTTGTATCATCGCTGTCATAGGTTATATTTTCTTGCTTCTTTACATGCCTGATAATCAGTGATTGGTTGCCAGACATTGTAAATTTTACCCTGTGTGTTGTTGAATATTTTTGTATCACTCTAAATATTCTTGACATTTGTTCTAGGATGCAGTTAAAATACTTAGAAACAGTTTGGTTCTTTGGGGTCTTAGTTTCAAGATTTCTTAGGTGGAAGCAGAGCAGTGTTCAGTTTATAGTTAATTACCCCTCATAACTGAGGCAAGACACTTGTGAGTACTCTACCCAGTGCTCCATAAATTAAGAGGTTCCAGTCTGCCTGGCAGAACAGATATCATTACTATTCCTGTCGTGTGCGTCAAGCACTTGTCCCTCTCATCTTTCTGGGTTGTTCTCCCCGGGTCTCATGTAGTCTCCTCGCATGAATGCACTGATCTGAACACTCTGCTGAACACTCCAAAGGGACCCTCTGAGGATCTCTGTGGTTCGGCTGTGTCCTCTCTGGACTCTCGCTGCCCTGGTCTCCCCAGACTTTCAGCTTCATCCTCTCAACTCAGGGGGTGTCATGGGCTTGGCCAGGGTCGTCCCTCCCTGCACTGCACTCTGGAAGCTCTCTTGAGGTAGTGAGCTGGAGCAGTCATAGAGCTCACCGCATTTGTTTCCCGTCTCACAGGGATCACTGTCCCTTTGTGCCTGTTATCCAGTGACTTGGTTACCATTGTTCCATGTGTTTTGTCTGGTTTTGGTTTATTTTTGTTTTGTTTGACTATCCCAGGCAAGAGAGTAAATCCAGGCCCTGTTATTCCATGTTGGCCAGAAGCAGAAGCTGTGCTGTCTTTTGTACTCATCTATATCCACATACAAACACTCTAGGATGCTATTTGCACCAAAATATTAAAAGAATTTACCTCTGGTTTTTGGAATTATGAATTTTTATTGTATGTGCATGTGCATGTCTGTGAGACTTCTGTTTTCTACCAAAAAAAGTATTACCTGTTTATGGAATGAAACTAACAATACAATTTTTTTCTAAAAATACTTCTATTCCATGAGCATGAGCTCCATCCTGGATAACAGGTGCCCCTAGCATAAACTGCAGGGTCTGTTACCACCTGACATGCTCCAGGGTGGCATGACCATGGCTGCACACCTCAGTTCACATGGCAAAGTTGGTGAAGTGTTGCCAAGCAGTTTCCCACGGCAGCTAGGGAATGCAGAGCCATACCCAGAACCTCTGGAGCGCACTGCTTCCATGAAGCGGCCATTAACACCCTGGAGCCATGGATTCTCAAATGTTTAAATATTTTTATGGAACACAGCGTTCAAATACAAACACACTGCTACCCTTCAGGCACACACACACACAAACACATCATCTACAAGAAATAACACCAATGTGGAAGCATTTTCACTGATGCCTCAGAGGAGGAAGATTGAGAAAATTCTAATGATCAAAGAGTAGAGAATAAAAATTAATGATATAGTTCAATTTTCACCTTGAAGATATGTAGAATACCTTGCACTTTCTAATACTTTGTCTTTATTACAGTATACAAAGAAATTATACCCTAATATTTATATGGGGCTTTCAAAGAATTTCTAAAGACATTCATTTCTGACCCTTAAAAAATAAATTTTAAGTCCTTCATCAGTAAACTAATCCACCACAGTTTGGGAATCCCATATCTCCAGTGAGAGGGAACAGGTCATTTTGTTTTTAATGTAGGTTGGAAGAAACCTCAGTTCCTATTAATACAATTAATATAACATACTATGACTAACTACATCATGCTATCCAGTCATTTCTTTAAAAACTGATCAGAATGAGTATGAAGTCAATTCAAGCCAGTTAACTCTAGGATTGAAGGACCAGTCACCTAACATCCCAGTCTTGAGATGCCCAGTAGCACTTACTGTGAAGAGGTGGCGTGATGATCTTGATTTCTAACAAAGGCGTCCATGTGGGGTAGAGCTCTAACTAAGTGGAGGTGTGCGTTTACTGGAAGCAACCCTAGCATGCTGGTACGTACCATCTTCCTCAGCTCTTGGTTGGAAACAATAATGACATTTGGAGGGTCCCCGATGGCAGTGGCAGCTCCTCCAATGTTTGTGAAGATCACTTCTGCAATCAGGACTTGTCTTGGATCAAGGTTGAGCACCTCACACAACCTGTCACAAATGGAAGAAAATGAAAGTAGTCCCACTATACACATCGTGAAAGGCCCACATGCAACCCAGAGATTTTTAAGGCGCTTGCTCGTATAAGGGAGGCGCGCACACACACACACCCCTGTGGGGAAGGCAGTGCTGGGGGGAATGAACAACTGCAACAACCCCCGCAGGCCACAGCTCACTCCGAGAGTTACATTCCTTTCCAGAGTGAGCCTCCAGCCACCAAACCCTCGGTGTGGTCAGGTACCCTTTCCCCAATGCTCCCAGGTCTGGAGGGAGCACTGGCCCCCAGGGCAGGGCAGGCCCTCCACAGGCAAGCCAGTGCTGTGGGGGTCAGTGTGGAGGCAGTGCGGATGGCTCACACAGGGCCTGCTGACTCAGCCCCTTTCCCACCTCCCCCTTCCTGGACACCAAGGCCCTAGGCTCTCTTCTCACCCCCTCCCTTTGTTTTATTCATCTATGTATTTTCTATGTATTTACTTTGTATTGCTATAAAACATACTAGATATATATATACATACATACATTTTCAGGGTGCATATGATAATGTAATAATTCACATAATCAAACCAGGTAACTAGGATAACCATCCCCTTAAATATCAATCTGTTCTTTACCCTGGGAGCATTCCAGTTATTCTCTTCTAGCTATCTTGGAGTGTACAATCAATTCATGCTAACTGTATTCACCCTACAGATCTGTCTAAGCCACATTCTACAGCTGTGGAGCTCCACCATGGCCTCACACTAGATTTGTGCTGGAATCTGGGAGTCCTACGACTCGCCCAGCGCAGACCAGTGCCTGGGAGTGGGCCCGGGCAGTGGTGCTCTACAGCTCCCCAGGGGACCCAGTATGCACACAGCTGGGAAACATTGCTCTAAAGAAAGTGTAGAAGGCACATCACAGCATCCCCTACACCTGCTCATCCACACAGCCCACTCCCACACAGGACCCGGCCTTGGGTCTCACTCAGAGGCCTCCCACCACCTCAGCAGATGGTGATGGAGAAGAACATGGACAGGGACTCCTGGCACCTGGGCACCTGGTGGTCTGGGGTGAGCCGTTTTTTGTTTGTTTGTTTGTTTGTTTTTTGAGACGGAGTCTCGCTCTGTTGCCCAGGCTGGAGTGTGGTGGCGCAATCTCAGCTCACTGCAACCTCCGCCTCCCGGGTTCAAGGGATTCTCCTGCCTCAGCCTCCCCAGTAGCTGGGATTACAGGCACGTGCCACCACGCCTGGCTAATTTCTGTATTTTTAGTAGAGACGGGGTTTCACCAGGGGTGAGCCATTCTTGTCCACATGTCTCCCCATGAGACCACAATCTCCAGGAAAGCAAGGCCTATGTCTTCCACCTCCTGCAGGCATTTCTGCCACCAGCTTCTGAGGCCCCACTGCTTGTAGCATGTACTGCAGTCACACAAAGCAGACACGAGCTGGACTGGAATGCAGTGAGCTGTGGGCTCAACTGCCCCCACCTTTTCATGCACCTGAGAATGGAACCTGGAGCCAGGCAGTGCAGGCAGAGCCCCTGCCTGCCAGAACCTGGCCGCAACTCCCACGGCAGAGGTGCTTTGCGTACCTTATGGTCACAGGCGTGAAGAGGAGCATGGTGGTGACGTTGTCCAAGAAGGCAGAGAGGACGGCCGCGATGAGACAGAGCATGATGATCATGGCCCACACCCGTCCCCGGGAGAGCCGGTATGCCTGGCCACACACACACAGAGAGAGTACAAGCCAGAGTGAGCAGGCTCGTAGAACAGAGGCAGCCTTTCATTAGTGACTTTAAGAACAGGGAGCCAAACTAACATTACCCCATGGGTTAAGACATAGACCCACGGAGTCCTAGGGGGGCCGAGATGAGACAGTGCTGGCCATCGAAGTTCCTAGACATTCTAAATCCTCCCTAGCCAGCACTGTCACCCCTCTGATCCTCTTCCTTCACAGAGCCCCTGTGATGGTTAATTTGTCACAAGGTGATGACCCTCAGTCCCCGTAATGCCATCGGTATTCTGGTTAGACAACCTGGGCTTTGACATTTGGGATCCATGTGAGCCTAGTGTCTGCTGATCTCTGGGGAACTAAGGGATACTTTTAATAGTAAGGAGTAATAGACCAAATATCTACCTGGCATGTATAAGGTGGGGCTCAAAGATGACAAAAATCACAGCACAGTTCCATCATTCAGAGTTTGCAAAGGGCTTTGTTGAGTAATTTTTTTTTTTTTTTGAGACAGAGTCTCACTCTGCCACCCAGGCTGGAGTTTGGTGGTGTGATCTCGGCTCACTGCAACCTCCACGCCTGGGGTTCAAGCAATTCTCTCGCCTCAGCCTCCCGAGTAGCTGGGATTACAGGCGTGTGCTACCACGCCCAGCTAATTTTTGTATTTTTAGTAGAGATGAGGTTTCACCATGTTCACCAGGATGGTCTCAACCTCTTGACCTCGTGATCTGCCCACCTTGGGCTCCCAAAGTACTAGGATTACAGGCGTGAGCCACTGCGCCCAGCCTGTTGAGTAATTTTTAAAAAGACCTTTTCAGTTTCAAAAATAATATATATTCAAGCACAGCACTAGACTGCATTAGCAGGGCATGGTACATGTTGAGCTCTCCTCTTGCCAACCCTGAATGACAGGACAGGTACAAATCCTGGAGGCCAGAGCTGGCTGGTGAAGCTCCCCAGGGTTCCAGTTAAAAATGTAAATGTGTATATATTCAATATTTAGGAAGTAATCATGGAAATTATTTCACCAAAAAGCAAAGTAATCAGAAGCTAATGGCTTGAAATATTGGGATACTCTAATATGTAAAACAATTTTTGATGTGTAGCTCTCACCAGACAATTTAAATAATACACAACGATTCAACCTGAGTACCCTTTTCCTTGACCTCCTTCTTCATTTATTTACTGAGCAGCTGAAAGTGCTGCTCAGAGCCATACAACTTAACATAGCAAGTATACCCTGCCCTGCAGAAGCAACCTTTAAAAGAAGGATGGAATTTTTCAATGTTTGTTTTAAATGTTTGTTTCCTAAATATATAATGTCAGAAAAATACATATATAAATTAATCAGGATAGAATTATTAAATGCAACATCATACCTACCTTTACAGCACAATAATCGAAAAATCCCGTTTCTGAAAATATGGCTACTAAGATCATCTACGGGGAAAAGAAGAAGACAAGGATAATCTTTTAGCAGGACACCATATTAAAACGACATCAGCATGATCCCTTACACATTTGAGCTCTGGCCTCTGAAAGCCACCACATCACCAAGCTCCTCACTCTGAGATGCAGAAAGACCGTCACTTCCTGGAATAGTACACTCACTCACTCCTTGAATGGAGCCTCTTGCTAGCAGTTTTGTGCCTATATGTGTGTCCAGGGATTTGTCCTCAAGGCACATTACCATCCCATCTGATCCTCACACACAAAAAAATCAGGTGTTATTTTCACCCTCTGTTTTATAGACTAGAAAATGGGATCAGAGTGCGAGGTGGGTTGCTCACAGCCACAAATCTAGAAGCCGGGCGGGAGCCAGCATGTGGCCTTCTGCACCTACGTGTCCACACAAGCAACACTTAAACATTCTATGATGCTAAAATTGGGTTCAATTTTGTTTTCTAAAATAATTAAACTGATTTTTGTCACCAATTTGAGAGTTTTATTGAAATGATTGCTCCCTGGGTTCCAGGTGAACCCAGAATGCCTATCACCTGTTTCTTTCCAGTGAGGATGATGAGTTAGTGAAAACAGAAACAGCCATCCTGGATCCTAATAAAAAGTCATGTCCCAGTTATTCTGAATTTTATCAACCAGACATCTCAGCTAGTGAATGTTCTGGAAGTTCCTCTGCTTCACCTCTTTGATGGCAGTCACCATGTGTTGAACTTGGAATGAGAAGATGCAAGTTCAGATCCTGATTCTGCCACTTAAAAATAGTCTGAACTTGAGGCTGGGTGTGGTGGCTCACGCCTGTAATCCCAGCACTTTGGGAGGCCAAGGCGGGCGGATCACGAGATCAGGAGATCGAGACCCTCCTGGCTAACATGGTGAAACCCCATCTCTACTAAAAAAAAAAAAAAAATACAAAAAATTAGCTGGGTGGGGTGGCGGGCGCCTGTAGTCCCAGCTACTCAGGAGGCTGAGGCAGGAGAATGGCATGAACCCAGGACGGGGAGCTTGCAGTGAGCCAAGATCACGCCACTGCACTCCAGCCTGGAGACAGAGCGAGACTCTGTCTCAAAAAAAAAAGTCCGAACTTGAACAAAAATATGAATTAACCTTTCTGTCCTTCAGTTTTCTCACCTTACCTGTGAATGTTCTATACTTTGTCAGGTTATGAAAATGCAATATAATTATTCAAATTACAATACTCAGTAAACAGGAGTCCCAACAGACACTATTGTCTCTCAAATAAACTATAGAAAACAAAAATGTCCCCAGTCAATTTAGACCCAGTGTAAATATCCACCATGTCCAGAGTGACCATCAATGTTCATCCTCACCCAAAAGGCCACTGAGAGCTGACGGTGGAGCGTGGGGCTTCGCACACCAATGTAGCTTCACGTGAATACGCATGAGGAGACAGGCGTGTGGAGACCCATGTGGTGTTTTACACATTTGCTGACAGAACCACCCTGGGAGACTAGAACTCAGGGATGGGGGTAAATGGTCCCATGGGTGGTTGGCTGCCAGGAAATGGGGGAGAAGAGGCAGGGACCTGGTTGTAACGACCCTGTACCCTGCAGTTCCAGAATCACAGAACCTGCCAGTGCTCGCTGAACTGAATTCCACCGAGAAAAACGTGCTGAAGCCATTTTTATAGGCTGTGTCCCCCAAAATTCATATGTTCACCTCCTAGCCCCTAGTACCTGGGAATGTGAGACTGTATTTGGAGTGAGGGCGTTGAAGGAGGTAATTAAATTAAAATGAGGTTGTTAGGGTGAGCCCTCATTCAGTGTGACTGATGTCCTTATAGGATGAGGGTCTCAGGAATCAGAAACACACGGGGAAGACAAAGTGAAAACGCTGGGAGAAGGTGCCATCTACAAGCCCAGGAGGGAGGCTCAGGAGAAAGCATGCCTGCCCACACCGTGATCTCAGACTTGCAGCCTCCAGAGCTGTGAGAAAATACATTTATATTATTTAAGCCACACGGTCTGTGGTACTTTGTTACATAGTCCTAGCAAACTAATATAGCATTCCTTTTTTAAAAAAGGCGTATCTCAGGGATATCTGGTACACTTCCTCTCTTCTATCCAGATGCCCAAACTCTGTATACGTCTCAGGCCCGACACAAGTATTAGTTACTCTGTGAAGCCAGGGTTAGAGCACTGGCCTGCCTCCCTGCGCACCACCCACAGAGGATGGCGGCACGGTTTCCATCAGGTCACATAGCTGGGCCCTCCGTTATGTCAGCCAGCCTTGGGAGGGACGAAATGTTGGCAAGGAAAATGAGGATCTATCGTGCCCAGCTGTACACAGAGCAAGTCTTCTAGCCCAGAGAGGAAGAGCCCTCCTGCAGACCACTGGACTGTTTGGGGTCTGCTGAGGAACACGTGGACTGCCCCTGCTGCCCAGGCTCCACTGGTTCTAGTTAAGCTGGGTTAGGACTCACACTAGTGAGTCCCACACTAGCCCGCTTGGGCACTTCGAGATCCTGCAGGTGGACTTGGTGGCATTCCTCACAGCAGAGTGGCCACTGGGCACTATGATCAATTGGTAAACACCCAACTAATACTTAGGAGTGACACCTTCCTTTATTCACATAATGAAAGGTACTCTCTCTCCCACTGAAACTCCTACATGGTTTATTTATTTGGGATAGTCCATTTTTTTTTATTTTAACGGAAATAACTCAAAAGAATTGCTAGCTTTTCTAAATGGCAATATGACTTCATCGTCAGACACGCCTTGGGCTGAAATTCTCCCGCCCACGAACCATAGCCCCATTCCATTCCTCCTCAGGAGATTCATGAGACCTGCACTAACACTTCTCAGTCAAGCCCTAGGCGCTGTGTCTTTAACATAATGAAGGACCCTCAGCGGTGGAGGCCAGAGAAGGCCCGGTTACCGCAGGCGTGGAGCCCAGTCCCACGGGGAGAGCTGTAATTACCATGCCAAACAGCAGGGCCAGCGTCTCAAAATCAATCCACTCCACCACATGGGTCAGGCTGGGTCTCTGCAATCAAAGCACAAATTTGCCAATTAATCCGTGCGCCGCCATCCCAGTGATGAGCCTAATGAAGCGCTGCCCCCTGCTGCAGACCCACTCAGTGGGCGGGCCAGGGTTGGAAATCTCACCATCCACTTGCCTTTGAAGTTGGATTATATCGCTGCTGAAAAACAGTCTTGACCCAGGGCATCTATAATGTCAAATCTATGCATTTAGTAATAAAGTTTTTTCTAGCCCCTGCCTCTGGCAGCTCCCACATGGCGGGACTGGCCCCTGGTTACATTCCGAGTGGAGTCTGTATGTGCTCTCTGCAGTGCCGTGCCTGAGACCAGATGACAGGAACTGGCATGGCAGCTGTCCCACTCTCAGCTGGGTTCCAGCACTGCCTCTCAGACAACTCTGGGCCTCCATCCCCAGTGGCCACTGGTCTCTGTTGTTTCCCTACATTTGTTTCCCATGTCCCTGCCAGAGAGGCCCTGCTCAGACCCAAACAGGACACCCTCATCCCCAAACACGCCTCTCCAGGGGCCTCCTGATCTCTTCAGGACAGACCCTGGCCCAACTGACTCCCACCTTTCTGCACCAGCTAGGACGGTCCCCTCTAGTTCCAACACCCAGATCCAGCCCCATCACAACCCAGCTCCACAGCCCTAGGCAAACATGCCCATGAGGAGCCTTTCCTCCACCACGATGAGGAATCACACCACTGGGATGTGAGTGTGTGACAAAACCTAATGAAAAGTACTCTTCAATGCTGTAGCTTGTTAGTTCATACCTCTAGCATGGTTCTTGGGCAAAAACATGGACGTGGCATATAAAATAGTGAAAAAACCAGCGAAAGCCTGAATCCTGGAACATCTTTGAGCTGACATCCCACTGAGTGGTAAGCCAGGGATTGGGACTGTGACAACTTACATCGCCAATCACAGCCAGTGCTGCCAGTGCTGCAAGGGAACCCAGCATGGCTGCCAGAGTTCTGTGCACGATCTGGAAAGAAGCACAGGAAATTACCGCGTTCCAGTGCACGAGGGAGTTAGCACACACGAAAGCCTGTGTGGACATGAGGGGGTCTATATCTGCCACTGTGTACCACATCTATTCAAATGATAAGTCATGGGTCTTGATGTTTCAGGCCTGGACACCCCACAGACACATACAGCTACCACCAACGTGCCATCTAAGGGAAGCTGCTTGCATTTCCTAAATAATTAGATGACCCTGATAAAGCAGCGGAAGGCCAGATGGAGTATGTTCTATGAGAAAGGCCATAGCAAACTGTCATTAATTATTTGCCATATGCTCCCTTGGCAACTGGCCCATTTGTTCAGCAACATAAATCAATTCCTCCCAATTACTAGGCTGCTGTTAAACCAAAGGTACACAGTCCAACACTTCATCTAATTGAGATGTCTGTGTTATCACAAAAGCATCTTTTCTATTTGATTATAATTCAAATGGAAGTGGAATTTCTAAGACAAAATATGAGAAAAGGCCAAGATGTGGAGAATTGGAGCCCTCATACATTGCTAGTGGGAATGTAAAATGGGCTAGCCACTGTGGAAAGCAGTTTGGCAGTTTCTTACGAAGTTAAACATAAATTTACCATATGACCCAGCAATTCTACTAGGAATCCACCCAAAAGAAATGAAAACACATGTCCACACAAAGCACTGATGCTCATAACAACATTATACAAAGGAGGCGAAAACTGGAAACTTTCCAAATGTCCATCCGTGGTGAAGGGATAAAGAAAATGCGGCACAGCTCGTGCACGGATGAATGCTTAGAAGTGATGCTGGGGAAAGAAGCCAGACACAGAAGATGGGGTCGGTCCATCTATATGAACTTTCCAGAAAAAGTAAATTTAGAGAAACAGAAAGATCAGGGCTGCCCAAGGCTGGGGAAAGCAACAAAGGTTGACTGGAAACGGGTCCCAGGGATCCTTATGGGGTGATGAAATGTTCTAGAACTTGTGATGGTGGCAGAACTCTAAATCTGGTAAAAATAACTTAATTGTACATTTCCAAGGGGTGAAATTAATGGTATTTAAATTATACCTCAATAAATTTGTTAAAAAAATACAAAAAGAATGTGGCAAGAACAAGCGGAAAATTAAACGCTAGCATGCATTATTCATTTCTTAATCCCCTAAAGGGACTTCCACTCCATTTTTTCACAGCTTCCATCTCACAGAAACTGACTCCCTTTACCAGTAATTACCTGAAATGCAAATTCTGACTAAAATTATATCATTTATAATGTGTAGTACTAGATTCAAAGTTCATTTTCAGGAAATGTGATACTAGGTGTTGGCTTTTCACAGTTTCACTTTTTAAGAGTTGTTTTGTTTGTTTTAAATGTAAATACCTAAAATCCAATAACTTGCTACCAAACTCTAATAATTCCTTCTGTTCGTTCTCTGCTTTTCAGTCTTAGTTTAGGACGCTTTTTTTTTTTTGAGACGGAGTCTCACTCCGTTGCCGAGGCTGGAGTGCAGTGGCACCACGTTGGCTCACTGCAACCTCCATCTCCTGGGTTCAAGCAATTCTCTTGCCTCAGCCTCCCAAGTAGCTGCAATTACAGGCACCCACCACCACACCTGGCTAGTTTTTATATTTTTAGTAGAGACGGGGTTTCACCATGTTGGCCAGGCTGGTCTCCAACTCCTGACCTCAGGTGATCCACCCACCTCGCCTCCCAAACTGCTGGGATTACAGGCATGAGCCACCGCGCCCAGCCAGTTTAGGACCCATTTTAAGAATACTTCCTTATCCAATGCCAAGGGTGGCCCCAGGAAGCAGGCAGGGCAGGCATTCATCCCCAACTTGACAGCCATGGCGCTGAGAGTGGAGGGTCACCCGCTGGACATGGTGAGCAGGCACCAGAGCCAGGCTGTCCTATCCGCCCTACAGAGAACAAGGCGAAGACACTTCCCACTTTGGTATGTCTCTTTTTTGATATTTAATTAAGTCTTCATTAGTAGAACAGGATGTGACAGCATGCAAATACAGCCCATGGATGACAGGAGGAAGTCACTGCAGGGACAGAGCAGATAGGGATGAAGCCTGCTCCAAGCCAGCCCTGTGACCTCACTCTATGACACGTTCCTTTCTTCTGGCTTAACCTTTGGGCTAACTTTGTCTGGACGGAAAGGAGACTTCCAGTAAAGAGCAAAGAGCCGGCCTGGCACGGTGGCTCACACCTGTAATCGCAGCACTTTGGGAGGCCAAGGCAGGCAGATTGCTTAAGGCCAGGTGTTCAAGACCAGCCTGGCCAACATCACAAGACCTCATCTCTACTAAAAATAAAAAAAATTAGCCAGGTGTGGTGGCACACACCTATAGTCCCAGTAACTCGGGAGTCTGAGGTGGGAGAATTGCTTGAGCCCTGGAGGCAGAGCCTGCAGTGAGCCAAGATTGCACCACTGCACTCCAGCCTGGGCAACAGAGCGAGACCCCGTCTCAAACAAAAAACAAAAAAGAGTGAAGAGCCATGACTGCCAGCCACTGGTCAGCAGGATTGGATAGCAGCAAAAATAACTAATTTTTATTGAGCAACTACTGTGCACCCGGCCCTGGATTAAGTGCTCTACACACACCATCTGCACCTTTCACAGCAACTGCATGAAGTAGAACTATGATAATCCACTTTGCAGAGGAGGAAACAGTCTCAGCTGAATAATTGTCCCCGTGTCGGAAAACAAAGGACACGCGCACCCAGGATACAGACCAGCATTTTCTTACTCCAGAGCACCTCCTCTCTCCTCGTGGGGCCTTGTTTGCTCATTTGTAAAATCAGAAAACTGCACTACATACCTCAAGGAGCCCTCAGCTCTGGAGGAGGTCCGTGGACATCATGAAATCATGAGTCCTAGCAGATTAACACACAAATGAGCAAACGACAAGGCAGACAGCCATGGCCCTCTCAGGACAGCTGGGCTCATCGTGGTCTCACTGACACCCCTAGCACCCTCGCTAAGTTTGCTCCGCCCACTGCCACCATCAACACCTTTCTCCCCTCCCTCGTCACACACACCGGCTTGCAAGTGATCCACACATGAGCATCTCTGTGGCCCACAGTGAGTGCTTGGGACATCTGGATGCAGCTATCCTCACTCAGAAACCCACCCTCTTCCACCAGCTAAGGGGCCCCACACACCACGTGGGAGGCGAAACCATCACTTCCCATTTAAAAAATGGAAAAGCACGCTGATGATCCGCCTCTAGGATGTGGAATAAAACTTTTTAAACTACATGGTTGTAGAAGAAGATGAGTTCATTACTTCAGATATAATGATGGACACTACTAAATTTCTATGCTTAAGAAAAAGAATTTTCAGCTATCAGGAATAAAAAAATTTCTGGTAAATGGACCTAAAGAGTAAAAATAATAAAAATTCTTAAAAGATGCTTTAAAGCAGGGGTCCCCAACCCTCCTAACCCTGCCACGGACTAGTACCAGGGCCGCACAGTGGGAGGTGAGCTGGGCAAGTGAGCATGACCGCCTGGGCTCTGCCTCCTGTCAGATCAGCGGCAGCATCAGATTCTCATAGGAGCGTGAACCTTACTGTGAACTGCGCATGTGAGGGATCTAGGTTGCACACTCCTTATGAGAATCTAACTAATGCCCGATGATCTGAGGTGGAACAGTTTCATCCCAAAATGATGTCCCACCCCACGGTCCATGGAAAAATTGTCTTCCATGAAACTAGTCCCTGGTGCCAAAAAGGTTGGGGACCACTGCCTTAAAGGACTGTACAAAGGTTCTCTTCCTGCCCATGCTCTGGGAAATATAGCACACCTCTTCCTACACCCAAACCACTTCCCAGGCACAGAACGCACCACCTAGCTTCCCAGGCATCGCCTCACAGACCCAGCCACCGTTCTATCACTGCACTCCTCTCCGGTCGAGCCGACACTCTGTGCCTACGAGTTTCTTTGGCAAGAGTCCAGCTGTGAGCTCCTGTGAGCATGGCGTGCCTCTCTTGGTTTCTTCAGTGCTCTGCAGCGCAAGCAATACATGCTGAGCAAATGAGAAGCAGAAAATGCATGAACAGAGCCTGCAAAACAGAAGGCCAGCATCGCTTCCTGGGAGAAGAAAGGAAAGAGTTTGGGGGCAGCCCCCAAGGAAATTATCTAGGGCATCTCTGATCTTCACGCATCTGCCCCTCCATAGTCACACAGGTTTACAGCTAGTCATCATGTAAATTCCAGATAGGTGGGATACCAAGCAGATGGAAAGACAAAACTTCTTTTGGTTACCATTTGCATGGAAATGGTAACCAAAAGACAGCAGGGATAGCTAAAGTTATATCAGACAAAATAGACTGTAAGTCAAAAACTGTCTCTAGAGACAAAGAAGGTCATTACCCACCCTCTTCCACTGATAAAATGGTCAATTCAACAGGGACCTATCACAGTTATAAATAAGTACACACCCAACACCAGAGCACCTAAATATGCACAGCAGTATTAACAGAGATAAAGGGAGAAATTGACAGCAATGCAATGTAATAGGGGACTTCAATATCCCATTTAAGACAATGGATAGAACATCCAGACAGGAAACAGCAGACGTGAACAGCACTGTACACCAAGTGGACCTAACAGACATAGACCGAACTTTCCACCCAACAGCAGAAAAAGACATTCTTCTCTAGCACACACAAAAAAGTCTTCAGGATATATCACATATTAGGTCACAAACAAGTCTTAACAAATTTTATTTCTTTTAAAAAAAATTTTGTCTTAGAGACAGAGTCTTGCTCTGTCACCCAGGCTGGAGTGCAGTGGTGTAATCAAAGCTCCCTTTAGTCTTGAACTCCTGGACTTAAGCAATCCCCTTGCCCCAGCCTCCTGAGTAACTAGGACTACAAGTGTACACCACCATGTCCAGCTAATTTTTTTTTTTTTTCAGAGATGGAGGTCTTGCTATGTTGCCCAAGCTGGTCTTGAACTCCTGGTCTCAAGTGATCCTCCTGCCTCAACCTCCTAAAGCACTAAGATTATAAGCATGAGCCACCATGCTTGAACTTAACAAATTTTAGAAGATGTAAATAATATCAAGTATATTTTCCGAACACAATGGTATAAAACTAGAAATTCATAACAGAAGGAAAATAGGGAAATTGATAAATATGCAAAAATTAAGCAACACTTTTTTTTTTTTTTTTTGAGATGGAGTCTCACTCTGTCACCCAGGCTGGAGTGCAGTGGTGCAGTCTTGGCTCACTGCAGCCTCTGCCTCCCAGGTTCAAGCAATTCTCCTGCCTCAGCCTCCCAAGTAGCTGGGACTACAGGCAAGCACCACCATGCCTGACTAATTTTTGTATTTTCAGTAGAGACGGGGTTTCATTGTGTTGGCCAGGATGGTCTTGAACTCCTGACCTCATGATCTGCCCACCTCAGCCTCCTGAAGTGCTGGGATTACAGGTGTGAGCCACCACACCCAGCCGCAACACACTCTTGAGCAACCAATGTGTCATAAAAGAAATAAAATGGAAATCAGAAAGTATCTTGAGACAGACAAAAATGGAAACACAACATACCAAAATTTATGGGACACAGCAAAAGCAGTTTTAGGAGGGAAGTTTATAGTGATGAATACCTACCTCAAAATCATTAGCCTGATTGGATGACACTACAGTGTATAAATGAATTGAAAACCACATTGTGCCCCATACATATATACAATTTTTATTTGTTAATTAAAAATAAAATAAAACTTTAAAAAAGAAGAAAGAGCTCAAATAAACAACCTAACTTTATACCGCAAGGAAATAGAAGAGCCAGCTAAGCCCAAAGTTGACAGAAGGAAAAAAATATTGGCAGAAAGAAATGAAACAGAGACTAGAAAGACAATTGAAGAGATCAGCAAAACTAAGAGTTGGGTTTGAAAGGATAAACAAAATTGATGGAACTTTATCTAGACCTACCAAGAAAAAAAAAAGAGCACTCACATAAATAAAATTATAAATGAAAAAGAAGACATTACAACTGATATCATAAGATTACATGCCTACAAATTGATAGCCTAGAAGAAACTGGTAAATTCCTAGAAACATGCAACCTACCAAGACTGAATCAAGAAAAAATAGAAAACCTGAACAGACCAATAAGAAGTAAGAAGATTGAAGCACTAATCAAAAACCTTCCAACAAAGAAAGTCTCACCAATGGCTTCACAGGTAAATTCTACCAAACATTTAAAGAATGCCAATACTGGAACTTTTGTAAAACTTCAAACTTTTGCAAAAAATGAAGAGAGAACACTTCGAAACTTGTTTTATAAAGCTGGTGTTACCCTTCATACCAAAGCCAGATAAGGACACAACAAAAAAAAAGAAGAGAGAAAGAGAGAAAGAAAGAAAGAAAGAGAGAGAGAGAGAAAGAAAGAGAAAGAAGGAAGGAAGGAAAGAAGGAAGGAAGGGAGAAAGAGAGAGAAAGAAAGAAAGAGAAAGAAAGAAAGGAAGAAAGAAAAGAAAGGAAGGAAGGAAGGAAGGAAGAGAGAGAGAGAAAGAAAGAAAGAAAGGAAGGAAGGAGAGAGAAAGAAAAGAAGAGAGGAAAGGATATAAAGGAAAGGAAAGAAAGAAAGGAAGGAAGGAGGAAAGAAAGAAAGAAAGAAAGAAAGGGAAAATTAATTAATTTCAGGCCAATATCCCTGATGAACTTAGATGTAAAAATGCTCAACAAGTCTTTAATCCATCTTGAATTAATTTTTGTATAAGGTGTAAGGAAGGGATCCAGTTTCAGCTTTCTACATATGGCTAGCCAGTTTTCCCAGCACCATTTATTAAATAGGGAATCCTTTCCCCATTGCTTGTTTTTCTCAGGTCTGTCAAAGATCAGATAGTTGTAGATATGCGGCGTTATTTCTGAGGGCTCTGTTCTGTTCCATTGATCTATATCTCTGTTTTGGTACCAGTACCATGCTGTTTTGCTTACTGTAGCCTTGTAGTATAGTTTGAAGTCAGGTAGCATGATGCCTCCAGCTTTGTTCTTTTGGCTTAGGATTGACTTGGCAATGCGGGCTCTTTTTTGGTTCCATATGAACTTTAAAGTAGTTTTTTCCAATTCTGTGAAGAAAGTCATTGGTAGCTTGATGGGGATGGCATTGAATCTATAAATTACCTTGGGCAGTATGGCCATTTTCACGATATTGATTCTTCCTACCCATGAGCATGGAATGTTCTTCCATTTGTTTGTATTCTCTTTTATTTCATTGAGCAGTGGTTTGTAGTTCTCCTTGAAGAGGTCCTTCACGTCCCTTGTAAGTTGGATTCCTAAGTATTTTATTCTCTTTGAAGCAATTGTGAATGGGAGTTCACTCATGATTTGGCTCTCTGTTTGTCTGTTATTGGTGTATAAGAATGCTTGTGATTTTTGTACATTGATTTTGTGTCCTGAGACTTTGCTGAAGTTGCTTATATTGACTTAAATGTTAGACCTAAAACCATAAAAACCCTAGAAGAAAACCTAAGCAATACCATTCAGGACATAGGCATGGGCAAGGACTTCATGTCTAAAACACCAAAAACAATGGCAACAAAAGCCAAAATTGACAAATGGGATCTAATTAAACTAAAGAGCTTCTGCACAGCAAAAGAAACTACCATCAGAGTGAACAGGCAACCTACAGAATGGGAGAAAATTTTTGCAACCTACTCATCTGACAAAGGGCTAATATCCAGAATCTACAATTAACTCAAACAAATTTACAAGAAAAAAACAAACAACCCCATCAAAAAGTGGGCGAAGGATATGAACAGACACTTCTCAAAAGAAGACATTTATGCAGCCAAAAGACACATGAAAAAATGCTCATCATCACTGGCCATCAGAGAAATGCAAATCAAAACCACAATGAGATACCATCTCACACCAGTTAGAATGGTGATCATTAAAAAGTCAAGAAACAACAGGTGCTGGAGAGGATGTGGAGAAATAGGAACACTTTTACACTGTTGGTGGGACTGTAAACTAGTTCAACCATTGTGGAAGTCAGTGTGGCGATTCCTCAGGGATCTAGAACTAGAAATACCATTTGACCCAGCCATCCCATTACTGAGTATATACCCAAAGGACTATAAATCATGCTGCTATAAAGACACATGCACATGTATGTTTATTGCGGCACTAGTCACAATAGCAAAGACTTGGAACCAACCCAAATGTCCAACAATGATAGACTGGATTAAGAAAATGTGGCACATATACACCATGGAATACTATGCAGCCATAAAAAATGATGAGTTCATGCCCTTTGTAGGGACATGGATGAAATTGGAAATCATCATTCTCAGTAAACTATCGCAAGGACAAAAAACCAAACACCGCATGTTCTCACTCGTAGATGGGAATTGAACAATGAGAACACATGGACACAGGAAGGGGAACATCACACTCTGGGGACTGTTGTGGGGTGGGGAGAGGGGGGAGGGATAGCATTAGGAGATATACCTAATGCTAAATGACGAGTTAATGGGTGCAGCACACCAGCATGGCACATGTATACATATGTAACTAACCTGCACATTGTGCACATGTACCCTAAAACTTAAAGTATAACAAGAAAAAATGCTCAACAAAATACTAGCAAACTGAATTCAGCAGCACATCACAAGGATCATATACCATGATTAAGTAGGAATTATTCCCAAATCCAAGGACAGGTTCAACATACACAAATCAATAAATGTGATACATTGCCTTAACAGAATGAAGGATAAAAATCATAGGATCATCTCAATGAATGCAGAAAAGGCATTTGAGAAAATTCAACATCCTTTCATAATTAAAAGCTCTCAACAAATAAGGTATAGAATAAATGTACCACAACGTAATAAAGACCATATATAACAAGCCCACAGCTAACATTATACTCCATAGTGAAAAGCTGAAAGCTTTTCTTCCAAGGTCAGGAACAAGACAAGGATGCTCACTCTCACCACTTCTATTCAACATAGTACCAGAAGTACATAGTAGAGCAATTAGACAACAACAACAACAAAATTAAAAATGTCCAAATTGGAAAGGATGAAGTTAAACTCTATTTGTTTACAGATGTGATCTTATATATAGAAAACCCTAAAGACTCTACCAAAACTCTACTAACACTAATAAACAAATTCAGTAAATTCGTAGGATACAAAATCAGAACACATACAAAATAACAGTTTTACTTCAATATGCTAACAATGTACTATCCGAAAAAGAAAGAAAATAATCCCATCTATAATAGCATCAAAAAGAATAAAATAGGAATAAATTTAACCAAAGAGGTTTAAAGATCTGTACACTCAGGACAGTAAGACATGAATGAAGAAATCAAAGAAGATACAAATAAATGGAAAGATATCCCATGTTCATGGTTTGGAAGAATTAATATTGCTAAAATGTCCATAACTACTCAAAGCAATCTACAGATTCAATGCAATCCCTATCAAAATTCCAATGGCATTTTTCATAGAAATAGAAAAAAATTCTAATTTATATGGAACCACAGAAGACCCTACATAGCCAAGTCAACATTGAGTAAGAAGGAAAAAGCTGGAGGCATGACACTTCCTGATATCAAACTATATTACACATCTATAGCAATCAAAACAGTATGACTGGCATACAAAGAGATATATAGACCAATAGAACAGAAGAATCAACAGCCCAGAAATAAACCCATGCATGTTACAGTCAACTAATATTTGACAAGAATGCCAAGAATACACAGTGGGGAAAGGATAGTCTCTTCAATAAATGGTATTGGGAAGCTGGATAACCACATACAAAAGAATGAAAGTGGACCCTATCCTACACCATATACAGAAATTGACTTAAAATTGATTAAAGACTCACATGTAAGACTTGAAACTGTAAAACTTCTGGAAGAAAACACAGGAGAAAAGCTCCTTGATGCTGGTCTTGACAATGATTTTTTGGATATAACACTAAAAGCCCAGGTAACAAAAGCAAAAAATAAACAAGTGGAACCATATCAAATTAAAAAGCTTTTGCACAGCAAAGGAAACAAACAACAAAATGAAAAGACAACCTACAGACTCAGAAAATATTTGCAAACCATATACCTAATAAGGGGTTAATATTGAACATATGTAAGGAACTCATACGAATCAAGAGCAAAAAAATCAATAACCTGATCAAAAAATGGGCAAAGGATAATAGACATTTTCCCAAAGAAGACATGCAAATGGCCCCCAGGTACATGAAAAGGTGCTTAGCATCATTAATCATCAGAGAAATGCACATCAAAAACACAATGAGATATGGCCTAACACCTGTTAGAATGGCTGTTATCAAAAACACAGGAGATAACAAATGTTGGGTAGGATGTGAAGAAAAGGGAACCCTAGTATGCTGTGGGGGTGCAAATTAGTACAGCCACATGGAAAGCAATATAGAACTTTCACCAAACTTAAAAATAGATCTACCATATGACTGAGAAAAATCCCACTTCTGGGTCTATATCCAAAGGAAATGGAATCAGAATCTCAAGGAGATATCTGTGCGGCCATGTTCATTGCAACCTTATTCACAGTAGCCAAGATACAGAAACAACCTAAGTGTCCACAATGGATGAATGAATAAAGAAAACATGTTTCATATACATACAAACACACACACACACACACACATACACACACAAATAGAATATTATTCACCCTTAAAAAGGAAGGAAATCCTGCCAATTTGGGACAACATGGACGAACCTGAATGCTAAGTGAAATAAGTGAGACAGAAAGACAAATACTGCATGATCCCACTTATATGAGGCCAAAGGGAGCTCTGGGGTCAGGGGTGGAAGGAGAGGAGGGTGTGGGAGATGAAGAGCTGACCGCCAGAGCTGGGCACTGGGGCAGTGTGGTCAGGGAAGGGTTTGGATTTAATTCTACATTTCTCATTTAAAACATAACCAACTACTTGCCAAAAAACACATATTTTTCTTTCCTTGTGTGTCTGTGAAGGAGGAAAAAAATAAAGAACAAGGAGGAAGGGTGCAGGAAAAATGTTGCAGAGAAACTTCCAAATGACTTGGACACATCAGGAAGGAAGAGATGAAGGCACCCAAGCCACAGGACAGCTGCCTGAACTCACAGCACTGCCCCCAGGGAGCTGCAGCCCCAGAATGTGGTGCTGGAGGACAGCATGCACCTCAGCGATGCCCGGAGGCCGTGCACAGCCCTGACAAATGCCCAGCCAGGCAGAGCTGCAGAGGAGCCACAGAGGCACCTGGTTCTCTGCAGCATCGGCTCTGCCATTGGATTCCAGCTAGGCGACCTGGAGCCTGGAGAGGCCGAGAGCTGCCGGGCTCACGGCACTCTGCACCATAAGTACAACAGAGTGGGCTGTGTGCACCAAGATGTTCAAGTAGGTCACTGACACGGCAAACACTGGCTAACAGAAATTGGTTCAGATGTGGGGCACTCCAGAAGCAAAATGCTAAAATATATGGCAAGACTTTCAAGGTTGGGCAGGAGGCACCAAAAAAGCTGATACAAGAGGCCAGAAAAATGGCAACTAGGCTTGCACAGTAGCAAAACATGAAGTAGGGGTGTCCCCCGGGATACCAAGGAAGTCAGAAAATATACCTAACCAACTTGGATCTTTGGAACGTAGAGGCTTGAGCTGAGGCTGGAACAGAGGAAGCTAAGAGGTGTGTGGCAGATGCTGGACCATGGAGCTACAGGGCATGGTCTGACCCCATGGGGCCTCCCTGCAGGGCCTGCTCCGCCTGCTTCCTTTCTCTGCAGGGTGGAGGTGGGCTATGGTGAGTGCCCTACCTCACTGTGGTCTGTGGGGTGCATGAGGGCAGAGAATGCCCACTCGGAGGCTGTGGCCACTGGTCCTTATCCCATCACTGGCTCCTGCATTGGGGGCAGGAGCCCTTAACAGGATGAAAGCTTTTGGGGAGGAGATTGTGTACCTGGTTTGAGGAGTAAACCTGTGGCTGCCGATCGGTCCAGGAGAGCCGGGTTCCTGTGTTCCCAATCATCTTCTGCTGGCCTTTCCTCAGCGGGCTGATGGGGTGGGCTCCAGGCCACGCGGGAGCCTCACAGGGCTGCGTCTGTCCCTGCCACCAAGGCCTGCTTTCCTCTGCTCTTACATGGATGTGATGAGTTCCTGGCCCCTTGTTCTTGTTGATATTTTGTCATTATTGTGTGTTATCTGATGTGTTCCCTTTGCAAGGCCCCTTGGACACCGTGTGACCCAAGGAGAAGGTATACACTCCAAATTCAAATATCTTCTTTTCAGGTATTGCCCACAAATACTGAGCTGATTTTCTAGCCTGGCTTATGTTATGCAGAACAATAGATCCCAGAGCTCGAAGGCACCACAGGAAATCAGTGGAGCAGTCCTCCAGCATCCGAAACCTCCTGGCTGTGATTTCAGTTCTGAAGTGATGATGCCCAGCTGTGGGCTGTGGGCCTGCGGGTCCGCGTCAGCCACGCACGGACTGTGCTTCTTCCCCCACGTGATCCTGCCTGGCCTGCAAGGAGAGCTGAATTTTCAGTACTCAGTTCCTAAGGTACAAATTCCTATTGTATATGGAAAAGCTTTCTGCTCAGAAGCTATAGAAGCTTAGCTCCGCAATAAAATAGCCTGTGAGCTGCCAACTCCGCCAGCTTCGGAGAGTCACATTGGCCAGCCACACTTCCCCATCTTAGAGAATCGAGATGTTCCCAAAGCTGCTTTCGCGTGACTGTATCCCTAAATATACAAAATTGAACAGGTGCCGTCCCTACCCCTGGTTCAGACGAAAGATGGCTCTAGAAGCTGGCGGTCCCCACCCAGGACGCCCGTCCGTGCCCCACGCGCGCTGCCGCGTTCGTCTCCCACAAGAAGCCAGGAGATGTTACTCTGTTTTGTGGGTGAGGGGAGTAAAATGTGGAAAAACCACAGCCTAGAGTCTGAAAGCCTGCATTCTGGCTGCTACACGCTGGCTGCGGGGAACGACGGGAAAGCAGGGCCCTCCGTGGTGCAGCGCGTGAGCCGTGCGCAGGGCAGTGTGCCCCCCGAACGCTGAGCCCGAGGTGTGTCAATGACACGGCCCTCGGGGGTTCTTAGAAACGGGATCTCAGAGTTGGCGGATGTCTGAAGACCGCCCTCGACGTCCACGAGGGTGGCGGTCCCACCCCTAGCCCAGCCTGCTCGCGTCCTCGATCTGGGTGCTCTGAAGGTGGGCCTTCCAAGGGCCACCCCACGAACCCGCCCGCGCCGCCTGCTCCCTCCACCGCGTCATGCTCCGGCCTACGCCCCGAGCGGGGAAAGGTGACCTGAGAGTGATGCGAAACCGAGGGACTCAACCTGTCCCTTCCCGGCTCTGCTGGTGTCCACGTAGCGCGCTGCGCGCCCGCGCGGAAACACCGTCCAGCCGCTGCCACCCAGGCCCTGGGCCCCACAGGTCTGCAAGACACCCTGCTCTTCCTTCCTGTGGGTCTCTCTGCACGTCACTGATCCTTCCATTTACCAAAGTAGCCCACAGAAGAACATCAGTCCATCGTCTCCTGTTTTCAACATGGAAAAGCAGCCTACGACATCGAAAGACCTGTGCACAATAGACAGCAGAAGCTGCCGGCCCTGGGGTGGGAGCATCCCCTGCGGCTCCGCCCCCTCTCAGCCCCCCTGCTAGGCGCCCTGTGGCAGCTGTCCCCGTGGTGTGCTGCATTGTCCCCGGGACACTCTTGCCTGCCACCCAGCTCCCCAGAGCACGCGCTCTGGAAACCACCTCTCCAACCAGAGTGTGAGCAACAGGCCGAGGCCCTGACTTCCAAGCTGGGCTGCAGGGGAGCCTGCGGGGACGCCAGCGGGGCACCCGGACCGTCTGGCACACACCCACACACAGACACACACACAGTCACACGCCCTCACCTCACATACACGGTCTCACACTCACCCTCCCTCACATGCCCACACACTAACACAGTCTCACACTCACACACTAACTGGTATACACAGACACAACCATGCAGTCACACACTGTGACACCCAGACACATGGTCTGACACACACCCTCACATGCCCACACACTAACAGTCTCACACGCTGACTCACACACTAACTTGCACAGACACAACAGAGTCACACTCTCACATGCAATCACACACAGACACATGGTCTCACACACACACCCTCGCTGTGACTCACACACAGCCTCACATGCACTTAAACAGTAATACACATACTCATGTACTAACACACACACAGTCACACACTCACATGCACCCCAACGTCCTTCCACTTGATCCCACACTCTCACGGCAGCCCGATCTTTTGATGACAGACAAGGCCATCAGACTGTGGGGGAGGAAGCCCCTCCACCCCTTGAGCCCCAGATTTCTTCCTGTATATCAAAGAAAATCACCATGCCTCACAATGTGGCTGTGACAGAAACTGTGTGCCGGCCTCGCCTCGCACTGCCCCTGCGAGCTGGACCGTGGTGTCAGGGCGTCCAGGAGGCAGGCAGGCTTGGGAGGCTCCTCTCACACTGCCTGTAGCTCAGCTCAGCTCAGTTCAGCCCGCCAGTCCTCAGCACCCCCACTTCCCCTCCTCAGAAGGAGGCTGATTCCATGGAAATGGCTGTGATTCCACAGAAAGGGCTGGGGGGTGTCTTGAACCTAGGTTCAACCCTGCCTTCACTGCCTCCCAAGCCCCCGTCTCCCCAAGCCCACATCTCCCCAAGCTCACATCTCCATTGGCAAAACCGGAGCACAACACCTCCTTCAGAGACCTTCTGTATGAGTTTCCCGGGCTGCTGTCACCAAACCCACCCTCCTCTGGTCCTGCAGGTAAGACATCCAGCAGGTGCGCTACATCCTACATCGAGGCGTCGCAGGAACGCATTCCTTCTGCAGGCTCTAGAGGAGAATCCATCCCTCACCTTCCCCTAACACCCAAATCCCATGAACAGGACCCCTCTTTTCCAGCTTCGAAGCCATCAACGGTGAATCAAGCCCTCGCATCACACTTCTGTGACCCTTTATTCCATAGTCACCTCTCCCACTGACCACAGCTGGGAGGGCTCTCCATTTGTAAAGACCCACTGAGCTCACCCAGATAGTCTCTACATCACAAGGTCATTGGCATAATCACTCTGCAAAGCCCCTTTTGCCGTGTGAGGTCCCATATGCAAATGGTCTGGGGGTTAGGATGTGGCATCTTGGAAGTGGTCATTTAATCAGCCTACTGCACCTTTTCAGAATCAACATAGATGATGAAAACATAGAGCCAGACCCATGGTAGGAGCATGACAGACATCTGTTCACCTTGCACAGCCTTCTGGGCATTGGCTACAGATAATTCCCATCTCCTTGAGAAGCGCCACACCCTGGTGAGAAATGTGGACTCCAAAGGCAGCCACTGGCCAGCTGGGGAACTTTGGGCAAGTGGTCTGACTTCTCTGTGCTTGATGTCCTCAACTATAAAATGGAGGTGGTGATAAAGTCTGCCTCATGGGGTTGTGGGGTTGTCCATTAACACACAGAGAATTCCCAGAACAGGGCTGGCCCCTCCGCACACGTTAGCTCCGGTGGTTATCACCATCATCATTTTCTTTGAAATCAGAGCCCTCAAGATTCACTGTGGCCCTCCTTCCTGCACTGGCTTCCTTTCGCCCCACCACCCCCCACCTCTCATTGGATCTGGCTTCGAACAACAGCATGCTCCAGAGCTCACTGCATGTGCAGGAACAGCCAAGGGCATGCGAAAGAGAGCCATCCAGGAGGCGAGGTTGGAAAGGGTCCACCTACTTCAAGCAGTCTGCAAAATACTTGCCATTTTTCTAAGGAATGATGTGGCTACTCACTTTGAGAAGAAATGCTGGATTGTGAGCTTGCCAGAAAAAAATGTGAGTAGCATGGCCCAGTGGCCAGAAGACCTATGTCCCATCCCGACTCCTTCAACTGCAAAAGTGTCTCTGCAATTCAGTTTATGTGTTAAGCAGAGGGAGTGTATTACATAATCCACCAGTTTTCCTGCAGTTCTGAAGGAGTCCTTTTCAAGAAAGAAAAGGAGAGGTATCTCTGGAACAAGGTAATGGAGCAAGTTTGCCAGTGCTACTTATGCAATATGTTCCATGAATCAGCAGTAAGAAGAGGCTTGCAGACAAAAAGAAATGAATGAGGGGGCAGAGCCAATGGCTACAGATTTAAATTGCAGCCCTGCAGAGCATCATAAGAACAGAAATTAGGAAAACCTAACTTGGAGGTTTGCAGTGTTATGATACGTGCATTGGGTTTTGAAATGCAGCTCTTCTCTCTCCAAATATGCTTCCCATTTCTGTAAATTAAAAATGGAAACTCCCTGGAAGATGGAAGGTGTTCTCTATTCATCTCCCTCGAATTTAATTTCACAGTTAATTTTTAAACCAAACACTACACGAACTCCTAAATTAAATATGAAAGGACCCAGAGCAATGAAACACGATGTTACACAAAGGCTGCATCATTTTGCTACAATTACATAAAGTGGGTGAAGGGAAAGAAAGGGCTCGCTTGTTTCCAGCAGAAAGGAGCTGTGGTGGCAATCCTTCTTAAAACATAATACCAGGGGTTGGATGGAAGACATATGGAGAAAATGCACTGTCTCATTTATGTTGTGAAATATTGTTCATTAAGACTGTGTCAGAACTATTTTAATTTTATACAGTATAAGGGCATAGAAGCCTTAGCTCTGATAATGGAATTTTTAGAATGCTGCATTGGGAAATCTCCCAGAGCCGTATTATAGATGCAAAGTGCAAGAGTTAGGAGGATTGCTCCAACTGTGTTCTTTGGGACTTTCAACAAGAACTACTTTACAAGGATGGGCCGGGCATGGTGGCTCACGCCTGTAATCCCAGCACTTTGGGAGGCCAAGGCAGGCAGATCACGAGGTCAGGAGTTCGAGACCAGCCTGGCCAACATGGTGAAACCCCATCTCTACTAAAGATACAAAAAATTAGCCGGGGGTGGTGTCTCGCACCTGTAATCCCAGATACTTGGGAAGCTGAGGCAGGAGAACTGCTTGAACCCGGGAGGTGGAGGTTGCAGTGAGCCGAGATTGCACTATTGCACTCCAGCCTGGGCAAGACTCCATCTCAAAAAAAAAAAAGACCTACTGTACAAGGATGAAAGATACAACCCCAAATCCTCAGGCAAGAAAGTGCCAATCAGGATGATTATCTGTAGGACCAGAAGTATAAATAACCCAAGGTATTTCCTGAAATAATTTCATCCCATCAAGCTATTAAAAGACCTAAGGGAACCCTGGCTGATCCTTTGTTCCCATTCAGTCACTCATGGATCACTGGGCACAAAGTCAGGGGTGGAAAGTGCCCCCCACGTAGGAGCCAAGTTAGACCAGACCCAGAGGACCTTAGCACCTGTCTCAAATATCTGAAGATGCTCTGGAAACATTTGTTTAATATTTATTGAGCACTTGCTCTAGGCCAGGCAGTGTCCAAGGCACTGGGAATCAACACTGAACAAAAGCAACCAACAACAGACACAATAAGTGAGATGGAGCGCCCACGACAAAGCATGTAAAAAGTAGAGTAGAGTTTCCTCTTCAAAGACTTCCTCCCCATCTCATTAGAAATAAATAGTAACTTCTCTTAGAAGCAAAATTTATTCAAATACCTGTGCTAACATTCTTAAATATCTGCTGGCCGTAATAAAGAAATCAATGTACTTTATGTTCTTAGCTCCCACAATTTAGCCTAAATACTTGTCCTGGCATGCTTATACTAATCCAAGCAAGCATTAGCTCATAGCCTGTTCCTCTTCCTTATTTAAAGGTGTTTGTTTTTACCTTTCTCAGCATTCTACAAGTTACTTCCTCCTTCCTTTGTTGTCCTCTGCCTTTGCCTCTTTTAAAAAGTTCTAAGTTGCTAGCCAATCAAAACAAATACAAAATGTGAGGTCCCGTCCTAGCCAATGGAAACCAGACACAGTAGTAAGGTGGACACGTCAGGTTATAAATGACCCTGTCTCCTTTGTTTGGTATACTCTCATGGCAAAACTACTGGCGAGTGTGCCCTTTCTGCAGAAAGTATAAAAATGGCCTTGCTGAGGAAATTAAATTTATGTTCAAGTGCTATTTCTTTTCGGCACCAAAAAACAAACATTTCAAACAGAGCAGATGAGAAGGGATCAGGGAGGAGGCCATAGCCTGAGGCAACAGTGTCAGCATCTGGGGAGCAGCTGGCAGCAGCAGATTGGGAGGACAGGCAGGGGCATCTGCAAGCCACCCCAAGACTCCCCTGAGTAGAGCAGGATGCAGACAGCAGTGGCACAGCCTAAGCATGCCTGCCTGCAGAATCTAGAGACCTCCAGTTCTGGGGAAGCAGCTTTGCCTGAAACAAGACAACTTCTGAGTCATTGCCCAAGGCAAATTCTACCCCTAGAGTAGATCCTAGGAATAATGCAATGTTGGCTCCACTGCTGGAGAGCCCATAGGGCTGGCGATTGCATCCAGCCCTCCCCTCATAATGTGGACCTTCCCCTAGGGAGTTATGGACACACAGAAGTCACAGAAACATAAGGTAGAACATACTATTCCTTTAACACCCCTGCAGCCTTCTCTACCTTCCACATCAAGTTACAGACACAACAAAAGGTCAGTGTTGGGTTTTCACAAGTTGTTGCTTAGACTACCTATAAAAAATTTATATTTGCAAGTTACACTAGTATTATAAGAAAGGAAAAATCATATTACTTTAAGCCCACAGAATATTCATCAAGATAGACCATAAACCTGAGTCATTTAAAAAAAAGTCAACAATGCCCGGGCACAGTGGCTCACATCTGTAATCCCAGCACTTTGGGAGACCGAGGCAGGCAGATCACTTGAGGCCAGGAGTTCATGACCAGCCTGGCCAACATGGCAAAAGCCCGTCTCTACTAAAAACACAAAAAGTAGCCAGGCATGATGGTATGCGCCTGTGGTCTCAGCTACTTGGGAGGCTGAGGCAGGGGAATCACTTGAACCCACAAGGCGCAGGTTGCAGTGGGCTGAGATTGCGCCACTGCACTCCAGCCTGGGCAACAGAGCGAGATTCTGTCACACACACACACACACACACACACACACACACACACACACACACACAAAGTCAACAAATTTAAAGGATTAAATATAGTGTAAGTTCTCTAACTATAAATGAATCAAACTGTAATTTAGTAATAGAAAGACAACAGGAAAATCTATAATATCTAGAATTTAAACAACACACATCTAAATAATCTATGGGTCAAAGTGGAAGTCTCAGGGAAATGTAAGAATTAGAGAGAACTAACTGAAACTGAAAACACTACAGATCAAAATCTGTAAGATGCAGCTACAGCAGTGCTGACAGGGAAAATTATAGTAATAAACGCTCACATTAGAAAGGAAGGATTTATTCCAGATATGCAAGTCTAGTCCAATATTCTAAAATAAATCAATGTAATCCACCATCTCAAGCAGCTAATGAAAAAAAACCATATGAGCACATCAGTTGACACAAAAAAGATGCTGACAAAACTCAACACCCAATTATGGTTTTTAAAAAAAAAGAGAGAGAGAGAAGAAAAGAAAAAACACAACAAAAAACCCCTCTTAGTACATTAGGAAAAGAATTTCCTCAGTCTCATAAAGAGCACCTACAAAAACTAATAATGTCATACTTCATGGTGAAAGACTGAATGCTTTCCCTTTAAGATTGAGAACAATGCCAGTCTTACCATTCCCATTCTAGCCACTGCAGTAAGGCAAGAAAAGGAAATTAAAGACATACAGATTGGAAAAGAAGAAATAAAACTGTCCTCATTGCAAATGACATGATTGTCTACATAGGAAATCTCAATAATTTTATTTTTTAAAAACTCTGAGAAGTAATAGGTAAATTCAATAAAATGACAAGGTATAAGATTAATACACAGAAAAATGTATTTATATGTACTGACAATAGATAGGTGGAAATCAAAATAAAAACTCAGTACCATTTACAATTGCTCCAAAGAAAAGGAAACACTTAGGTATAAATTTAAGAAAAGATGTACAAGATCAGTATCATGAAAATTATTTAAAAAATCAAAGAAGACCAAAATAAATACTATGTTTAGGGACTAGAAGGCCATTCTAAAATGTGGATGTCAAAGCACCACATGAAAAAGCAACTGAAGTCCTAGAAAATAGAAATGTAACTTTATTCCAATAAAGCTGGAGGACAAAGAGGGGAAAATGTATTTGGAAAACAAATGGCCACAGAATAGCCAGAACAATTTTGGGAAAAAAAATAATAAGTGTGAGGAATCACTCTTCCCAGTGTCCAAACTTACACCTGCAGTAATCAAGATAGTGTGGTACTGGTAGAGGAACAGACACATTACCAATGGGACAGAATAGAGAACCCAGAGAGATACCCCACAAATATGTCCGATTAATTTTTAACCAAGGAGCAAATGCAATTCAACTGAGGAGGGGTAGTCTTGTCGATAAATGATGCTGGCCCAGTTGGACATCCATAGGTTTAAAAATGAACCTTCACTTAAAACTCTCACACAAACACAAAAAATAACTCAAGGCCTGGCACAGTCACTCACACCTGTAATCTTAGCACTTTAAGAAGCCAAAGCAGGAGAATCTCTTGAGGCCAGGAATTCAAGACCATCCTGGGCAACATAGCAAGACCCTGATTCTACAAAAAAAATTTTAAAACTTAGCCAAGTATGGTATTGCATGCCTGTAGTCCCAGCTACTCGGGAGACCGAGGTAGGAGGATCACTTGAGCCCAGGAGTTTGAGGCTGCAGTGAGCTGTGATCATGCTACTGCACTCCAGCCAGGGTGACAGACTGAAACCTCATCTCAAAGAAAATAATAATAATAATAAAACTAACTCAAAATAGATCCTGGTCTTAAAAGTAAAACTGAAAAAAAAAAAGAAAACCAATCTTTGGACTCTGGAATTATTGCAACTAAGCAATAAGTTCTCAGACTTGACACCCAAACCGCAATCTATAACAGAAAAAAACTGGCCCGGCACAGTGGCTCATGACTGTAATCCCAGAACTTTGGGAGGCTGAAGTGGGTGGATCACTTGAGGTCAGGAGTTCAAGACCAGCCTGGCCAACATGGTAAAACCCTGTCTCTACAAAAAATACAAAAAAATTAGTCAGGTGTGGTGGCACGCACCTGTAGTTTTAGCTACTTGGGAGGCTGAGGCAGGAGAATCACTCGAACCCAGGAGATGGTGTTGCAGTGAGCCGAGATTGGACCATTGCACTCCAGCCTGGGCAACAGAGGGAGACTCCATCTCAAAAAAGAAAAAAAAAGGCCGGCACTGTGGCTCATGCCTGTAATCCCAGCGCTTTGTCTCCAAAAAAAAAAAAGGAAAAAAAATTATAAACTAGACTAAGAGAAAATATTTGCAAACCACATATCCAACAGTCTGTATATCTATAATATATAAAGAACAGTCAAAGCTCAACATTTTTAAAAACAATTCAATTAGAAAATAAGCAAAAGGCACATACAGACATCACGCTGAAGAAGATAGACAGGTGGCAAATAAATACATGAAAAGATAATATCCAACATTATCATCATTAGAGAAATTAAGTTGAAAGCACAGTAAGATATCACTACACACCAATAGAAAGACCACACCCTGTCATAGGCAGGGGCACATGGACAGCTATGACAGAAGGGCCTTGGACCACCAGATGTGTAGAACAAGCCGTGTAGGGAGACCTACTGAAAGATTGCCAGGGAACGGATGGGCTGCATGGGGAGGCAGCCTCTGGGAGGTCTTGGGCTGCCACACTACTCATGGAATCCAGGGACTGCCCTCCAAGGCCCTTCCTGAGACCCTGCCATGCTCCCTTCTATGTGTGGCTGGTTTCTGTGTGGTGGCCTCTGCTTTTTGTTTCTGTAAGGGTGGAAACCATGTCGAACTGGCCTCTTAAATATCTGCTAGCCGTAATAAAAAAAAAATCAAAGTACAGGACTTTTAAAATCTAGAAATGGCTTTTTGTAGAGAAGGAGAGGTTTTTTCTAAATGACAAATAATACTAACCATTAATTAATGAAAATAAATCTTTGCAAATTATGTAGTTTTCAAAGGTTGAACAATTTTACAAAAAAAGTGAACAAACCTTAGAATAACAGAGAAGCCCATTAAAAATAATTGGCATTGTATTGTATTTTTTAATTAATGACTGTAACTAATTAAAGCACATTGAATTTATTAAATCTATAATTGCAAAATAATAGTAAAAAAGGGGAAGAGGGAAACTAAATAAATTCAGTGGACACCACTGGAAGTTACTAAGGGAAGAGCTCATTACTAAGAAAGTTGATCATTACAGAAATAGGATTTATCTTAGGCGGGCAGTGGGCCCTGGTGGGTATTAAAATCATTAAGAGAAAAAGTGGCAGGGAGCTGGGCACCTTTCTCCACCACCTCAACTCCCTGAGCATTCTCCGCACCCCTGACAGCAGGACATCCAGACATAGGGTCCTCCTCCTGGACACAGGCCAGACCCCTGCACACCTGTGAAGCACAGGTGCCCCAAAATGGAACCTGAAGGCTTCAGATCTCAATTGTAGTCTGTAGGAAATAGGATAGAGCAGCTAATTAATCCCATGAGGAACCCAGCACTGAATCAGGGTATAGAATATTCTACAGAACAACAGAATAGGATTTGTCAACTAGATGGTGGCGCAGTAAAGATTTCACCTAACGTCACCTTTAGAAGGGCCCTTGGCTGGCTTCTGGGTACTCAGCTTCGGGACTATTCCCTCATTACCAAAGAGAAGGCTGTCTTGTGGGCCTGGGGCAGTGTGTTCTGCTGTATTACCTGCATGCCCAGACTGTATAAAATGTGATTTATAAATGGTGCGCACCTGCTTGCTTCCTGGGAGCAGGGATCTTGGTAAGCTGAGGGTGACCATCTAACCGGCCTCCACAAAAACTCAGTCTCCAACAGGTTGCCCAGGGCAGAAACACCGCATATGGCTGCCTCTGGCTGCTGGAGGGAGGGGCGTGCTCTGTGTGGGCCCACCTGGGAGAGGAGACCTTTCAGAAGCCCACTCCTGGGTTCCTCCAGGCTCAGCAGGTTTCCACTGCCGGGCATGGCAATAAACCCCAGCCCAGAGGACAGCTGCCCCTGAGCCTGCGAGTTCCTGTGTCAAATCACAGGGTGGTCATGGGAACCGTGAAACAACAGTAATATTAATTTAAAAGAAAATGGATAGAAAATGGAGGGAACAAAACTGTTCTAGAACTGAAGAGATGTAAGAGATAACAATTAATCCTGTGAGTGGTCCTTGTTAGACAGGTGAGGGCTCAACTTACTGGGGTCATCATTCCTCAGCAAGTGTACTCAACAACCACAAGCAAAGTTCTGGAACTTTCCTGGCCACTCCTCCAGCCTGCCATCTCCTCAACATCCCCAGGTATTTCTCAGACCTATCCCAAGCTCACTAGGACGCGCCTCTAACGGTCACATCATGCACTGACCTTCCAGGCTCCTGTCCGTGTTGTGGTTAAGTTTGATTTCATAGTTAAAGCAACAACGGACCTGCCCAGCCCAGGAAGGGTCTGCACATTGCTTCGTGCTATTGAAGGCATAGCCACACTTAGAACTTCCCAGAAACATAACATTGACTGGACTTAAGATCACATGTGGAAATGCCCATAAGCCAAGTTGGTAGACGGAACAGATAATCAAATAATCCCTCCGGGCACACAGCCCCAGGCCATCCGTGTCCCCTCACACACACAACCCCACGGTGCAGGTGGGCGCAAATGAGCACACCCATCACACAGGTGCAGACTCTGAGTCTCAGAGGAGACTGTGACTCTTGTTCCCTCAAGGTCACACTTGGAGTGAGCAGCGGAGAGAGAGTAGAAAATCGTATGCACATTCTGTTTTCTCAGGTACACTTCTGCTCCTAAAGTCCATCCTTCTCATGTCAGTTGCCAAGATTCAGCAAATATTCCTGTATGGTTCCCTTTCTACCTAGAGAGAGGGACACGCTAATCTTTAGGAATGATGACACTAGTCCAGTTTGATTAAGGAGTCAGGACTGAGCCCATCCAGAGTGTCTCACGGATCTCAAGCCTCCCTGACTGTGGGCCCAGACAGATCGGGGGAGCAGGTGTGAAAGTTACCTCAAATATGATCAGCGCGTAGACGCCCGCGAGGATGGCCGTCGCGATGGTCACCTGGGTTTCTACACTTCCGCGGAGGTACTGATGAGCCATCAAAAGAGGGACAGCCTGGGTCTGCTGCAGGGAGGCCCGGATGCTGATGGACACCGTCTCTCTGCAGAACGAAACAACGACCTTACTGTTCACAAGGTCAACAGTTAGGGGACCTCCCTCTGTATCAGCCATGGCATTAACCAGAGTGCAAATGGAACAATTCAGCCCAACGCCCAATCTCACAGCTGGAAGAGCAGTGAGCACAGGCCAGCGGCGTGAGACATAGGATGCAGCCTCCCTGCAGCCAAGCCCGACTGGTCCAAGCAGGCCCCTCAGCCTTCCTGTGACACCACCCGACAATGAACAGTGAGTAGGGGCCTGCACAGAAGACGCCAGCCATTGAACTGGCTCTTCCTCCTCCCCAACATACCCGACCAGTTTACCTGCTAACTAAGAGCAAAGCCAGCTATTTGAACTCCAGTCCCTGAGAGTGGGGAGACGCACTACAGACGAGAAGCCTGCAAGTGACCACAGGTCTGTGGCGAACACTGAAGCGTTTTTTCAAGTTCAGGCCAATATGTTTTATGGGCCGAATTATGTCCCCTTCCTCCAAAAACAATTCCTCTGTTGAAGTCCTAACCCCGAGTACCTCCAAATGTGACTGTAGGTAGAGGGAGGGTCTTTAACAAGGTGAAGAAGGTTAAATGAGGTTATGGGGATGACTCCTAATCCAGTAGGATGGGTGTCCATACAAGGAGAGATGAGAAGACAGGCACAGAGGGATGGTCACCTGTAAGCCAGGGGAGAGGCCTTGGGAGAAACTGACCCTGTCGACACCTTGACCTCGGACTTCCAGCCTCTAGAATTACAAGGTAAATGACTGACATTTAAGCCACCCAGTGTGTAGTACTATGATACGGCAGCCTTAGCTGTCTAACACACCAAGCAAGAGTACCGATTGAATATGAAGCAGCATTAGTTAAGGAAGAAGAATCCTAAATTTCCTAGAATTCTCCATTGTACAGCTTCACATTAATGAAATTAGAACGTCAACCAAAAAATACCATTTGTTTCAAAGTGACTTCTGCAGTCGACCCTCTCACATCCTGACACCCATGGCTACGATGTCCTCCCACAGCCTTTGAGCTCACTGTCTACACAGCATGAGTGCCGTGTCCAAGTCACATGCTGACCTGGTGCTGTGTGGGCCGAAATCAGTGTCCTATAGGTCAGACTCCTTTAAACGCACGTGTCCCAGAGAGCCTGCCCCAACACCTCACTCACTGAGAACTCACCTGGTCAGTACCTCAAAGGTCCTGCTCATCACTGAGTGCTCGCTTCTCCTCGGATTTAAATACACCGTCCAGTTGTGAGTGACCTGTACAAGCCAAAGCATAAGTTATGGTGAGGCTTTTCACCTGAGACACCATCTGGGATCTGGCACTGCTCGGTCTAGGTATTTGTTTCAAAAAAGAAAAGGAGAAAGAAAGAAACAGGAGAGCATCTTTATTTGAGCTCTCACATCTCTGATGTTAGGAGCTAGTGCAGGTGGTTGGAGCTGGGAATTTCCACAATTTAGAGAGCTTTGTTTAAGAAAAAGGATTCAAAAGAAAAAATGCAGAATTAGTGTACAAAAGTACAAAAGGCATAGAAGTAAATAGTGATTTAATACGAGAAAAAGAAATCATGCCCAGACGCGCTGGCTCACGCCTGTAATCCCAACACTTTGGGAGGCCAAGGTGGGAGGATCACTTGAGGCCAAGAGTTCAAGATCAGCCTGGGCAACAGAGCAAGACCCCTGTCTGCACAAAAAAGTTTTAAAAATTAGCCAGGCCTGGTGGCATGTGCTTGTGGTCCCAGCCACTTAGGGGCTGAGGCGGGAGGATCCTGTGAGCCCAGAAGTTCCAAGTTACAGTGAGCTGAGATCATACCACTACACCCCAGCCTGGGCAACAGAGTGAGACCCCCGACTCTAAAAATTTTCTAATATAAATTTTTTTTAATTTAAAAAATGAAATCACTACAAGTTACTAGAGACTTGGAGAACTCTTCTGAGTGCTCTGAGTCCTGAGAACTGCTTCTGCAACTGCTTGCAACCTGGAGGCAACAAACCCACCCCCAGCAAACCTTCCACACCCCTGTGCACAGGAGCCCCTGCAAGGAAGGGCCCCAGAGTGAAGCTTCATTCCCTGCCTTGCATGTTCTTGCCCCTGGGGTGCAGGAGAGTGATCACCTGGGGAGGCAGCCTGGGGAGCGGGGGGCGGGGGGGGACCCTCAATGGGAAGATGCGAATCTCGCCCACAAATCACAAAGGACACTGAAAATAGGATCTCTGAAACCGGTCAAAGCAAAGAAGCACACGCATGAGAGAACAGAAGTTCTTTTAGGTACTTCAGTGTTTGCAAAGAGCGTATCTGGGGGGAAAAATCCTTTAGTAAAGATCTCTTGGGTTTCCCATGTTTCTGGGGCTGGATTTGCCTGTGGGCATTTTGGGTGCATCAGCATGTTAGGAAGGGCCACCCCAAGAGAGCAGGGAGGTGCCATACAGATCATTTAATCTGGGTTATTAATATGCAAGTGCTGGGGAGGCAGCGGGACCGCAGGCTGTGTAAGGTCCTGCCCTTCTCCATGCAAGTCCCAGGTCAGAGGGCAAAGGTCATTGCTCATCACCAAGGAGCCCCTTGCCAGAGGGCTGTGCTTTTCACACAGGGAACCAAGTTGACATCCTAAGACCCTGGCCAGGGCAGCCGGTTCAGAACATTGGTGTTGCGTCAGCCACGGTCCAGGACACTGCATGCTAGTTCATAATGAGACCTTTGCTCTGTGGACCATGCTCTACAAGGCAGGAAAAGGGGAGGGTGCATTCATTCTTCAGATGCTCCACTGCAGGTGACACAGCCTGTGCATGGGCGGGGTTTCCCTCTACTGGTTATAACAGGGAACATCCATGAACCAGGGCTACGACTTCCATGCAGAAGTCACCGTGATAATCCAGTGGAGTCTCCGAGGCCAGGGCTCGGGGGAGTCAGGCTTGCGTGGAAGGAGCCCTGCCTCTGGAGTCTAGGCTCTGGGCTGCCATGACAGCCACCGCTTCCTGGCTGCCTTTGCAGGATGTGAATGAAGGCTTGACAAGGCTCAGAGACAAGGCTGAGCACAGGCCTACACAGATACAGCAGCTCAGAACGTAGGCACTGTCTTAGCAGATGTCCACAAACACAGTAACCGTGCTGTGGAAGTGTCTTCTGAACCCTGACGTAAGGCCCGGACTTAACTGCACTTCAACGACACCAAAAAAAAAAAAAAAAGTTTTTTCATTTCAAATGTATGTTTCCTGAATGGCCCAGCAAAACAGTTTTGAATAAAGAACTTGCAAGCCTGATTTTACTGAAATGGCAAGAGTTTCATAAATAGAGAAATGGTAAAAAGAGAATTTCAAAGACAAAGCAAAAGATAAGAAGAGCCAATGAATTGACTAAGAATGGTGTCCTCGCCTGTGGCTCCCCATCAAATCCATTCAAGAGGAAACACAATTTATTATGAGATGAAATGAGATTTCACAATTCCTTTCAAATAAATTATCAGCATAACCTGCTGTGGCCGCCGCCACCTGGAGCCCAAAGCGTCAGCCTGGGTCAGCTCCACCACGATGTGCTCTTCCCTCCCAGGACGACTCGGCCCACTGGCCACTAGGGCCCCTGCCAGGTCCACCTGCAGCAGCGTGGAGTCCACGTGGCTGCTAAGGTTCACGGCTCGGAGAGTGTCAAGGAGAACCACAAGGCAGACAGGAGAAACCCCATGTCCCCGCCGCCCGCCAGACGCACACCCTCCTCTGACAGTGTGTGAAGAAATGCGTTTCCCCAGGTGCCCCACGCCCTTGGCCATTAACACGATCTTCCTGCCTTTCTTATTACCCACATCTCAGCCCTCATTCAAGACCTAACTCCCCTGAAGCAGATCGTCGTGACCCTCTTGTGAGAGGTGCCCCCCACACCAGGGAAAGGGTGCATCCTTAGCTCCAAAGATGGAGGGAGGCCAAGAGGGACCTGAATGGACAGGCCTCGCCAGGGCCCCTCCCGGCCCGTTTCCTGCGCTTGCTCATGTGCTCTCGTCCTATCACACCTTTCAGGACCCCACTCTTCATCAAACCTAGCATCAAAACACCAAGCTCAGCTGTTTCTTGTCAAGCAACGCTTATATGAAATACATGAGTATGCCTTTTTCTTGTTAACCTGTCCTTCGTGTCTAATCTGCAGGGCCCTGGTTGGAGAAGCTAGGAGGGTGGGGAAACAGTGTTTTCTCCTCCCCTCTGAATCTCACAGTCTCCTCCATGTCCTCTGAGAGCCCAGGATGCAGCGCTGGGTGTGATACAAAATGCATCACATGGGAAAAAGGAGAGAATGAAAGGGATGGGGAAAGAGGGAGGGAGAGAATAGGGAGAATGGGGAGAAGGGAGGGAGAGAGAAAGGGAGAGGAGAAAGAAGAGGACGCAGCAAAGAAGAGCAGGAAGGGAGGGAGGAAGAGAAAGGAGAGCGGGAGACAAGGACGGTGCCTTAACTGACCTGGTTGTAGAGGTTTGCTGGCTTCTGTTCATTTGCCCAGTGCCCTGGGAGCCTGACAGGCCTCCTTCAGACAACAATTCAGGGACAAAGAACTTCAGGTGCTACAATTACAGGCTTCTGAAATAGACCCTGCAACTACCGAACCGACACCGCCTGGCTGCTGCGGGAGACACTGAGGTTCCGAAAGAAAGGTGGCTTCGCTATTCACCGGCTAAAGGAGAGTGGTGCTTTCTCCAGAAGCTCCTCCCCTCACAGCAGACACCCTGGGTGTCCTTCACCCAGCCTCCTCCACAGGGCAGGCCAGAGGGCCGGGAGGAGGCCTCGAGCTCCTTGCTCAGAGGACAGCCCTGAGGACATTGCTGTGGGCCTTTCCAACCAGGCCGAGGCCCCTCCTACCTCACGCCTATACTGCACGCCCTTTCTCAGGGAATCACCTTGTGGGGGGCAGGGTCCAGCTGGCTTCCCCTCCTCCCCAGGCAGGCCTCAGGCCTGCAGCTTTCACAAAGCTCAGCTTTCACAAAGAGAGGGTCCGTGAGTTTCCGGAAAGCGTGGTTAATCCCTGGGAACACTGCCCTTTTCCAAGGAGCCTGCTGGAGGCTCAAATCAACCCCTCATCGTGGCTGGTGACCCACTGCGCTGGAGGACGCAGCACCCGTCTTCCCCCCTGCGGCCTTCATCTCTCCCAGGCTCTCTCTCTCCCTCTTCATCCAAATTCGAAGGCCACACAGGGAGCAGGCGAGACAGCTCCCCGCCCCCACCCATCCCCACCCCCTGCCAAGAAAGGCAGGCTGCCCTGCCCCCTGCTGGGAGGGACTCAGGCTGTGGGGTCCTGCGTGGGGCCTGGTGCACTCAGGCTGCTCGAGAAGGAGCTCGGCAAAATGCCTTAGAATAAAGGGGACACACTGGGGCCTGGGTGGGATGACCAGAGGGCTGAGGCTATCATCTCATCTTAGTGACCTAAGCTGCTGTGCTCGCCTGGGATCTCTACTGACTGATCAAGTTTGGTGCCAGTGTTCCCCGAAATCTCCCCCTCCTGCCTGAGTCCCACTGAGGACGGTTTCTGGACAGGATCCAGCCTCCCCCTTCAGGTTCCTGGGTCAGCCTGGCAGCCGGTTGCTCTATCTCCCCTTCCCCCTGCGGGAAAGTCCTGCCCAGGAGGGTGGCATGTCCTGGGAACTTCATGAGGGGGGCCAGGAACACAGGGCAAGTCTTGGCTTTCTTCATCCTGGAGAAGTAATGCAGAGGTCGAGGCACAAGAATGAGAAACAAAGTCTGTCAACATCACACAGCTCTTCGGTTCTCTCACATGGAGATACTTTACAGCTCAGGCACGGTTTTAAAGTGATGAAGAAAATACAAACACGTGCACACGCACTCAGCTGACATCAGCACCGCCCTGACCCCAGTGGAAGTGGAGTGCTTCTAAAACTGTGGGTGCCTCCATCCACTGAGCAGAGGGAAGCACAAACTGTGACCAGTGTGCCCCCGGCTCACCAGAAAGCCTCAAGTGCCAGGCCTTTCTGGAAGGCTGCTGGTGCCCTGCTGGGTAGGTCACTGGCTAAGGAGAGGGTGTCCTGGGAAGATGTAGTGAGACTGCCAGAAGGACTACAAAAACCAAGACTATGCAACAGATTACAGCAACTGCAAGGAAAGCAAGCCAGTTTCCTAAAATTTCAGTTCACTGAGGCTATCAAGTAAGTAGACTAAAGAAAAAAACACTCGCCATTTAGCTAACTGAATTAATTCCTTTTTAAATAATAATCATCAAAAATATTTGCCTGATCAGAGCACTGCATCGGAGGGTCCCACCTCTCCAGGACCCTCCACGGATGCCCGCCGCACTAGCAGTACCGGGGGCTTCAGGGGCCTTCATGCACAGACACCTTAATGACCATGTCCATTCCAAAATAGGCTCTGGACCCTGGCTGGAGAGCTGAGAAACAGCCCTCCCACCCTTTCACCCAGAAAAGGCTGGGCGGACATCAGTTAACCGCCCACTCCTGATCCCAGAATAAGGCTGCAGCAGAAACAACTCGCCTGAAACCTAGAGCAAAACAGGTGACTGTAGGAAGAGGCGGCTTCCCTGGGACAGGTGCCAGCCCCACACTTCAGAATCAGGCGGGATTCAGCCAGAAAATGTAGACATTGCTCAAGGTCAAGTGTGGGCTCGCTTGAGCGTGGGAGCCTCTGAGAGCCACAGATGGAGGTGTTCACATTTTCTTGCAGGCTTTTCCTCCAGGAACCCCAGCGGACGCTCCCCAGGAAGACAGGAAGCCTGGGGAAGATCCCGGGAAAGCATCCCCCAGTGATGCCAAGCTTCACCCTCTCCCGCTGCCTCTATCTCCCCTAAGGAGCAAAGGCCTTCATTTGCTTGGGAAGCGCATCTAATCTGGCAGCCAGAGGGCGCAGTGGGAATTCCTGCAGCCATGAGAAGGTAGGAGGGGAAAAAGTAGCTCTTACCCCAGTGGGAGGGGTGGGCATAGAGCAAGGTCTGGCAGACAGCTGGCAGGGCGCCCGGTAATTCTGAGTGTCTAGTGCACCGCAGGTTGCCACAGCAACCGCAAACCTCAACACAGCCAGATTCTCACTAGATTTACATGAACCCTCCAACTAATGCCTGCAGAAGTCAAGGCATGCTCATCTCCAAGCTTAAACACCACTGGCCTCTGTATCTACTATCCTACAGGATGTGTATGACTTCTAACTAAAAATTCTGAGGCATGCAAGAAGGCCAGAGCAAGCACAGTAGGAGGTGCCACAGCAGTCATCAGAGCAAGGTGACACAGCCAGGACAGCAGGGACTGGAAGATGGGTCACGCTGAACGCAAAAGAGACGGGGGAGGAAAGGAGTATCGGGGAGCTAGGGAAAGCCAGGTCCTGGCTGGAATGTGCCCTGCTGTCCCCCTTCCTCACTCGGAGAGCTCCACCACCAACCCCGCCACTGTCTCCCTGGAGCTCCCCGCCCCTCTGTCCTGAGACTCCATCTCTCATCAGACATCCTGGAGAAACAAAATTCGAGTGGTAATGGCCTGTGCCGTGGCCTTCAGCAGCAGTCACAACCGTCTGCAAGTGTCTCCTTGTGTTTCAGATCTCAGCCAGGCGGCTGGCCATCTCAGAGTGGATTTTGGATACAGTAGTTCTCCAGCGGTGATAAGGCCAACAGCTGCCAGAGCTTTCCTTGATCCGGATATAGGCTGAACAAAATCTGTAACAATCAGAAACGTTGAATGACAGAGGTGTGGTATGAGAGCAGTAAGGTATAAATCATTTTGATAACAGTCGAAAACAGATGTGATGATGGGGCTACTGTGTGCATCCAGTACGCGCCAGCTTACTCTGAATAGCTTTGTCTTAAATATTATAATATTCTGATTCATTACAGTGTTCAGCTACAATGGGCCCTGATTATTGATACCTGCCAAATTTAAGGATTAAATGCCTGGCCATAAAATTAAATCATCGAAGAAGGATAAATGTGGTTTTCTCACAATGGAGAATAAAGGCATATGACCCCTGTGATGGTTAGAGCATGTGTTTGTGGTAGCAGGTGTTTGTGAAATTTGCAAAGCACCTTATACACCATCAAAAAGTAAATTAAACTGATGATAACATGAGATTATAGAAGTTCAAATCATTCCTCAAATTCTATTTTGGATATCTCCACAAATCACCTAAACTCCATCTCACAGAAGAAGGCTGAAGACTGGACACAGAGCTCAGGTCAGCTCTTGGGGACCAGGGGAGACCTGGCCCACCCTGCCCGGTTCCTTTGAAATCTCAGAGCACCTGCCAGGCCCTGCTGAGCAGCAGGGCTTCAGAAACACACATTCATGTGAGTAGGAAGTGGGGAAGCAAATTGGTAGCCAAAAATATCAAATCGTGATGCTTTCAGAGCTCAATGTAATTGGTTTTCCATTTCTAGCATAGGTTTCCTTTCTCTGGGTCACAGATCTCCTCCCTCATGGGTTGGTTATTAAGAAGTTGACTGTACTCAGCTCAATGCAATCAGCACTGACTTCGTACACCACCCTGCTGTCCACATGTCACAGCTGAGAGCGGACCCAGGGCCACAGACATTCCTGCACGCACGCAGAGCCACAACACACATGCCACGCGTGCAGGTCACGAAACAGCCAGCAACAGCCACACATCTCATGCACAGGGGACCCTGTCACCAGGGCAGGCTGCGTGGGAGAGCACACCACCCCCTAAGCTGGTGCACATCATGAAACACAGCTCAGACCCACCCTTGCCCACAACCACAGTCACACCCCCATCACAGCAGCACCTACCACCCACTGTGGTCTCCCAGCAACTGCCCATGCACACCATCTTGGAGCAACACTCAAAAGTGGCACTCACCCAAAATAACTCCGCAAAGCACAGGCACAACCCATCATGGTCACTGACCACAACCTACACAGCTCACACAGGTGCACACACAGAGACATACAGCAGGCACAGGGGACCACACACAACCTACACAGTTCACAATGGTGCACACACACAGACATAGAGCAGGCACAGGGGACCATACACCCACGTGCAGACACGAAGACACACAGCCACAGACAGGAGACCATATACTCACCTGCACACACACAGACACACAACCAGACAGGAGACCACACACCCACTCATTGGGCAAATGTATTTTGAGTGCCGCTATGTGACCCTGGCTCAGGCTACATCAGGCCACAAAGCACACCAAGGCTGGCAGTGGGACCTGTGACTGTCGCCTCGGAGGGCACAGAGGTGTCTCTGCAGCCCTGGCTCCCTGCTCGGGCTCCTGTGCCTTTCCCTTGATGGGTCCATCTGCTAGGACCCCTCCAATGAAGAACAGCACCGCCCACTGCCATGGGCTCACCAGAGCAGCCCTCGCCCTCCCCTCGTTCCCACACTCTGTTCCCTACAAGGGCATCTCACGTTGGTTTGGCTCCAGAATGAGTCTGTTGTGAATGTTCATGTATTTGAAAGGATGGAGATGTCTGGGCAAATAAAATCAGAGACACCTCCCCAGAGGGGGCAAACCTCAGAGCTTCAACACTTACCGCTGGGCAGAGGCCCAGGGCACAATCTCAAAGGGGTGCTGAGACACTCTGGGCTATCCACGATCTCCAGATGTGTTCCAACACACATGAAGAGTGCTACTGTCCAGGGCTGAACAGGGAAGTGGTAAGCCACTCGAGGGGGAAGGGAGCCCCACAGCCAGCTACCCGACCTTCCATATGGCAACAACATGCTGCCCGGCTTCTGCCGTGTGACTGGGACCACAGCAGAGGAGCACAGCTGCGGCCTCGACCCCCTCAGCCCGCTGCCCCACAACCCTCAGCATCTCCTCCAAAGACAGTCAGAGAATCAGGCGAAGAGGGCCAGGCACTGAGCCCCACACCTCAGGTTCCCCCTGCTATACAGCCAAAGGCACACAGGGCTTCCACGGACCCAACAGTAGTGCTGGGGCAGCTAAGGTACTCACAGAACACAGCACCACAAAGGCAAACAGGCCCATGACTTTCAGCCACTGCACACAGCGCCTGCAAGAGAAAAAGTAGGGCCTTAGTGGCAAGGGCAGCAGTCCTGTTGCCCAGACTCAGACACTTTTCTGCAGCCTTGAGTAACTTCCATCTCAAAGCATGTGTTTTGAATTCTTTCCATAACATGATATGAGGGAGAACACCCTCATATCAGTGACCAGTAAACCCACAGCCCCATCCAAAGGAGCATGGTGGAGGTTCCAGAGGAGAACAAAGTTAACCAAAGTGTTTGCACATAGCTTGTTGTTGGGGAAACTAAAGTTCAAGATTTGAGACTTTTTGATAGCTGTTTAAAGGCTCCTGTTTCCTGGAAAAAAAGTAAACTGAATGCCTTATCTTGTCTCTCTGATTCATATTTATCAATTATTTTCCCCTAAGTTTTCTGAAAGGTAGGAATACAGATTTGATCATCAAATACAAAAACAAATAACTTAAGAAAGAAATTGCTATGCCGTTACTGGTTGTACCAGCAGTCTGTTAAGAATTCCTTAGGCGATAACTTAATTAACCATCAAGCCACACACTCAGCCCCTACCAAGGACTTCCAAAGCCATCCCGGCCCCCTTACCATTACCCATTTCTTAACCATGACCCCCAAGGCCCTATGTGAACCTGGGCCTGGCCTGCACTCTGCTGCCCTTCCATCCTACCAACGTCCTTGCTGCTCCCAGACCGGACCACAGGGCCTTTGCCTGCCGGGATGCTCCCTGACTGCAGTCCTCCTGTCATGCCCTTCTCTGCTCACTCAGCAGCCAGACCCCATCACCCAATGGCACCATCACTGCCCAGTCCAGGTTGTGCTCTCCCACCGGCTGCTCCGTGAGGGCAGGCACTAGAGCGTTTTTGCTTTGTCCCCACACATGGAAGGATGCTGGTACATAGCCCATGCTTGATGTATGTGTGTAGAATGAAATAAGAAACTCTATGTTGGAACATCTTTTTAATACTCTCCTCACTTAGTTAAGTTGCATCTGTCTTTGAAAACCTTCTTTCTGATCCTTTGAAAATGGTAAAATCTTGTTTTGCATTCTCTTAGATTTAATGAATTTGATGAATAATCAGTTCACGCTTCCCAATTACGATTCAACAGCTCCTACTTAAATAGGAATCAAAATGACATTTCTTTTTAAAGCATGAAGCATTAATTGAGCTATTCTAAATACAAATTTCTTTCTACGTAACTGACATCTGCAGCAGAGCTGACAACCCAAAATAAAAGGTTTTTTACAAGATTCTTCACTGATCACGCATGGTACTTTTTAGACATGTTATAAAGAATGGAGCTAACGTCTTTTAGTTCAGTGGCAAGCTCAAAGGCAAATATTCCATGAATCATAGAAGATAAAACAAGTACTGAATGCAAAAGTCTCAAATGTACTTGATTCTATTTTTCCATGTTGTGGGACAGCTGAGGACACGGCATCCTCAGGAGTGGTTACCCGTCCAGCTGGGAAAAGGCATGAACAGTGTCAGCGTTTGCCATCTTGTTGACCCATGGCGCCAGAACCCCACTCACACAATTTCACCCAACTCACATAATCTCATAGCGGATTCATTGGCCAAATGTTTATTGCACCCACGAGGGGGGCTGAGACCCCTTCTTCTCATCAGGAAGAAGCTACAGGCCGTTGAGAGTCACAGTGGGAAGAGACAGCTCCATGTAAAGCAGCGATGTGGGGGATCTAGGGTCGAATCCCTGCCCCTTGGCTTGGCTCAGTGTGGCCTTGGGCAAAAGCCTTATCCTCCTTGAGGTACCCTCCGTGTACCTCCCAGGATTGTTGGGAAGATGTATAGGATAGCGGATCCCTACGCACCTCAGGGAGTCTGAGGCGGGCCTCTTCGCACCCCGGGAGGTGCACTTGGAGCGTGCAGGCGGGTACACTTCCAACCAACCGCGAGCATCTTCAGAAAAGACTGGTCCCCACACACAGAGACACGGTGACGCTAATATTTGATGACTAAGTAGTGTTTTTTCACTTTTCTAGGGCTTTCACACATATTATCTTAGTGTAGGCCCGTGAGAGGCCACAAAGCCAGGAGGGCATCGCGTGACAGGGTACCGTCGCGTGGCCAGGCAAGGCCCTGCGATGGGCGCTCAGCGACTTCAGGTCGGATCCAGAATGGAAGCCCACTGGTCCCGGCTCCAAAACCTTGTTCTGTCCTGGAAATGATGCTTTCAAACATGTCCCTCTCAAAAGAACCCTTTCAAATGAACGGGCGCATGGGAGGAAACCCATTAGATAAATAGGCCAGTAAGGTGAGAGCGCTACTGCCCGCGCACACGCTCGGCCTCCCACGCATGCGCGCCCTAGGCCTACACACGCATGCGTACTCCCACTCCCACGCCCGCCGTCCCCCTACGCATGCGCATCCCCTCCCCACCCATTGCTCCCGTAGGCATGTGCACCATCCACTTTCTCTATGCAACTCTGCTTCCCCAAGCATGGCTCTGTGCTCCGTGTGCCCCGGACAAATGCTTACACATTAATGGTTTTCCAACGGATTGTAAGTTCTAAAATGTTTCCAGCCTTAACAAGGTTTCTGGAGCCCACAGCACAGAAGGGAACCCCACCCCTCAGGCTGTGCGCTGGGCCAGACCCACTCCTTCGTCAATAACTACAAAGGTATATCAAATTCCAAAACGCCACGGGGACGCCTGAAGCAAACAGATCCTATCTGCAAACCTAATGGCCATGAAGACCCCAGCCACACAAGCAGGAAGGAGAGGAGTGTACTGTGTCAATCATTTAGGTTTGTCCTCTCCGGCGCTGCATGATTTGCAGGAGGTCTTAAATGTCTCCCTAGGCCCAGGTAAAAATAAATCACCTTGGAGGAAAAGTGCAGCCTGGCCAGATGAGACAAAACTCATCCTCTTCTTCACGCTGCTGGTTTGAAAGATGGAGGGGCCATGTAGGACGCGATGTGCGGCCACCGCTGCTGCCAGGGTGGGCACCCCAAGTCCGCCTACCTCAGCTTGGAAAGACGGAGTCGGATGTGCGGGCTGTCCAGAAGGTCTCCCTTCTCGGAGGAGGCAGATGCAGACAGACCAGACACCTCCCTGCTTAGCAGGTATCTTCGCTCCCAGTCAGCAGAGCTGTCTTCCCAAGACTCTTCAGCAGTGATGAACTCTGGATGGTAAACAGGTATGCACCGTGACCTGGAAAGCAAGAGAGGTGTGGTTATCTCTCCTGAAATAGTAATGGCTACAAAGCAAGCTTTCCTCTGAGTTCTGACTGTGTGAAATGGCACCGAATCAACCCTGGTCTTTCAAAGGACCACAGACAGTGGTGCACTCTCATACTGGTGGGAATGGGTTTTTTTGTGACCTCTCAGAACACTTAGGTCAAAGGAAATTTTCTGGAGTCATTAAAGTCTTCAAAATGAATTGTGGGCCTTCAAGAAACCAGCTTTTTCTGAGTTTGGGACTTTCCAAGAAAGCTGTTTCTGGCTCAGACCAGTTCCCGCTGATTTCAGCGTTGGCTTTTTCACTGCATGCACTCCAGTAGTCAATACCTAGATCTGGGAGACTTGTCCAGGGTGAGTGGTGTCAGTTTTTCCTCCTCTGTGTAGATCTCTTTCTGCAGTGGAGCTGTAGGGAAGGTGGCCTACCTGGCTTCCCACACAACATCCACAGAAGCATGAGCAGGAAGAGGGAACATTCGTACCTGACTATACAGGCCAAAAATGGGGCCTATATCTAGATGACTCAAGGGGAATCATAAACTTTTCTCAGAATTACTTGAAAACACATCCGTTTACTTTTGGGATTTTTGTTGTTGTTGTTGTTTTGTTTTGTTTTTTGAGACAGAGTCTTGCTCTGTCACCCAGGCTGGAGTGCAGTGGCGCAATTTCAGCTCACTGCAACCTCTGTCTCCCAGGTTCAAGCGATTCTCCTGCCTCAGCCTCCCCAGTAGCTGGGCTTACAGGCGTGCACCACCATGCCCAACTAATTTTTGTATTTTTAGTAGAGATGGGGTTTCATCATGTTGGCCAGGCTAGTCTCGAACTCCTGACTTCAAGTGATCTGACTACCTTGGCCTCCCAAAGTGCTGGGATTACAGTCATGAGCCACTGTACAGAGCCTCCATTTACTTTTGGTTGAATCCCTGACCTGATCAGTTCCTTCAGTTTAGATGCACTTGACTCTTAAAAGTTTGTACCAAAAGCCAGAATTTTCATGTATCATATAGAATATTCATGGGCTCACAATACTGACGTTAACAGATGTGATCTGTGACACACTAGAATGGAGCCAGCTCAATGGGGCATTGTGATTCTCCTGAACACTTATGACTGCTTTAGAAGTGGTTCACAAGGAAAAAATGTTATTCAGAAGAAGCGTAGAGATGCCAATTAGGCTGTGTATAACCAATGTGTAACAAGATAACACATGACTTTGAAAATAGTCGATAATCCTATCAATTTTGTGACTGGAAAATGCTCAGGTGTGTGAGAAATAATATCACACCAACTGCTGAAAAAAACACAACTGTAACAAAATTGGAACAAAAAAAAACCTTTTCTTATAAGAAGACAGAGGGAAGCAAGTTAATGTCATTGCCTTCTAGAGCAGTGCTGTGCAATAGAACTTTCTGTGGTGATAGAAATGTTCGCTTCCCTGTCCAATATGGCAGCCACATGTGCTATTTGTCACTTGAAGTGTGGCTAGTGCAACTGAAGAAGTGAATTTTTAATTTTAATTAATTTAAATTTAAATAAACATCTGTGAAGAGTGGCTACCAGTTGTCAGTTCAGATACAGGGCATGCTTTGACCTTTGTACCACACGTTCCTGCTGTCAACACCCTTAAAAGAATACTTCTGAAAATATATAAATCAATGGATATTATCCTAATAAGCCATTTGATCAAATTAAAACTGCAACAAAATAAAGTTGATAAAAGTAAAGCATGAAAAAGACATTCCTACCACCAATACCTTAATTAGCTTCATGCAAAAAGAGAAAAGGAAAACGTTTTGTAAGCAAAGCTGACCCATGTTCTACTCCCTTGAAATGGTTTTTGTGACATGAGGCCCAGCTCGGCCTCCCAGGGCATGTCTCTGCTCTGCATGCCAGAAAAAATGCTTACACATTAATGGTTTTCCAATGAATTGCAAGTTCTAAAATGTCACAGGCCTTCACAATTTACCAAGTAATTCAAGAGAAAGCATTAAGGGAATAGGTGCGTAAAGTTTTTGTCTTAAAAGTTATTGATTAGGAGCAATGGAGGAGAATTCAGTTATCCACCAGTACAGAAGCTTGAAGCAGCTGGGTCAGTGGAAGTGCCTCAGCTTACACTCCTTACCCATCCAGTCACTGAGGGGCTGGTGGCAGGGACTGTACTAGGTGCCAGGATGTACGATGAAGAGGGGACAGGCTGGCCAACATAACCATAGATAGCACAGGGGCTAGTTTGGAAGTAAGGGCATGAATGTAGTGTTTGAGAGCACAGGAGAAGCACTGACTCTTGGTGGGTGGGGCAGAGACAACTAAGGGTCCTCAAAGGAAGTGACATTTGAATGCCCTTGACAGGAGTAGGACTGACTGCCTGGAGAGCCAGAGAGTGAAGGAGTTTCCTCTAGTCAAGGGCTTCATGTGAACAAATCATCCCTGCACTGAGAAATGATAAACCCAGATGGCTGCATACCATCCAAATCCCGGGAGCCAGAGTATTTGGAGGCTGAGGACAGGAATGCACATGGCATGCAAGCACCCCTAAAGTGCGAAGCCCTGGTCCCTGCCCTGGCTGCAGACTGGGCTGGGGAGAGAGGAGGCAGCTCCTCGGAAGCTCAGAGGTGAGTGAAGAAGACACAGCAGCCCTCCTGTCAATGCAGGTACACACCATCAGTGGGCAGGGAAAGGAGAATCCATGATGTGCAAATAAGTGATTCAAAATCAAAGCTGTTGAAACTTTAAATTATTTTGAGTCTTAAAAGAATGTGATTATGAAAAGAGTCACATAAAAGGCAGCTGTGGCCTTTTCTCTGATTCTAGATTTGCCTTTTTCCTTACCTACATTGTTTTGTAAAATGTTGTAAAAGACTACCGGGCACGAGAGAAGACCCCTTCCCTCTTCACTGTTGATCTTCATTGACAGATTAACTTCCTTCTTTCTTCTCTCACACAAAGACCTCATGACTATCACATTGTCTAACATGGAATGTCAAATATACTCTTTTAAATTGGGGGAGGGGGGAAGCTGTAACTAATCAAATTGCTGTAACTCATAAACCAGCCATGTATGGAAAATGTAGTCCTTCTACATTTCTTTGTTTTCTGCCTATATGGATAAGAATAAGACCTTAACTTTTCAGCTTTGGAGCACTGATCCCATTCCTTTGGATTCTGTGTTTCCCAAATGGCTATCCTCAGCTTTGTGCTTGAATAAATAATTTTAAACTGGGTTCTGATATTTTTTATTATTTCAGTTTGACAGTGACAATGTCACCAAGTTTGTGACGTTCAAGGAGCCAGGAAACATGGAGCAGGCGGCTCAGGCTTCTGGCGGTTTGTTTGCAGAAAGAAAAGAAGATTGAGGCTGCAGGCCTGGCCCAAGGCCCTTCATCCCAGAAGGAAGCATCTGTAACTTGCCCTCCAGGACAGCTCTCCTCAGGCAATTCCAGAACCACCCTGATTTGTGCCCAAAAAGGACCTGCAAGTTTGCAGGAAATTGAGTTTTCTTGTGAAACACATATACAGGGTTTCTCAACTTCATCACTACTGACATTTGTGCTGGATAATTCTTTGTGGTGGGGGCTGTCCTGTGCATTGCAGAATGTTTGGAGCATCCCTTGCCTCTACCCTTAGATGCCAGAAGCATCTCAGCCCTCAGTGTGACAACCAAAAGTGTCTCCAGACAATGCCAACCTCACCCCTAGCTGAGAAACCCCAGCCTGGTAAGACAGCCCATCAGAGCTTTGTGCATGCATGAGTGTGCGTGTGTGCTGTGCAGTTGCTGCAGGGTTATGCTCAAGGCCATCTGGAAATTAATATCCACAGAATATAACCACCGGAATCATGAACATCTACTACAATAAATTGTCAAGGATCTGGCAGAGGTTAAACATGTCCAATAAAAATTCGTGTCTCAAGTTCTCCAGCATACATGCCAGGTGCAATGCTCAGAAACTCTTACTTTCATATGAGGGGGAAAATATCTCACCCTTTCTCCTGTAAGGAATTCCTCAGCAAAGGAGTGTTTTCTGTAAAGCAGGAATCTTTAGACCTGGAGCTGGACATCTGGGGCAAAGAAGAGTGAGACCTGAAAGAGACAGGGTAGGAAACAGAATCACCAACACAGAAATAATGTATGTGTTCCCAGCACTCAGGTGCTAGATTCAAGAATGTGCCCAAGATTCAGTGATAAATCTTACAAGGAAATTTGCCTAAGGGTCTGTCTGAATTGTAAAAGGCTGAAGTTTTAGAAGACACCATAAGAAAGACCTCTTCTCCCCAACTCAATTGAAAATGCATGGCAGAAACTCGCACAGGAGACCAAATACTATGGGATGACACTTTTAGGCTCACTTTTGCATTAGCAGGAGATTCAGGCCACCTTTGCTATTTCATGCAGAGCTTCTCATCAAGAAAAACATTCAGAGGGACGGGCGCGGTGGCTCACGCCTGTAATCCCACCACTTTGGGAGACTGAGGCGGGTGAACCACAAGGTCAGGAGTTCAAGACCAGCCTGGCCAACGTGGTGAAACCCCACCTCTACTAAAAATACAAAAAAAAAAAAAATTTAGCCAGGCATAGTGGTGGGTGCCTGTAATCCCAGCTACTCTGGAGGCTGAGGCAGAGAATTGCTTGAACCTGGGAGGCGGAGGTTGCAGTGAGCCGAGATTGCACCACTGCACTCCAGCCTGGGTGACAGAGCGAGACTCTGTCTCAAAAAAAAAAAAAAAAACAAAACAAAAAAACATTCAGAGTCTCATTGGTGCTTTTGTAGGCAGAAAATTCTATTTCCTAAAATCACAAGCAGTTCACATTTAAAATATCCTAATGGCGTCCATTGGAAGACCAAACAGAACAAATCAGGACCAAGGGGTTGGAATGAGACGACAATCAGAATGGCAAGGAGGAAGCTCTCCAAGGACAGCAGCCACAACTGAAGCAAAGCAAAGGTTTGCACTGGGCAGGATGGTCCTCCACCACACTGGCCTGCCTGCCATATGGAAGGACCACCATAAATGTATCATTTAAATCAGGAGCTTGTGGAAAAGGAAGTAACTGCACAACCACAACCGGCATGTATGGTCACCCTCATTAAAGGACACATGATGTTAAAAGACAACCAGCTTTCCATGAGAAGTTGTAGGAACAATTTTCGTTCCTGATCACTGAGAATATGTCATTTTATATGCTGATGCATTGCCTTTCTTACAGGATCCCAGGCCAGGTAGAGATGCTGTAGATGCTATGAAACATTCACCTAGGGAAATAACAGTAATTCTTTCTGATCACGAATGCACAACAAAGGAAGAAATTTTAAGAAAAATATTTTTGCTTGCTTCTTTCTCATTCAAGCATTCACCTGTGAGATAGACAATAAGACTTCTGTGGATGAATAAAACATGGGCCCCTGAGTTGTGTCTAACACCAGCACCATGCCTCTGGGAAGTCAGAAAAGGAGTCTGTCTGGGGCCAGTGAATATCCGCTGGGCGTCATCTCTGGGCAGCACTGGGCCACTTCCCATGGAGAACACAGGTAATTGAGGACTCTCCTCAGAGACTTAACGGCCAGTAGAGGTCAGCAGGGCAGGAGAGAGAATTACAAAGTAGGTGGTTTAACTTTGCCAGATGAAGGTAGAGAGATTTGGAAGAATCTCTCTGCCCAAGAGATTTAATAATTAGCATGCTTTTAGCTGCTCAAACTGGCTTATAGTTGAGATCCTCCCACCCCTGTTTCCCATAACTATAAATCTGTAACTGTAACTCCCTAGGTACATTTAGAAAATGTCACAGTGAGTGGACCAAACAACCAGATGTTTTCTGATGCTCCCTGGGGTGGTCTAGGGGAGCTGAGTGTTACGGAGACGGTGACCTCCCTCCCATTATTGAGCCCTGAGCTTCCATTTTCTCAGTCATGCAATGTAGATTAAAAGAAAACAAGGCCAAGCATGGTGGTTCCAACCTGTAGTCCCAGCAAGGTGGGAGGATTGATTGAGGCCATGAGTGCAAGACAAGCCTGGGCAACATAGCAAGACCCCATCTCTATGGAAAATAAAAATAATAAAAAATTGTCTGGGCATAGTGGTGCACACTTGTAGTCCTAACTACTTGGAAGACTGAGGTGGGAGAATCACTTGAGGCCAGGAGGTCAAGGCTGCAGTGAGCTATGATGGAGTCACTGCACTCCAGCCTGGAGGAGACCCTCTTGCTTTAAAAAAAGAAACAAAAATCCTTGGTTTTCTTACATTAACTAAGGAGATGTAAATGGAAAACATAAAGATAGATTGTGGATATTGATTCACTGAGGTTCATTAGACTGTGAGCTCCTTAAGAATGGCTGCCATGTTTTCATCTTGTTTTATTTGGTACTGTAAGTGGCACCCAGTTCAAAGTAAGTTCTTAATAAATACTCAATAATGAGCCGGGCACAGTGGCTCACACATGTAATCTCAGCACTTTGGGAGGCCAAGGCAAGTGGATTGCTTGAGCCTAGGAGTTCACAACCAGCCTGGGCAACATAGCAAAACCCTGTCTCTAAAAAAATTCAAAAATTAGCCGGGTGTGGTGGTGTACTCCTGTAGTCCCAGCTACTGGGAAGGCTGGTGGAAGGATTGATTGCTTGAGCCTGAGAGGTCAAACCTTCAATGAGCTGAGGTTGTGCTACTGCACTCCAGCCTAGACAACAGACCAAGACCCTGTCACAAAAACAAATACATACATACACACTTAATAATGAATGGGTTAAAACCTAGTAATCATAGCTTTTTTGCATGAGATTGGCTTTTTAACTCAAATAAAACAAGTTTTCTAAATCATTAAATCAATAATGTTTATAGACTCAATATCAACCCTCTGACGAGAGGGTCAGGAGACCCTCAGGAGAGGGAGAGTGCTCAGGAGAGTGCCCAGGAGAGTGGAGGCGCTATTGCTCCTTGGAAAGCATGACCCATGGGGTCTCAAAACAGCCCACAGCAGCACCACATCGCACAATGTGGAGGATTTACCTTCTTGCCACTAAGAAGGAAAATTAGAAATGGGGAAAAATCCAAAGTCCATTTTATCTTCTCTGTGGTGGCCACATCTGGCTGATTTTTATTACTGTTTAACACTTACATTTATGCACTTTGTGTATACAAAGTATTTTATAATTGTAGTTAAGCATATAGGTAATCATTTCTGAGCTTTTTTATGTAATTATATTTCTAAAAATCCAAAAATAAAATGAGTTTCACCAGGCAATTTCCTAAAGAGACTTTGGGCCATTCCAATTTAAACTTAACACCATCCGGATACCATTTTCAATGTTCCAAATCCATTCCTCTCTGCAAATAGGGGAAGCACCAAGGAGGCCTTGGGGCCCTGTTGCTTGATAGAATCCCTGGCCTGTGATCCAGAGAGCTCACAGATCACATGTAGAGAAGATGCAGGATTGCCCAAAAACATTTTCCAGAGGTTGAAAATAAAAATGGTGGTCCACAAAGCTGAAAGCCCAATTTTTTCTCCTTTTGACTTCAATAAGGTAGAAAATATTGATGAGATCTATATTATTCCTGACTTTTCCTCTTCTGAAAAAAGAAATCCCATTGACATTTTTCTGACTTCAGTCTAAGACTGGGCACTGTCTAGTTTTACTAATTTCCACATTGTCTGATTTCCCCCATGTCTCAATAAACTCTGTATATACATTTACAAAATCCCTATGTGCCTATACATTTATAAGCATTTATAAGCTTATAAATGCCTATACATTTATACTTATTTTAAAGGAAATTACAGAAGATAACACATAAAACAACTGCAACTGTACATAATTCTATAATTCAGAGATACCCAATGTTAACATTTAGAGAATTTCCTTTCAATGTTCTTTTCCTACATATAAATGAATATTTTCAGGTCAGATTCATACATATGAGTGCAGAGACACACATTCACACATATACATATTCACGTATACAAATTGCCTTGTCCTCTAATTGTTCAGCTCAGCTATCTCATTAGCATTTCACAGGTTATCAAATATTAGCTATTCTTCTACAATGTGATTTTTAAATGCCAGCCATCATATTCCATTACATGGATCATCAAATTATGCCTGACCATCTGTCTGTTGATGGAAATTTAGGGGATTTCTGGTTTTTCACCTGGGTAAATAACAAACACTATGTGAGTCCTGGTAGATAACTCTTTGTGTGTGCCTTTAATTATTTCCTTAGGATAGATTCCTAGACGTGAGGTCACTGGATCAAGAAGTTTCTTGGTGCCCATGGTCCTTTTGCTGGAAGAGAGCCTGTCCCCATTACTCCCTGTTTCAGTTACAGGCAGGAACAAACCGCTATCCCCACTAGTCCTCGGTATCAGCCATGTTTAAAATCCTCAAACAGTAAGTTTTAAACAGCCAGAATTGATGGATCTGAGGCAGATCCACCATTGTCAAGAACCCTTGCTACCATGATTATTAATAAGACAGGTTCATGTCAGACTGTGAGATGGAAACAGTTTCTTGCCCATGCCTCTGCCTCTTCTGCCCTCTTCTTCAACAGCTTCCTCATCCCTAGATCCCTTGGTTCTTTCTAGATCAAAACACTTAACAATCCTATGATGCTTATATCATCATATTGACAAAAAATGAGCTAAAAAATGTTGAAAATATTGAGTACCTAATATATGAACACTTCCAAAAGAATTTACATTTTTAAAGGCCAAAAAAGAGACAGTGGTTAGTGCAAATGACAGCTTGGGGAGGTGGTGATTGGGGTACCAGGCATGGAGGAAGAGGTTTGCCCTCAGTCTTTCTTAGGCCCTGTGCCACATAGGCACCATTTATGCAGCCATTGCTGAGGTCAGTTCTGCTGGACAAGATGATACAGAGCCGGTAACAAGGAATACAAAGTGCTTTCACTGCCTTAACCTGTGCATGACCAAATTCACATCCACAGATTCTCCAAGGGATGCCTGCTCAAGTCATATGCAGGCTCTTTCCCAGGCACCACTCAGGAAGACCACAGAGCAGGCAGGAAGGTCGAGAGCCAATGGCTCAGGACAGAGGGCAGGTGGCAGATGGCATCAGCCATGCAGAGCCGTGTAAAAGAGCTGCTGGGAGTGGGACCAGCCTGGGAGTGGGACCAAGAGAAATCAAGACAGGGCCAGACTGGGAGTGGGACCAAAATAAATCAAGCAGAAGTCAGAGGGCAGGAAGGCAGCTGGTGGTCCCTCTACACCCAGGTCAGGAGGTCTGTAACAGGAAGGACCCCAGTGGTTGGTAACATTGGAGATCAGCTGTGGGAAAACCAAGCTGAGCAATGAGGCCTTCTCTGTAACAGAGCCTATGCAGCAGTGACCAGGAGGGGTCCCTCATGGGAAGTATCTCCAGGGCAAGAGACAGGCCGCAGACAGCAGAAGCGGGTTTAGGCCTTCTACTTGGGGCCCTTCACTCTCTGTCCCAATTGCTTGACAGTATCTCTGAAGTATCCTGTAGACAAAAGGCCTTTTCCCCACCATATTATTACCAGGATTTTAGTTGATGAGTATTAATAACAACCATGGTCATTTAAGCAAGTACTTTCTATGTTAGGCTCTTGCTGAAGCTATCACCTTTTTTATCTCATTTAACCTTCATGATAACCCTGAAGGTAGATAATATTATCCTCATTTTAAAAGGAGCAAATGGGACTCAGGATAGGCTCCCAGCTGCTGAGGGCAGGGCCAACATGTGTCCAGCACCTGATGCCATCCCCCAGCCCTTCCCTCCCACCAGAAGGCAACACATCCCAGCCTGAGGATTGTGCCAGGCATGGTACCCTCTGTACAGATGTACTCTGCATGGAGCAGCAGTCATGGGGAGCCACAGCAAGCCAACAGAACCCAGCCCTCCTGTAGCCCCCTCTGCCCAGCAGGCTGACTAGCAAGGTTTCACCTGTCTGTTTCTTTCTCTCTTTCTCTTTCTCTATCCCTATCTCCTCCCTTCGCTATTTCTCTTTCTGTATCCCTATGTACTCTTCTCTCTTCTCCTCTCTTTCTCTCTCCCTCTCTCTGACAGGGACTCTTGTTTGCGGCCTGTTTTCATCCTGGCTTCACTGACCCAAGCTGCCTTTCCAGGAGGAAAAAGCAAACTAGCAGGCAGTGGTAAGGCTAGGTTTACCCCAAAAGCAACCACACAGAACACAGCCAAACATGTTTCCCATAGACAGAAGGCAGATCTGAGGAAGAAACATGAGTAAGGAAGCTGCCAGCTCTCATGGGCAATTTTTCAGAAGGCTTGGAAGGAGACTATGATTCCTCACCCGTGTACAGTCAGAGCCTCTGGGAGTCTGGCATCATTCTGTATGAGCAAGGTCAGCCCTTTAAGTGTAACGTAACACAGAAAAAATACAGTGCAAAGTTCAGCACAGCTTTGCATAGTGGCCCTATGCACACATTTTCAGGAGATAGAGTCACAGAACAGGGAGAGTACAGATTCACAGACTTCTCAGGAAAGAGATTATGGGTAAAGATAGACCACAGTCCATCTAAGGCACCAAGGTGAAGTTTGAATGAGACTCTTTGGGAAATTAAAATATTGAAAAGTGTACTGAAAAACCGAAAAAAACACAAACATGATCAAGCAAGATGCATGCTCAGAAAACATCTGAGAAGACTGTAAGCACTCACCTCATGCTGGTCTCTAGGTTCAAGGCACACCCAGCCAGTTATGAAGGATTGACCCAGCACAAAGCCATTTGGCAAAACATGGATAAATAACTAAACAAAATCAGTGTAAATGGACTAAGCTCTCCAATCAAAAGGCAAAGAGTGGCAGAATGGATTTTAAAACACACACACATACACACAGTTCAATTATATGCTGTCTACAAGAGATGCACTGTAGATCAAAAGACATAAATAGGTTGAAAGTGAAAGGATGAGAAAAGATATTTCAATGCTAGTAGTAACCAAAAGAGAGTTAAGACGAAATAGACTTTAAGACAAAAACCGTTACAAGAGGCAAAGAAAAATATTATATAATGATAAAAGAGTCAATTCACCAAGAAGTTATAACAACTACAAATAATATGCACCAAACATTAGAGCTCCAAAATATATGATGCTGACAAAACAGGAGGGAAAAATCACTCTACCATAATGGTTGAAGACTTCAATACTTCACTGTTAATAATGGATAGTATAGCCAGACAGAAGATCAATAACAAAACAGAAGACTTGAACAACATTATAAACCAATTGGACCTAACAGACATATACAAAACACTCCACCCAACAATAGCAGAATACACTTTTATCTAATGTGCACATGAAACGTTTTCCAGAATAGACCATATGTTAGGACACAAGTTTTAATAATTTTTAAAAATTTGAAGTAATACAAAGTATCTTTTCCAATCATAATAGGAATGAACTGGAAATCAATAACAGAAGGAAAACTAGAAAATTCACCAAAATGTGGAAATTAAACAACATACTCTTAACCAATCCATCAAAGGAGGAATTAGAAAACACCTGTTATGGGCTGAACTGTGTAGCTTTGAAATTCCTATGTTGAAGCCCTAACCCCTAGTACCCCACAATGTGTGAATGTGTTTGGAGATGAGGTCTTTCAGGAAATGATTAAGTTAAAATGAAGCCATTAGGATGGATCTAAACCCAATCTGACTGGTGTCCTTATAAGAAGAGGAAGTTTGGCCAGGCGCGGTGGCTCATGCCTGTAATCCCAATGCTTTGGGAGGCCAAGGCAGGTGGATCACAAGGTCAGAAGTTCAAGATCAGCCTGGCCAACATGGTGAAACCCTGTCTCTGCTAAAAATAAAAAAATAGCCGGGTGTGGTCGCACGCACCTATAATCCCAGCTACTCGGGAGGCTGAGGCAGGAGAACTGCTTGAACCCAAGAGGCGGAGGTTGCAGTGAGCCAAGATTGTGCCACTGCACTCCAGCCTGGGTGACAGAGAGAGACTCCATCTCAAAAAAAAAAAAAAAAGAAGAGGAAATTCAAACACTTCAAACACACAAAGAGACACCAGGAGCACACATGCACTGACAGAACCATGTGAAGAGGAAGGAAGAGTGGAGCCATCGCATGCCAAGGAGACAGGACTCAGAAGAAACCAACCATACCAGCACCTTGACCTTGGACTTCTAGCCTCAAGAACAGTGAGAAAATTAATTTTTGTTGTTTAAGCCACACAGTCTGGCATTTTGTGATGGCAATTCTAGCAAACTAATATAATACCTTGAGACAAATGAAAATGAAACATAACACATCAAAATTTATGTGGTGCAGTGAAAGCAGTACTAAAAGGGAAATTTATAGCTGTAAATGCTGACATTAAAAAAGAAGAAAGATCACAAATTAGCAACCTAATTTTATACGATAAGGAACTGGAAAAAGGAGAACAAACTAAACTAAAAAGCTAACAGAAATAATAAATATTAGAGAGGAGATCTGTAGTGAATTTTAAAAATAAAGAAAATTAATGAGACCAAAAGTTGGTTTTTTGAAGAGATTAACAAAATTGACAGATCTTTAGCTAGACTGACTAAGGAAAAACTCAAATTATTAAAATCAGAAATGGAATCAGGGACATGACTACCAATTTTTAAAAAATAAAAAGTATTATAAGAAAATACTATGAACAACTGTATGCCCCAAAATTGGATAACCTAGATGAAATGGACAAATTCCTAAGTACACACAACCTACCAAGACTGAATCATGGAGAAATAAAAAAATCTGAATAGACCTACAACCAGGAAAAAGATTGAATCAGTAATCAAAAACTTCCCAACAAAGAAAAGCCCTGGATGAGATAGCCTTACTGGTGCATTCTACCAAACGTTTAAAGAAAAATTAACACCAATTCTTCTCAAACTCTTCCAGAAAATTGAAAAGGAGGGCAAACTCATTCTGTGAGACCTAACTTCCTAACTTATTCTATGAGGCCAGCATTACCCTGATACCAAAGCCAGACAAAGACACTATACGAAAAGAAAACTACAAACCGATATTCCTGGTGAATACTGATGCAAAAATCCTCAACAAAATACTCAATACTAAGCAAATCAAACTCAGCAGCATATTAAAAGTATTATACACCATGATGAAGTAGGATTTATTCCTGGTATACTGAGATGGCTTAAAATGGGAAAAATCAATCTATGAAATACACATTAACACAGTAAAGAAAAAAAAACGTGAGCATCTCAACTGATGCAGGAAAAACATTTGACAAAGTTCAACACCCTTTCATGATTAAAAAAAAAAAAAATGCACACCCTCAGCAAACTAGGAATAGAAGGAAACTACTGTAACATAATAAAGACTATTTATGAAAAACGCACAGCTAACATCACACTGAATGGTGAAAGACTGAAAGCTTTTCCCCTATGACTAGGAACAAGGTAAGGATGCCTGTTTTGCTACTTCTACTCAATGCAGTATTGGAAGTTCTAGCCAGAACAGGTGGGGAGAAAAACAAATGAAAGGCATCCAAACTGGAAAGGAAGAAGTAAAATTATCTCTATTTGTAGATAACACAACTTTATGTGTAGAAAACTCTAAAGACTCCATTTTTAAAATCATTAGGATTAATAAATTCAGCATAACTGAAGGATACAAAATCAACACACAATGGTATATTCACACAATGGAATTTCACACAATAGTGGAAATAAATGAACTACAGCTAAACAAATCAATATGGATAAATCTTAGAAACATAATGTTGCATGAAGAAAAATAGAAGAATACACACATGATGCAATTTTTATAAGGCTCAAAACCAAGACACACTGAAGAATACATTGTTTAGGATAAATTTATTTGGTTTTAGATAGAAAGAGTGAATGTGCATGAGATGAGAGAGAGAGAGAGGCATGCGTACACATACAGGAATTTTAAATACACAATTCCAGAGAGAAGTCTCCATGTTGGGAAGCAAAGAGATGGGGTAAAAGAGGAACAATTGGTTGGTGAGCATACAGGGGTTTGTAAAAACTAAACTTCATAACCTATCCATATGTTACATATATTATTTTGTGTAGATCAAATATTACATGCTATTTTTAAAGGAAGAATGAACTTATCAACTTGAAAACAAGAGAAATTTGCACAGTAAATAAATGATACAGGGAAGGATAGAAAATAGGAATTCAAGAAATGATGGGATGAAAGACTGTACTGAAACCCTGAAATACAAGATGAAAACTAATCATTTCTACTTATCATTTCTAGCTATTCTATGAAATGAAGAAACTCTTATTTTAAAAATGCCTTCGGGCCAGGTGCGGTGGCTCACGCCTGTAATCCCAGCACTTTGGGAGGCCAAGGTGGGTGGATCACTTGAGGCCAGGAATTCAAGACCAGCCTGGCCAACATGAGGAAACCCTATCTCTACTAAAAATACAAAAAAAAAAAAAAAAAATTAGCTGGGCGTGGTGATACACACCTGTGGTCCCAGCTACTTGGGAGGCTGAGGCAGGAGACTCACTTGAACCCAGGAGGTGGAGATTGCAGTGAACCAAGATTGCACCACCGCACTCCAGCCTAGGTGGCATAGTGTGACTCTGTCTCAAAGTAAATAAATAAATAATAAATAAATAAATAAATAAATAAAATGCTTTCTAAAAATTAAGGGACTTGGAGGTAAAGTGAGTATTAATAGGAATATTAAAGTTTCAAATGAATTGCCAAACCAAGATGCCCTGTATATTATATATTAATAGTAGCAGAAAAAGGGATTAAAAGAATGCAGTCTTTACAAGTGAAAAGTTTTTTCACTTTCTCTCTCTGCCAACATAATAAAATTTTATTCGTTTATACTCCACCAATCCTAGCAGTGCCCCCTAATTGGAAAATATGTTAGGGTTGATGGTAACCTTTGTTCGAACAACTAGTTTCATTACAGAGGGTGCAAATTAATATTTTTAAGAGAATGTCTACAAACTGTTTTTAAAATGCTTCCAGACAATTTGTAAGGACAGTTAACACAAGAAATATTGAATATAAATGGATATTAATAATTGGCAAAAAAGTATAATCATATGCCCCAAAGCCTGGGGAGGTATTCACTGAGAAATATTTACAGGAGCAATTTTAGGATTACTTGGATGTAAGAACATCACCTGTATTTAAGGTCTAATTTCAATTGTCCTTTCCCCTAAGGAAAGTAGTTTAAACAGCAAGTAGGCCCAGTGGTAGGATTTTTGAAGTTTACAATTCAACAGAGAGACGGAGAGGTGGTAGGGTAGTGCCTGAGCCCAGTGAGACACAAGAAGTAGACATACCAGAAATAAAGCCAAACATGCATGGCTGTTTCTATCCAGCTTGCTGTGAAGCTGGTGATCGCTCAATAAATCTCCAAAAATCACAATAAAGAAGATTGGTGCCCATTTTTTCTGGGGCTTACACACAGGTAGTAAAACAGAACATTCGATCCTTGGGCTTAAGTAATTCCTCAGACATAAGGATGCAATCCTTCCTTTTCAAAGCAAACGGATGGAACATGAAAGACTCCTGTTTAGAGAACCACTGCCATGTAATTAAGCAAGTTTTCAAATCTCAGCCCAGTGTGCAAAGAAATCAGTATTGGAAGGATTGTTTTCAGGCAGAAAAAACCCGAGGGAAGAAATCAGACCAACATTCACTCCAGTTAGCTGGAAAGCCCCAAAATTAATTATTAACATTAGATGGGCTTGTGACTGGGCTGGTTATTGAAGAGATAAATCATTTTTATTGCACAAAGCACAGAAGTATACTCCTCCCAAAACAAACCAGATGGGCTATGCTTTTCAAGGAAGAAAGATAAGATTCTTCATGTTAATGAATGATGTGCAGGCCATGAGTTAAAAGCTGTATCTTTTCCTAATAGCCATACTTTCACAGAAAGGCCAATGAATGCTTGAGTCCTGGAAAGGAAAACATTGAGCAATGTCAACAGGAACACAGATGGGCAGACAGTACCTCCATATGTTATTGGATGAAGCCTGAGCTCATTCCATTTTGCCAGAGTAGACAGCTCTCTGAAAGACCATTTTACAACTTGTGTTAACATTTTTCATATTATATATGTGTATGTGTACAACTTGCTCAACAGTGATATCCCACATAAAAAAAGGGGAAGTATAGTCTTAAAAAATTATTCTAACCAATATCTAATTTGAAATCAATGAAACATTCAAGGGCATTCTCTGAAATGATAGTAGGTGGCAACGCATGCATGAAGCAGATGGCAGATTGTCCCTATCTCATGTTCCTAGGTAGACTCTGCCAGTGACACAGTGGCTAGGTATATTTCCTAAGCTCTTCTTCGAAAACCACTGGCCTTCCTGGATACTTATCCAGGATGCTTGTCCAGGATGCTTGTCCAGGAGATTCTTGTCCCAGTGGCCTGGCATGGACCTGACACATACACGGCCTGGAGACTCGTCACAGTGAATAATAGCACATTTCTCTGCAGATGGCAATTATCCCTGCCACGTGCTACAGGCATCTGAACAAGTCATGGCTTTACAGGATTTTCTGTCTATTTGTTCTATTAATTAATAAGAAGGGGGTATTGAAATCTCCAACTATGATTCTTTCTTGTGTTCTATCAGTTTTTGCTTCGTGTATTTTGCAGCTCTGTTACTAAGTCCATATGCACTGTGAATTATGTCCTTGGGATCAATTGACCCCTGTATCATTATGGTCTGGCCTTCTTTGTCCCTAGTAATATTCTTTGCTCTGTAACCTACTTTTTCTGATATTAATATAGACATCCCATTTTTCTTTGGACAGTATCAGTTTTAGCACTGTATGTCTTTTTTCATTTTTGTATTTAACCTATCTCCATATGTTATTTTAATACTTAGAATGATTTTAATACTTAGAATTGGTTCCTTTATAAGTAGCATATAGTTCAATTTTTATTTCTTTCCCAATATGACAATGTCTACCTTTTAATCGAGATAATAAGTCCATTCACATATAATGTGATTAGAAATATATTTAGATTTAAATCTACCATCTTGATACTTGTTTTCTATTTGACAATCTGTTCCTTGTTCCCTTTTTCTGCCTTATTTTGCATTAATTATTTTGTATGATTCCATTTTATCCTTTTATTGGCTTATTAGTTATAACTCTTTTTTATTCTAGGTATTGCTTTAGGGTTTACAGTATACATCTTTAACTTCCCACAGTCTAACTGAAAATGATATTATACCCATTGCTAGAGAGCATACAATAGGAATATATACATGTATGTACACATATACAGTATATAACACTTTACCTCTATGGTACACTGTGGTTCACATACAAGAAGAGTGTGCTTCCATTTCTCTCCTCAGCCTTTGTATCACTGCTGTCACATTTTTACATGTGATATGAGACGCACACTTCATTTTGATTATTTTTATTTCAATTGCCAATTACCTTTTAATGATAAGAAGGAATGTGTAGATTTACAAAGCTGTCAGTGTTTCTGGTACCCTCCATTCCTTTGTGCAGACCCATTTTCCTCTGATGGAGCTGGAGCTCATACACCCTCTACCTGGCTGGACCTCACACTCACCAGTACCACATTTAACTCAACATATCAGGGCCACTTGCTTATGTAACTGCCTCCCAGCACAGCACCCGGCACATAGCACAGAAAATGCCAGAACTACTTAAATCCAGGCTACAGTATTTTACAGAGAAATCCAGTATTTCTCTCCAACAAATACTTCTTAGTTATCTGTCACAGTTTCCTCCAAACTCATATATACTAGTCTCTAAAACAGGGTGTTGTGCTATCATCACTCTTAAGACACCTAAAATATCCTGGTGATATCAGGTTAAGTGATACTGAATATTCATACCAAAACCCTCAGTCTTGAGAACTGCCCCTTCCTGCAACACAGACCACCAGCTCTTCACCAGGGCAGCTGCTCAGTGTGGAGTTGCTGCTATGAGATGGCTCGCTGGTTAGGGACCACGTGTCCCACCCCTTCTATTTCAGGGGACCACAGAACCAAGTCCCAGATAGTGGCCAGAGGAGGACATGATGGATGACACTCCAGACTCTCTCTTCCTGTGCATCATCCTCCCTCTCTCTTCTTCCACACTCCAGATGGACTTTACCCGCAGTGCCATCTTGGAAGCTATTCTACCAGTCAGGATACCAGAAGGAAATGGGTGGCTCACTAAGTCAGAATAATTCAAGGAGGATTCAATAAAGGGAAAATTTGCAAAAGTGTAGGCAGAGTGTAGGGAAAACACACGTGCAGTATGATGGGGTTAGGAACAGCAGATCTGTTACCACCCCTGGCCTGAAGGGGATAAAGGGAGGAGGCAGTTGTCAGAACCCAGCAGAAAAGAGTCTTGCAGAAGAGCCATTCTGAGATGAATGGAGGTCTCTTGTTAAGGACACATCAGCCACAAGGGTCTTTCTGGGAGGACAGGAAAGGGAGGACTGAAGAAATAAGAGCCCCAGTCGCATCATGCTCCATCTCCTACCATGCCCCATGGGCTGAACCCAGCCAGAAGCCACCAGGGAGCTCTAAGAAGTCCCTAGAGGTCATATCCCAGGGCAGAGGGCAGGGGGAAAGGAGGGAAGGGGCAACCAACCATGCACTGACAACAACAGGACAGGGTACCTATCATGCTGGTGCTGAATAATGACCACAGCACTACCACCATGCTGCCAAGTGGACTTCATCCATACAAGCAAGAAATGAACCGATATTGTGATGGAAATTTGGGGTTATTCCTTTTATAGAGGCTGTGCCTCTTCACACAGGGTAGGCAGCCACAAGCCTGGCTTTACTCTTACTTCAAATCGACATGCCTAAAAATGAATTAATGTTTTCCTAAAAGCCACCTGCTCAAGATTTCCCTCTTGTCATCCTCTTTGAAAATTTTGGGATCCTAGAATTATTGGGAACAACTCTAGATCTGGAACAATCCAAAGATCACTGGACTCCCCTCTCCGAAAAAAATTTGCCAGCACACACTCCCATGCCTGCCTGTGCATCCCTCTCTTTGGTCAGGCCCTGACACATGCCCTGGCCTATATCCCAGGCCATCTCACAAACTTCAGACTCCCCAAAACACCATTCTCACCTCATTCTCTCCCACCATGACCTATAGCAGTGGTTTCCAAAAATAAGCCCACAGTCAAATCACCTGAGGAATTTACTTCAAAGACAATTTCCCAGAATCCTCCTCCAGAGACTCTGATTCAGAAGAGAGTGTGGCTCAAAGAGCTATATTTTTAACACCTAGGAGATATTGATATAGTACCACATTATGAGAAACACTGGCATAGAGGATGAATTCGGACCTCTCCAGCTTGGCATGATTATCTGTCCATGGCACCATCCTTTGAACATTGTCAACTTCATCACCATTAAGACATACAGACAGACCTCATGTCATATAGATGGACTCCAGGGAAACACGTGGTCTAGGCTTCTTCCCCCACTTGTTATGTCTTCCTGCCATCTTCCATCTTAAGCATAAGCTCTCTGGGAGTAGGGTGAAAATTACCCAGAAAACTAGGAATAGAAGAGAACTGCCTCAACGTGATAAAGGATATATATGAAAAACCCACAGCCAGCTAACATCATACTCAATGGTAAAAGACTGAAAATTTTCCCCCTAAGATCAGGAACAAATCAAGGATGCCTACTTTCACTATTGCTAATTCACCATTGTACTTGAAGTTCAAGCCAGAGTAATTAAACAAGAAAAAGAAATAAAAGACATCCAGATGGGGAAGGAAGAAGTAAAAATATCTCCATTTGCAGACATGATCCCATGAATCTATATGTAGAAAATCCCAAAGAATCCACAAGAAAGCTACTGAGCTAATAAATTAATTCATCAAGTTGCAAGTACAATTTTCAATGCAAAATATTTGTTGTGTTGCTATACATCAGCAATGAACTATCTGAAAAAGGAAATTAAGAAAACAATTCCATTTACAATAGCATCCAAAAGAACAAAATAGCTAAAAATAAATTTAACAAAGAGGTAAAAGACGTGTACACTAAAAACTGTAAAACATAACTGAAAGAAATTAAAGAAGACCTAAATAAATTAAAATGCACCCTATGTTCATGGATAAGAAGACTTAATGTCATTAATATTTTAATACTATCCAAAGTGATTCAGTGCAACACCTATCAAAATTCCAAAGAAATGTAAAAGCTGGTCATCAAATTCATATGGAACTTCAAGGGGCTCTGAACAGCCAAAACAATCTTGACAAAGAACAACTTTCCAGTACTCACATTTTCAAATATCAAAACTTACTACAATGGAATACAAATGAAAGTCCAGAAATAAACTCATACATCTTATGGCCAACCAGTTTTGTGGCAAGAGTGCAAAGACCATTCAACAGAGAATAAATAGTCTCTTCAACAATTGGTGCTGGGATAACTAAATTTCCACGTGCAAAAGAATGAAGTTAGACCCCTACCTCACACCCTATAAAACAATTGACTCAAAATAGATCATTTATTTAAGATAAAACCATAAAATTCTTAGAAAAAAACAAACATGACCTTGGATTTGGCAATGGATCTTTAGCTATAGCACCAAAATCCCAAGCAATAACAGAAAAAAAAATAGATAAATTGAGCTTCATCAAAATTAAAATCCTTTGCGCTTCAAAAGACATTTCAGGGCCGGGCACGGTGGCTCATGACCATAATCCCAGCACTTTGGGAGGCTAAGGTGGAAAGATCACTTGAGTTCAGGAGTTTGAGACCAGCCTGGGCAACATGGTGAAACCCTGTCTCTACCCAAAATACAAAAATTAGTGAGGCATGGTGGCATATACCTGTAGTCTCAGCTATTTGAGACGCTGAGGAGGATGGCCTGAACCCGGGAGACAGAGATTGCAGTGAGCCATAATGACACCACTGCACTCCAGCCTGGGTTACAGAGCAACACCCTGTCTCAAAAACAAGAGAACAAAAGACATTCTCAAGAAAGTGAAACGACAACCTATGGAATTAAAGAAATTGCTTGCAAATCATATATTGATAAGGGTCTAGTATCCAATATTTTAAAAACTCCTACAACTCAACAACAAAAATACAACCCAATTTTTAAATGGGCGAAAGACTTACATGAACAGTTCTTCAAAGAAGATATACAGAAGGCCAATAAGCACATAAAAAGATGCTCAACATCATTAGTCATTAGAGAAATGTAAAGCAAAACTACTATGAGATATTACTTCACACTGACTAGGATGGCTAGAATAAAAAAAGGAATATAAATGTTGGTGAGTATATAGAGAAACCAGAACTCTCATGCACTGCTAGTAATAATGCAAAGTGTGGAAAACTCTATGAAAAACAGTTTTGCAGGTTCTCACAAAGTTAAACATAGTTACCACATAATCTAGCGATTTCACTCCTAGATGTATATCCCAAAATAATGGAAAGCAGGGACTCAGATACTTATACACCAATATTCATTGCCACATTATTCAAAATAGCCAAAATGTGGAAACAACCCATGTCTATCAATAAAAGATTAATAAAATATGGTATATACACACAATGAAACATCATTTACTCATAAAAGGAATGAAATTCTGACACATGCCGAATATGATGAACCTTGAAAACATCATGCTGAATGAATAAGCCAGGAACAAAAGGACAAATGCTGCATGAGTTCACGTGTATGAAATATCTACAAAAGGTAAATACAGAGACAGAAAGGAAATTGCAGGTTCCAGAGCCTGTGGGGAGGAAGGCACGGAGAGTTATTGCTTAATGAGCACAGAGTTCATAGTTGGAGTGATGAAAAAATTTTAGAATTTGTGCTGATGGTTGCCCATTAGGAATGTAATTAATGCCATTGAATTGTACACTTAAAAATGGCTAAAATGGTAGATTATATGATATATATTTTTTCCACACTAAAAATAATTGAAAAAATTGGGCTGGGGTGGTAGTTCACACCTGTAATCCCAACTCTTTGGGAGGCTAAGGCAGGAGGATCATTTGAAGCCAGGAGTTTGAGACCAGCCTGGGCAACATAGCAAGATCCCATCTCTCCAGAAAAAAAAATGTTAAAAGTTAGCTGGGTGTAGTGGCACATGCCTGTAGTCCCAGCTACTCAGGAGGGTGAGGTGGGAGGATCGCTTGAGCCCAGGAGTTTCAGGCTGCAGTGAGCTTTGATCGCACCATTGCACTCCAGTCTGGGCAACAGAGCAAGACCTTGTTTCACAGAAAAAAAGGAAAAGATCAATACCCTCTTGGGAGGCTGAGGCAAGCAGATCACCTGAGGTCGAGTTCGAGACCAGCCTGGCCAACATGGTGAAACCCCGTCTCTACTAAAAACGCAAAAATTAGCAGGCCAGCAATAGTGGCAGGCGTCTGTAATCCCAGCTACTTGGGAGGCTGAGGCAGGAGAATAGCTTGAACCCGGGAGGCGGAGGTTGAAGTGAGTCGAGATCGTGCCACTGTACTCCAGCCTGGGTGACAGGGTGAGACTCCATCTCAAAAAAGAAAAAAAAAAAAAAAAAGACCAGTGCCCTCCAGTGGTGGGAAAGCATGGGAATGAGCATACGCACGCATCCTCTTCATCTAGGAGACAGACATAATACGCACCTATTGCTTCATACACCTCAGGTTGTCTTTAATCCATTTCATGATGATTGTTGTGTCATTCTTGTTGCCGGCAGAACTATCCTCTCCTGGACATGAGGCCACACAGACATGCCGAGTGCAGGTAAAACACATGGCATGGAGTGGCTCTTGGTCAGGAGCAGACCCTGAGAAGTCAGTACTACTCTCCCTCATGCCACTAGGGAAAATGAAACCGGTTCCATCCCCATCTCACCCATCCCGCCCCATCCTTGCCCTGCAGCACCCCTCCTCTGCCCTGCACCCCCTACTGCCCTCCACCCCAGTACAGCCACTCGGAGCTGGGCTGCATGTGTGGCCCTGCACAGGGCATGGTGACTTGGGTTGTGCCTGCCTCCCACCCATATGAGGGTGGATCCTGCCTGGAGGCCTCTGGAGCTGGGACCTCTGCAGGTCTTCCCACAGGGATGTGTTGAAGCAAGGGGGCAAGTTTACTCACACTTAGAGAATGTTGTGGAGGGCGCTGGCCTCAAAAGGACATCCTGGCTCACTGGCTGCCAGCACCACCACACTGTGCAGTATGCTATGCTTCCAGGCAAGGAACTACAGTTGGGAAATCTACAGACATTTCCCTTTATGGTTTTGTTTTGTTTTGTTTTGTTTTTTGAGACAGTTTCACTCTTGTCACTCAGGCTGGAGTGCAATGGTGTGATCTCTGCTTACAGCAATCTCCGCCTCCCAGGTTCAAGCAATTCTCCTGCCTCAGCTTCCCGAGTAGCTAGGATTACAAGCATGCGCTACCACGTCCACCTAATTTTGTTTTTTTAGCAGAGATGGGGTTTCTCCATGTTGATCAGGCTGGTCTCAAGCTCCTGGCCTCAGGTGATCCGCCCGCCTCAGCCTCCCAAAGTGCTGGGATTACAGGCATGAGCCACTGCGCCTGGCCTTCCTTTTTTTTTTTTTTTTTTTTTTTTTTTAATAGACACAGGTCTCACTAGGCTGCCCAGGCTGGAGTGTAGTGGCTATTCATTCAGAGGCCAGACCATGGCACACTGCAGCTTCCAACTCCCAGCCTCAAGCAATCCTCCTGTCCCAGCCTCCAGACCAGGTGTAGTCTCCGAAGGGTGCAGGCGGGGACCATGGGATGCTTGGGCACTGGTTGATTGGGTCAGATTTCGTCCTCATGTGACCAGGAGTTTATAGATATGCCCCATGTTATCTTTCCTATAGCCTTGTGCCCTGTAGCACACTATTCTGCAAAAAAATCAGGAACATACATTCATCATGAGAAGAAAGCCAGCATTTGTAGCTACTGTCTAACCCCCCTCTGCTTCACTGAGCTGGAGAGGATCCTCCTATCAGAGGCTGGGCCTGGCCGGGTAACCCACAGATCAGTGACCCCCCTCAGGAACCAGATCCCTGAGGCTGGCTGGGGTGCTGAATGGCCCTGACCACCTCACTGGAATCCAGTGGCTCTGCTTCCTAGGGCATGTTTACTGCAAAGCCCCAGCTCAGCTTTGCTGTCCCTGCATTTCACTAAACTCTGCCGTTGAACTCAAGCACCAAAACTCCCCCTTGTGAATCGAGAGTCCAAGTTTGCCACAGGCTTATAAAATCACAGATATTAGAGATACTGTGAATTATGCACCAGATGGACCCAATTAACTCCCCAACTAATGTGATTGGGGAAGGAAATAGCTCATTAGAAACTTGTAAACTACCAACTCTCACAGCTGTGTTCTAATTACAGTACAGCCACAGATAAAAATAATCACGCCTTCTGCTGAGAGGCCGTTCATGACCCTTCCAAACTTGGAATCATGCAGGGATCAACCTCAGTCTAGCTCTGAGCATTGCTGGCCTCAGAGCTAATCAACCCAAATGCAAATCCACAAGTTAAAAAGGGAAATCAGTAGAAGCTGGTGGGGAAACATGAGAATAAATCCATAAACCCCCAAAATAATTCCACCCCATCAGATACTCTATAAACTGTGAATAGATGCAAAGCAAATAATGACACTACGATACGATGTAAAACTAGAATACTATTTCTGCATTTTCACAGAGGTCTAATGCCCTGCATTAAGCAAGCTCACAGGCTTCGACAAAATTCCAAATTGAGAAATGTTAAATTTTGCAATTCTGTATTTTATCAGAATGTTACCAATAATTCCTCAATGGGTACTGGCCCAGGTGCTGTTCTAGGAAGGGGGTAATGGACAGGTGAGTTGCTGGCCTATCGCCTTACTCAGGCACGTAAGACTCTGTGAGCAAGTATAACGCAAGGTGAAGACCGTAGAAGCAGACAGGGATGGCGATGGCAATGACTGCGCTGCCAGGTAAGGCTTCACAGAGGGAATCTGAGGTGGGTCTTCAAGGCAGGTTTGAATTTCATGTAGATCAGAATGAAAATATTAAATGGGATTCCACTTTCAAAAGCGAGACTGGAAAGGCCATTCTGATATAGCCTCAGTTGCGTGTGTATGTAACTATACTGATATCAGAAAATCACCAAAGAGTTGGTTGGAGAGGCTTGTGGCCACAGCGTCATCGTTACAGTCATTGGTACCTTTCCTTGGCACACACATGGTGTGTATCTCCAGGCAGCACCCACATGGGTGGGCCATGGAGGGCACAAGACAGCCACGTTCACCTTCACACACCTGGGAAGGAAGATGCCTCTTAGGAGGTGTGGGAGGGAAGAGGGGACCAGGAAACGCCCCCCAACCTCAATAGCCTGACCAAGGTGGAGGTGCTCTTCCTTCATCACAAAGCACAGTGACAACCCTCTCCCAGCCCCTGTGCCAGATATTAGGCCCTCAAAGTGACCCTGGCTGATTCCAAGCATTTCTCAAGGCATCACCCACACTGCCCAAGAGATGGTCACTGTGCTGGGCACAGCTGTTCCACTCAGGGCTACTACCATGGCTACCTCCCTCCAGGCTCCCAAAACAAGCCTGGGCTCTTGCTGATGAGGCCCCTGGAGTCCAGACATGCTGCCCCAGCCCATGAGGTCTCCCAAAGAGGGGGACCTCACCTCAGAGGCCCCACCTCAGAGGGCCTCCCAGCACAAGACCACACTCTCTGCTCTTGCAACTAGCTGAGCCTATTCTGGGCACTTTGTCTCACGATGCTCAGCGCAACCACGGGCAGGAATTGTTGTTATGTCCATCTTAGAATGACAAGACCAATACCTGGCAAAAGTGGTAGCCCACTGAGCTCAGGTCATCTGCTCCCAACCACTGCCCCCACAGGCAAGTGGACAGCTGTCTCCGGATCCCCCACCCTGGCTCACCCCCTTCTAAACTCATGAGGGTCCAGAGTAACAGAAGATAGAAATCGCTATATGAGTGTGGGTGTGTGTTTGTAAATGTGTATATATGTATGTGTATAAATATGTGCATGTATATATGTGGGCATGTGTAAGTGCATATATATGTATGTGTAAATATGTGCATGTATATAGGTGCATGTGTATGTAAATATGTGTATGTATACAAATACTGTACATATATGTATTATAGGTATATGTGTGTATGGGTATGTGTGCACACATGTATGTGTGTATGTATGTGTATGTGTGTATGCATATATACATGTATAAATGTGTGTGGATGCATATAATCATGTGTGCATGCATGTACACATGTATAACTGTGTGGGTATGTATGCATGCATGTATGAAGTGTGTGTTTATGTGTGTGCATAGCTATGTACATGTGCGTGCTGGTCCTCTGGAGATGGCCAAATGGCTCCTGCAGGCACAGCAGCATGTTTGTGGCCAAGAGGAGCCCCACCTCAACGTGTTTTCTGATCCTGGCAACACCTCCCACACCCATCTTGACTGGCTCCAGAGCCTGGCCGGCTCTGCCCTGACACAGGGCCCAAATGTTGAGACCTCAATACATCACGTTTCATGAAGACAGTTCTATGTTGCTGCCATAGAGATACCCCTCTCCCAAAATTACATAAGGATTTCTTCACATGTGCTTTTTCTAGTACTCTTACATTATTGTTACTTACACATAAGTCCAAGATTTATCTTGGCAAAAAACTGAATGCAACTTTTTGTTACTGTATTAGCCCGTTCTCATGCTGCTATAAAAAAACTGCCTGAGACACTGGGTAATTTATAAAGAAAAGAGGTTTAATTGACTCACAGTTCCACATGGCTGGGAAGGCCTCAGAAAATTTACAATCATGGCAGAAGGAGAAGCAAACATGTCCTTCTTCACGTGGTGGGAGGAGAGAGAAGAATGAGAGCAGAGCAAAGGGGGAAGCCCCTTATAAAACCATCAGCTCTTGTGAGAACTCATTTACTATCACCAGAATAGCATGGGGGAAACCACGCCCGTGATTCAATTATCTCCACCTGTTCCCACCCTTGACATGTGGGGATTATTACAATTCAAGGTGAGATTTGGGTGGGGACACAGAGCCAAACCCTATCAGTTCCTCTCCAAATGCGTGTCCACTTTCGTAACATGGGTGAGCCACACTTTTGCAGTTGTCTAAGAGGTTGGGTTTGCTGAGTTTGTCATACACCTGTATCTGGGACTTTCCTGTTATTCCTGTGTTGGTGTGGCATTATATAAAATGTGGCCAGTTACAGGACAAAGTTCCCTCATTCCTTCTCGTCTTTCGTGTTTCTCTTCACATATTTGTTTTTTCACATATCTGATCTCACACTTGCATTTTTCCCCAAAACTTTTATCTGCAAAAGAAGCCTCGTCAAGTTGTAAAGCAATTGCACTGAGACTTCTTCCAGGTTTGCTTTCATTTCAATGCTGTTTCCCCTGAGAACCGCTCATTGCAGAAGTTCGAGGGCTTTGGGCAGAGTTGGCCTTTCACGTAGGTACTGAACATCCATGGAAGTGTGCTCCTAGATGGTTTGTTTGGGGTGGTATCCTCAATGGGTGTCTTCCTTACATTTTCCAAGGCTTAGGAAAGCTATGTGTGGAATGCTGTGGGGCCTGGCCCCTCCCAGGCCACATCACAGTGGTTTGGTGCTCCAGCCTCCTCAAGTGAGTGGGTATGGCCAGCGGGGAGCCAAGCCCACCTGAGCAGGGAAGGCCGGCTCCCTCACCTGCAGCCTCCTCGAGGGCCACCTCCCCTCAGGGACATCTCCCCGGCCTATGTCCCCCACCCCTAGGTGCCTGGCCATCCTCACGGTGCAGCAGGACAGAAGAAGCTGGGAACCCCAGCTGACCCCTGCTTCAGATGCAGAGCATGGATTGCTCATCTCCGGAGGAGACAGCAAGTGGTCAAGGACCTGCCAGGAGCCCTGGGATTCCAGAACTCAACCGGGATCTGACTGGGGGAGCAGAAAAGGCCAGAGAGAAAGGAGAGACACAAGAGGGCAGAGACCCAGAGCAGTGTCTGTTCCTAGGACACTGTCCCCTGGTCCCCTGCACTCCAGGGGCCCCTGGAGCCTCGTGGCCCTGGGCTCTGGCCACCTTGCTGTACAAGTGCCTGCAACGCTGACTGGGGGCTGGCCAGTTCAGTCTGGGTAACCAGAGGGAGAGCCTCGCTCCACAGCCCACCATGGGACCTGCCTGTGTGCTTCCCATGTAGAAACAGCGTTTTCATATGCAGAGAAGTCTGACATGAAACAGTCCACTTGGCCATGATTTCTCAAGAATTCCCACTGACAGGAGCCTCTCTTCTTGAGCACTGGCATTCATGACAAAATTCTACCACTGGCTGGATGGGAGACGTTCCTATTGCTTGTGCAACTTTAAGTTTTCCCCCAGAAAATTTGTCCACAGGAGGAACAAGACGGGCTGTCTGGGACTCACTGGCCGGAAGCCAAACCCAACACCTGTCAAGATGTAGGACCCTGCACTGGGAAAACGGTTGCCCTCCCTGCTCAGGGACATCTGCACAGCACACTGCATTCCTGTCCTTTGGGGTGACGTGGGGGCACGCTGCTTTACTTCTTTCCACTGCTCTTTGAAAACTGAGTCGTTAGGAAAGCATCAGCAGTGGACATGTGTGTGTGGAGGATGGCAGTGTGGCTCCCAGGTGACACCTGCATCACTGCTGAGCTCCACACCCTCCAGGGCTGTCCATGTGACACCCCAGTGGGGCTCATCACGCGCTCCTATCCCTGCCCCTGCAAGTCCCTGCCAGGGTGAGCTCAACAGGGCTCCACACTATATGAATATTCAGGTGCTAGACCCTTAGTGAGTACCACGATGCTGAGTGTCTCTCTCGGAGCCAGGCAACGAGGACAGGGACATAGGCCAGTGGGGTGGCCCCTGCCCCAGCTGCCTGCCCCCTGCCTCTGGTGCATGTGTGACCTTGGGCAGTCGGTGCACCCTCTCAGGCCCCCCTCCTAGTTCAGCAGAGGCAGTGGCTGCATTTCTAGAAAGGGAGGGCCCATAGGAAAGCATGCTTTAGGTTTGTATTGCTTTTCTGAACACACTTCTTCCATTGCAAAGTTGCAATGATTGATAGCATAAAATAGAACACATGTTTCAGAAAGGATTCTGGCACAAAAAGTCTGATTCCTAAGAGCTTCAAATAGGAAATGCATTTAGACTTTACATTTTATGAATACATTGAAGAAAGCACCTTTTTGAAACTATCCAATTCTCCAGTGCTTGTAGGTGATGGTCTCATTATTTTTGATCCACAAGAACACCTGGCAACCTACAGGAGCTAGAATCCAATGCTCATGGAAATCAACTCTATGAAACTCCAAGACATTGCCCTGTGATGTTGCCACGGCCCTCAACATAATAGCAGCTCTCTATGGGGCCTGCACTGTGAGAAGCCTCCATGCCCTTGTCAGGGTATCTGTGCCCCTGAGATGTCCTGGAGACCAGTGAATCCCTTGGCCTGCCCAGCCACTGTCACTGCTGCATCAGCTCTGTAACAGACAGGGCCCCACAGACAAGGCTCCTACACTCCCAGAATGTCTGCTCCCCACCAAGAAATGGCCCTACTACACATACTCCAAAAACATTGGCCCAAAAATACATATAAGCTACTCTTGCATTCAAATATTTATCGAGCACTCGCTTGGCCAGGGGCAGGCATGAACAAGACACACTCCCTGCTCTCAGACAGCAAAGCCTCCTGGGCACAAGCCCTCTGAGAGTAAGACAGGTAAGCAGCCGCTGCTGCAGGGGAACAGGTGGGAACAACGTCATCACAAAGACGGGTGGGATTTGTACTCAGAAAACTCAGGAGTAAAGCAGGAGGGGAAAGTAAACTGTCCAACAAGACTGATCCCTTCCCAGATCAACCAAACTAAGCCACCAGGCTGGACCCTGTGACTACTGGATCGTAAACAGCCTCACACACCGGGAGGCAGCCTGCCTGGTCCTGGCACAGCGGGGAGTGACATGTGAGGACCCACCCAGAGCTGGGTACCTGCAGCAGGTCACCCTGGCCCACCAAGTGCCCTGGTACCCTGAAGGGCTGGTAGACATTCTCTCATAGCCTTATAAGGGCCTGGGAACTGACCCTCAAAGCTTGAGGGTCCCCCCCAATAATGAAATGAGAGACTTTGGGGAAATGCTATCCACATGCATAGCCACTTGAATGCTGAAGGCAAAACTGCAGCAGGAGGGTTGATAAGGGGTGGCTCTGGGTGCTGGTCCACTGCCCACAGGGAAGGACGAAGGCCAGGAGCTGGGCCTGGCTGCTGCCACCCTTGCCTCTACCGCCTCTTCCGTCTGCAATGTCCTCTGGGAATTGGCCTTCCTCTGTGGTGGGGCCTTTGTCCGATTTTTTCTGAGCGCTCCCTCTTTCATCTGCCTCTAGCAGGGAAGGCTCCCTCTGCAGCTGCAGGAATCATGCAGGAGGTACTGGCCCAGGGCACGCTGGCCACCTGGCTCAGGCCCCACCACCCACCCTGCCACCCTGTGCCCCTCCACTGCTCATTTTCTGGACTCCCTGTCACCTCCTCATCCCCCTGAGGTGGCAAACCCAGACACATCTCAGAGAGATGGGGTGGTGCCCTGCTGGGAACATGATGTCGACTTCTCTATTTCTTAGAGACCAGTGTTAGTGACTTTATGTATGTTGCTCTTTTGTATAAATAGTAATAATCCAGGTGACCAAAACACTTAACAGAAAATTGTCACTATTTCAGCCCCCAAAATAGCTATGAACAGCTCCTCCCTTGCAGGCAAGTGGGACTAGAAGAGGTAATAAACGTAGCATCCCAGAGCCCAGTCCAGGGGGCAGGTGTGCAGGGGAGAGTCTGCGCTGGGGTGCAAGCCTGTGGTCCAGGGCCTGGGTCCTCTCCCTGCTCCCAGAAGTCCTGAGGGGATGCAGTGGAGGTCCCCAAGGGCCCCGCAGATGAGGACAGCTCTGGTGCTGGATGAAGGGGCACATTCCCACTGGGTCCAGAGAGCGCTCAGTGAAGCCTGCCTTCCCCTAGGAAAAGGAGAGTGCATAGGACATTAGATCACACCAAATGCACCTCACTGCTTAGAAGGCGACAAACTGCACTTTCTGAAGATGTTTGAAAGCCTGCCCTGTCCACTCAAGCTCCAGTTCCTCCCTGTGCCCACAAGAGAGCAGAAGACTGAGAAGGTGAAGGCTGGCCTGCAGGAGCCACGCAGGGCAAAGCTGGTCTGCATTTGGGGAACATCCTGGAGCTGCAGGGAGGTGGGGCGTGAGCTACTGCAGTGGCCAGGGAAATCAGTTATTCATTTGAATAACCCAAAACTTATCAGCAAAGGAATAAGGTAAATCTTATTTTTTCCTTATTAAAATCATCAGAAGGATAAGATAGGCTGAGTGTGGTGGCCCTTGCCTGTAATCCCAGCACTTTGGGAGGCCAAGGCAGGAGGACCCCTTGAGCACAGGTCAAGCATGCAGTGAGCTATGACTGCACCACTGCACTCCAACCTGAGCGACAGAGCAAGACCCTGTCTCAGAAATAGTAATAATAATAATCATCATCATCATAAGACAAATCTAAATTTGAGATTAACTAAAAGATGTACTACATTAAAATTATGTGAAAAGAACAATTTTTAAAGACTTCTAAATGCCTTTTGCTCCCTAGTAGTAAAGTCTTCTGCAGATTTTCCATTTTATTGACCCAAAAAGGGAAGAGCAAATCTCCTCTTGGAAGGAAGCATGCCTGGGCAGAGCTGGAACACGCACTGGGTCACTTCGTGTGTAATTCATTCACTCCAGTTTCTATTAAATATAACCGGCCGCTAGTCCCCTTGATGAATGGGAGCATGTGAAGTCAATTAGTACTTACTCCGTTTCTTTCTATTTAAGAGTCTCTCTTTATGTACACATTCATTCAAGCCAAAGTTCAGACTCCCAATCAGGATTTCTCCCCACCCAAGGAGCAGCACACACAATGGCACCATGAAAGGGGAAGGCTGTGGGCGAGCACACGCCGCATGCCCCTCATGCAACCCGCTGCTTCCACCAACCCTCATGGCATTGCAGGAGCTCCCACCCCTGGTGCCAGCACCTCTGCTGCAGTCTCATGTTTCACCTGGTCCCTGCCAGGCTCCTCAGGGTGCCGGCCCCGCACTGAGGCAGGTGGGAAGTGTAGGTCCCCAGCATGCCTGCCTGGAACTGGAGGCCAGGAATCAGTCTCAGACCACCTCATGGACACTGCTCCAGCAAGGCCTGCACGCCCTCTAGCTGGGGCACTGCAGGCTGGGATGTGCTGACCAGACCAGCACCTCCTGCCCAGCCTTGCGAAATGATCACCTTGCTGCTATGAATTTTATTTTTTTTAATCCTAGCTTGAAATACAAAATGAGCAATGACTTGTCTGTTCTAAGCCAAACCTAATCTTCTTGCACCCTTGTGGGGATAGAAAAGCACTTCCACTTAGTATCTCAAAAGTATTATTTTTGTAAGATGAGATTTGCTTTCAAATCAAAGGAAGACGAGGTAACAGCAGGAATGGCACAGAAAGGACGTGTAGACATTCTCTCCTCCATAGAAGCAGCAAAAACAGACAAAACTTGTCAAAATCAATATTTTCAGAACTTTGGAAGTTAACAAAAGTATAAAACAATCCATGGAGCATGTATTCTAGAGGATGGCCAAGTCTCAGTGAGAAAATTTTAACTTGCTCTACTGCCATATCCCTTTACCCAGTTCTGTGCTGGGCTTGAAAATCAGCCCTGCCATGATGGTGAAAACCAGAGGCCTAGTAGCCATTGAAGAGAGCAGAATTGGACTAGGGCACTTCCAAATCTCCTTTACAGAGAACTGGCACTATTGGAGCTGTCTGGCAGTACCTTGACTACCCCTCTCACAGGTACCATCTGTATTGGACCAGGCTCAGAGCTCCAGAGGTGAATAGCCTTCTCTCCTGGGCGTTTGCCACAAACAATGAGCAGCAAGTGTTTAACATCACAGCTTCCTGAGGCAGCAACAGCCACTGGGGCTAACAAGAAGCCAACCAAAAAACACAAAAGAAAAAGCAGTTTGTAAAGCTTCAACACATTCCTAGGCATTCAAGCACAGGGCTGTACGTGTGCCCAAGAGGGACCTGTGAAGTTCTACCCACTCACCTCTGGATGACCGTGAGGCTCTGCAGAAGCCAGAAGTGAAGAAGAAGGCAGAATGTCTGGCTGGAAGCTGAAAGCCGACCCCAACATGCACACACAGCCCCTTGACAAAGGCAGGGAGACTTAATGGTCCCAGCCCTTATTTAAGAATACCTCTGTCCAGTCACTAACTGAACAGAGAATTCACTGGCCATACACAACAAAGAATACAGACTCAAAAACATGAGTTCAGGAAAGTCACTAAACAAACAGGAACAGCAAAAAGCCCTGGGAAGGGGGAAGAATCTGATTACTAGAGCTTCCATATTATATTCTTTTAAATGTCCAGTCTGACAAAAATATACACATGCAAAGACATGTATGGTCCATACACAAGAAAAAAAAATGGTAAATAGGATGGAGTCCTTGTGAATGGAATTAGTGTCCATATTAAAAGAGGCCCAGAGAGTGCACTCACCCCTTCCACCAGGTGAGTACACAGAGAGAAGGCACCATTTACGAGGAACAGGCCCTCACCAGCACCTTGACTTTGCACTTCCCAGCCTCCAGAACTATGAGAAATAATGTTCTGTTGTTTATAAGCTACTCAGTTTATGGCATTTTGTTACAGTAGCCTTAATGGACTAAGACATCTAATCTGACATTTCATATAAATGAAAACATACAATTTATCGTTTTTTATATCTGGCTTCTTTCACTGAGCATGTCCTTAAGGTTTATCCAAGTGGTAGCACATATCAGTACTTCTTCTATTTTTATGGGAACTATGTTCTGTTGTATGGATATGCCAAATTTTGTTTATCCATTCATGAATTGATGGGCAATGAGGTTGCTTCTTTCTTTGGCCATTAGGAATAATGCTGCTTTGAACACATATGCACAAGTTTTACACAGGCATGTCTTTTCAATTTTGTTGTGTACATACCTAGTAACAGAAATGCTGTATCAAATGGCAACTCCATGCTGAACAGTTTGAGGAACTGCTGAACTGTTTTCCAAAATGGCAGCACTATTTTATATTCCCACTGGCAATGCATGAGAGTTCCAATTTCTCCACATCAGCCCTAACACTTGTCATTGCCATCTTTTTTATGATAGCCATCCTATTGGGTGTCAAATGGCATCTCACTGAGCTTTTAATTTGCATTTCTCTAAATACCACTGATGTTGAGCATCTTTTCAGTTGCTTACAGGCCATTTGAATATCTTCTTTGGAGAAATGCCTATTTAAATATTTTGCCTGTGGGCATGGGGGGAGTCTTTTTATTATGGAGTTGTAAGAGTTCTATATATATTCCGAATACTAGTCCCTTATCAGATATATTGTCAGCCATTATTTTCTCCCGTTCTGTTGCTTGTCTTTCCACTTCTTGACAGTGTCCCTTTTATTCACAAAAGTTTTTCTTTTTGATAAAGTCCAATTTATGTACTTTTTTTGTTTGTGCTTTTAGCATCAAATCTAAGATACTGCATAATTCAAAGTCACAAAGATTTATAACCATGTTTTCTTCTAGGAGTTTTATAGTTTTAGAACTTGCATTTAGGTCTATGATCCCTTTTGAGTTAATTTTTGTATATGATGTGAAGTAGGGGTCCAACTTCATTCTTTTGCATGTGGATAGCCAGTTATCCCAGCACAATTTGTTGGAAAGACTATTCTTTCTGTATTTATTTGTTTTAATACCCTTGGTGAAAATCAATTGAATTTACATATAAGAGTTTATTTCTGGAGTCTTGATCCTCTTTCATTAATCTGTATGTCTATCCTTATGCCAGAAACACACAGTCTTAAATTACTGTGGCTTTGTAGTAACTTCTGAAAGCAGAAAGCATGAGTCTTCCAAGTGCTATTCTTTTACAAGGTTGTTTTGGCTATTCTGGATTGCTTGCATTTCTCTATGACTTGCAGGATCAGTGTGCTGAAAATGTAGATTAATTTGGGTAGTAATGCCATTTAACAATAGTAAGTATATCTTCTTGATGAATTGACACTTTTATTACCAGAAATTCTTGTCTCTAGTAACAATTTTTGTCTTAAAGTCTATTTTGTCCAATATTAGTATAGTCTCTCTACCTCTCTTTTGATTACTGTTTTCATGATATACCTTTTTCCATTCTTTTACCTTCAGCCTATTTGGGGTTTTGATTCTAAAGTGTGTTTCTTGGCGATAGCATACAGTTGGATCATTTACTTTACCCAGTCTGCCAATTTCTGCCTTTTGGTTGAAGTATTTAATCCATCTATGTTTAATATAATTACCATTGAGGTAAGATTTATCTGCTACTTTGGTATTTTTTTCTATATGCCTCATGTTTTTTTCTGTTCCTCACTTCTCCATTACTGCCTTCTTTGAAGTCAAATAGATATTTGCTAGTGTATCATTTTGATTCCTTTCTTCTTTTTTTACTATATGTTATTTTAGTTATTTTCTTGTGATTGCTGAGAGGATTACAATTATCATCTTAAAACAATCTATTTAGAACTAGTGCCAACTTAATTTCAGCTCTATACAGAACCTTTGCTCCTACATAACTCTATTTCCTCTCACCTGTTTGTTCTATTGCTGACTATAAAGTACACGTTTACACATTGTATATCCTTTAACAAAGATTTATAATTACTGCTTTATGCAACTGTCATTTAAAGCAGATGGTAGAATGAAGGAGTTGCATAGAAAAACATACATTTATGCTGTGTTTTATGTTTTCCTATACAGATTTCTTTACTGGTGCTCTGTTTTTCCTTATGTGGATTTGAGATACTGTCTAGTGTGCTTTCATTTCAGCTTGAAAAACTCCCTTTAACAATTTTTGTGGGAAAGGTATAGTGTTAAAGAACTCCCTCAGCTTTTGTTGGTATGGGAATTTCTTAACATCTCCCTCATTTTTGAAGGGCAGTTTTGCCAGATATAGAATTTTTAGTTGACAGTATGTTTCTTTTAACATTTTATATATGTCATCCCACTGCCTTCTGGCCTCCATGGTTTCTGATGAAAAATCAACTGTGCATGTAATTAAGGATCCCTTGTATGTGACAAGTCACTTCTCTCTCAGTGCTTTCAAGATTCTCTCTTTGGCCTTCACATGTGTCTTGCTATAAGTCTCTTTAAGTTTACCTTATTTGGAATTCATCGAGCTTCTTGGATTTGTACATCTGTGTCGTTTTCAGTTATTATTTCTTTAAAATGTTTTCTGGTCCTTTCTCTCTCTCTCTCTCTTCTCTGTCTGGAACACCCATAATGTGTATGTTGTACTATTTGATGGCTTTCCACAGGTCCCTTGGGCTCTATTCACATTTCTTCATTCTTTTTTCTTTCTGCCTCTCAGATTAAACAGTTTCAATTGTCCTATCTTCAAGCCTGCTGATTCTTTCCTCTGCCTTCCTAAATCTGCTGTTGAATGCCACTTGTGAGTTTTTCATTTCATTTATACTTTTCAGCTCAAGAATTTCTTGCTGATTTCTTTTTTATAATTTCTATCTCTTTGTTGATAGACTCATTTTGTTCATACGGTGTTTTTCTTATTTCCCATATTTATTTGTCCTTCTTTTTCCTTTAGCTATCTGAGCATATTTAAGATAGATGTTTTAAAGACTTTTTTCAGGAGGTATTAATATGATGTCTGGGCTTCCTCAAGGATGGAAAGAAACAAATCCATTTAAAGGATTTAAATGGATTTGTTTCTTTGTATGTCTTGGGGTTTTTTTTTTTATTATTATTGTTGTTGAAACACTTTGTTGTTGGTGGCAGTGGTTGCTGTTGTTGTCACTGTTATTAAATGCTGTAGCAGTCCATTGGTTTAGGTACTTTTCCAAACTATTTTTCCAAGGACTGTATCCCTTTTCATGTCTGTTTCCTAACATCATGTTCAGCTAATGTTTTGACAGAGATTTTCTTCAATACCAGGAGATTTTACAAGCAAACCAGAAAAAGAGAAAACACAAAACCAAAGAAGCAAACACCTTTCCCAGTCTTTGCAAAGTGGCTCTGATGGAGCACTTCATCAACAATTATCAAGTCTCCCACTGAGACTAAGATTAAGCTTGAGGTGAAAGTTTAGGGTTTTCTATGGTCTTTTCTGAGCATGCATCTCACCCTAATTATGTATGTGGCTTTCTAAGTTCATCCACACACAGGTACTTTTGAGTATCCTAAGTTCCCAAGGAATCTCCTACAGCTTTTGCACCTAGGTTTTAGGCAGTCTATTGTATGCCTCAATCAGTATGCATCTGCCCTAGGCCTCTATAGTTTGTCAGACTCTCTGACAGTATCTTCAAGCAATGCCCATCACTTTTCCAGCTTATGTTCTGAGTTAGGCAAAACAGAGCTCAGAGTCTTGTGTCAATCCTTCAGTGAGCCCACAGACAAATCAGAGCAAACGCAATAATTTACAGTTTCCACAACTCTTAGTGCTGGTTCTAAGAGTTTCTGCTTGTTTTCAACGTTTCTGGGGGTCGAATAAGAGCTTGGAACTGCTCACTTTGCCATTTTGCCATCACTATTCCTCTGCAGTAAGTCATTGCTTTGGGGATTATTTTGTATCTAAAGATAAATTAGGGGGAAACTGTCATCTTAATTATGTTGTTTTCCAATCCAGGAACATTGAAGGCTCTCTACTTATCTAAATCTTCTTTAAGTTCTCTCAGCAATATTTTGTGTTGTTCAATTATAAATCTTGTACTTTTTATTAAATTTAATCCTAAAAATGTGATTCTTCTTAATGATTTTGTGAAACAGTTTTCTTAATTTTATTTTCAGATTATTCATTACTAACATATAAAGACAATTAGTTTTTGTATGTTGATTTATAAAACTGTCTTTATTCACAGACATGATTATTTACTTAGAAAATCCCCCACAAAAAAATCTACAAACAAAAAAGTTGCTATACTTAATAAGTTACTTTAGCAAGTTTGCAGAACACAAGATCAATGTACAAAAATCAATTCTGTTTTATGTACCAACACTGAACAAATGTAAATTGATGTTTTACAACAACACCAAAAAATGAGTCACTTGGAGATAAATCTTACAAAATATGTCCAACACCTATCACTGAAAACTATAAAATTTTGCTTAGAGAAATTAAATAATACCCAAACAAATGGAAAGATAAGCCATGTTCCTAGAGCAGAAGATTCAATATTTGAAACCAAAAATAAAATTCTAAGCCCCTCACTGACTAATGGGAATCCTCCCCTTGGCCAAGGGAGTTTCAAAGAAACCTAAACGATCAGTTCAAGCCATGATGGGAGAGGGGGGTGGGAGGCGTTAGATATGCCTCATTATACTCTCCTCCCGTTGGAATTCAGGCACAGCTGATTAGCATTAACATTTAAAACAGAGACATTAAAACTGATGAAGCAGACTCTTTGTAGCAATAAGATACCAAATTCCAACCTCACCCTAATATAGCATCACATGACAGACAGCAGACCCTAAAAGAAAAGTATTTTGCCCCAAAATATATTTCTTTGACACATTTTTAATGGCCCTACAAAGCTGTCTCTTGTGGGGGCAATCTAAATTCTGTAGAGAATCCCCTTCCCTTTCTGATCCTGAAGAGATTAGCTGAGAGTCTAGCACCTTTTAAAGGTCTAAACAGGAGACATTTGCCATCTATTGCATCTAAAGGTGGCCACCTATGAGATTTCATCTACTTAAAAAGAACTTTGGTCGCCACAACCTTATCCTAATCCGGACATTCCTTTCTATTGATTCCATGGCTTTAGATAATAACTTAATTCTTTCAACCAATTGCCAATCAAAAAATCTTTTAATCTACCTACAACCTGTAAACCCCCATTTCAAGTTGTCCCACCTTTCTGGATCAAACCAATGTGTACCTTACATGTATTGATTGATGTCTGCCTGTAACTTTTGTCTCCGTAAAATGTATAAAATCAAGCTGTAACCTCGGACCTCCTGGGGTTGTGCCCACAGGTCATGGTCCTCACATTTAGCTCAGAATAAATCTCTTCAAATATTTTACAGTGTTTGACTTTTCTCATCAATAATATTATTAAGGTGTCAACTCCATAAATTCATCTTATAGACTCAATGCCATTCCAATAAAAATCCTACCAGGATCTTCTCTTTCTCTTTCTTTGTTAATCTAGCTAGGAGTCTATCAATCTTAGTTATTTTTTTGAAGGACAAACTTGGTTTCATTGATCTTTCGTATGGATTTTTGCATCTCGATTTTATTAAGTTCTTCTCTAATTATTTCTTTGGATTGGTTTGTTCCTTTCTCTCTAGTTCCTTTAGGTGTAAAGTTAGATTGTTAATTTGGGACCTTTCTAACTTCTTGATGAAGGCATTTAGGGCTACAATCTTTCTTCCTAATGCTGTATCTCAGAGATTTTTGAAGATTATGTCCTTATTTTCATTAATTTTAAATAATCATTTTTTATTTCTACCTTAATTTTTATGTTCACTCAGGACTTATTCAGGAGTAAGTTGTTTAATTTCCATGTATTTTTGTAGTTTTCCAAGATCTTATTGGTATTTATTTCTATTTTCATTGCACTATGGTCTCAGAATGTGCTTGGTATTATTTCGATTTCTTTTGAATTTATTGAAACTTGCTTTATGACTGAGAATGTGGTCAATCTTAGAATATGTTCCATATGCAGATGGGAAGAATGTATGTTCTGTGGTTGTTGGAGTGTTCTGCAGATGTCTATTAGGTCCAATTGGTCAAGTGTTGAGTTTAAGTCCAGAGTTTTTTGGTTAGTTTTTTGACTTGGTGATCTATCTAACACTGTCAATAGGGTGTTGAAATCTCCCACTATTATTGTGTGGTACTGTAAGTCTTTTTACAGCTCAAGAAGTTGTTTTATGAATCTGGGTGCTACACGGTTGGGTGCACAAATATTTAGGATAGTTAAGGTTTCTGGTTGGATTGTATCCTTACTATGTTATGCCCTTCATTGTCCTTCTTAATTTTTATTGGTTTAAAGACTGTTTTATCTGATGTAGGAATAGAGTCTCCTGCTCTTTTTTAATTTCCATTTGCATGGTAGATTTTACTCCACCCTTTTATTTTGAGCCTGTGGGTGTCATTACATGTGAGAAAGAGAAGATCCAAATAAGCACAATCAGAAATGACGAAGATGACATTACAACTGATCCCACAGGATTATAAAAGATCTTCAGAGATGAGTATGAATAACTCTATGTACACAAATTATAAAATCTAGAGGAAATGGATAAATTCCTGGAAGCACACAATCTCCCAAGACTGAATTAGGAAGAGATTGAAAACCTGAATAAACCAGTATCAACATCTGAAAGAACCTATCAACCAAAAAAAGCCCTGGGCCAGATGGATTCATAGCCAAATTCTACCAGAAGTACAAAGAAGAACTGATATCAATACTACTCAAACTATTCCAAAAAATCAAGAAGGAGGGGCTCTGCCCCAACTCACTCTATTAAGCCAGCATCAGCCTGATACCAAAATCTGGCAGAGACACAGTGAAAAGAGAAAACTTCAGAACAATATCCCTCATGAACATAGATGCAGAAGTCCTCGACAAAATACTAGCAAATAAAATCAAGTAGCACATCGGAAAGTTAATATGCCACAATCAAGTAGGCTTTATTCCTGTGATGCAAGACTGTTTCAATGTACACAAATCAATAAATGTGTTTCACCACATAAACAGAATCAAAAGCAAAACTGTATGATCATCTCAATAGATGCAGAAAAAGCTTTAGATAAAATCCAACAGCCCCTCATGATAAAAATCCTCAACAGACTAGGCACTGAAGGAATGTACCTCATAATACTGAGAGCCATCTATGACAAACCTACAGCCAGCATCATACTGAATGGGCAAAAGCTCAAACCATTCCCCTTGAGAGCTGGAACAAGACAAGGATGCACATTTTCACCACTCCTATTCAACAGAGTATTAGAAATTCTAGCCAAAGCAGTCAGGCAAGAGGAAGAAGTAATAGCCATCCAAACAAGAAAAGAGGAAGTCAAGCTATCTCTCTTCACGGACAATATGATTCTATACTTAGAAAATCCTAAAGACTCCTAGAATTGATAAATGACTTTAGTAAAATTTCAAGATACAAAATCAAATGTACAAAAATCAACAGCATTTCTATACAACAATAAAGTCCAAATGGGAGTGAAATGAAGAACACAATCCCACTTACACTAGCCACAAAGAAAATGAAACACCTGCCCTCTCCCTCTCCCTCTCCCTCTCCCTCTCCCTCCCCCTCCCCCTCCCCCTCCCCTTCCCCCCCCCCTCCCCCTCCCCCTCCCCCTCTCCCCGGTCTCCCTCTCATGCGGGGCCGAAGCTGGACTGTACTGCTGCCATCTCGGCTCACTGCAACCTCCCTGCCTGATTCTCCTGCCTCAGTCTGCCGAATGCCTGCGATTGCAGGCACGCGCCGCCACGCCTGACTGGTTTTGGTGGAGACGGGGTTTCGCTGTGTTGGCCGGGCCGGTCTCCAGCCCCTAACCGCGAGTGATCTGCCAACCTCGGCCTCCCGAGGTGCCGGGATTGCAGACGGAGTCTCGTTCACTCAGTGCTCAATGGTGCCCAGGCTGGAGTGCAGTGGCGTGATCTCAGCTCACTACAACCTACACCTCCCAGCCGCCTGCCTTGGCCTCCCAAAGTGCCGAGATTGCAGCCTCTGCCCGGCCGCCACCCCGTCTGGGAAGTGAGGAGTGTCTCTGCCTGGCCGCCCATCGTCTGGGATGTGAGGAGCCCCTCTGCCTGGCTGCCCAGTCTGGAAAGTAAGGAGCATCTCCGCCCGGCCGCCATCCCATCTAGGAAGTGAGGAGCGCCTCTTCCCAGCCGCCATCACATCTAGGAAGTGAGGAGCGTCTCTGCCCGGCCACCCATCGTCTGAGATGTGGGGAGCGCCTCTGCCCCGCCGCCCCATCTGGGATGTGAGGAGCACCTCTGCCCGGCCGAGACCCCGTCTGGGAGGTGAGGAGCGTCTCTGCCCGGCCGCCCCGTCTGAGAAGTGAGGAGACCCTCTGCCTGGCAACCACCCCGTCTGAGAAGTGAGGAGCCCCTCCGCCCAGCAGCTGCCCCGTCTGAGAAGTGAGGAGCCTCTCCGCCCGGCAGCCACCCCATCTGGGAAGTGAGGAGCGTCTCCGCCCGGCAGCCACCCCGTCCGGGAGGGAGGTGGGGGGGGGGCAGCCCCCCGCCCGGCCAGCCGCCCCGTCCGGGAGGTGAGGGGCACCTCTGCCCGGCCGCCCCTACTGGGAAGTGAGGAGCCCCTCAGCCCGGCCAGCCACCCCGTCCGGGAGGGAGATGGGGGGGTCAGCCCCCCCACCCGGCCAGCCGCCCAGTCCGGGAGGGAGGTGGGGGGGTCAGCCCCCCGCCTGGCCAGCCGCCCCGTCCGGGAGGGAGGTGGGGGGGTCAGCCCTCCGCCCGGCCAGCCGCCCCGTCTGGGAGGTGAGGGGCGCCTCTGCCCGGCCGCCCCTACTGGGAAGTGAGGAGCCCCTCTGCCCGGCCACCACCCCGTCTGGGAGGTGTGCCCAACAGCTCATTGAGAACGGGCCAGGATGACAATGGCGGCTTTGTGGAATAGAAAGGCGGGAAAGGTGGGGAAGAGATTGAGAAATCGGATGGTTGCCGTGTCTGTGTAGAAAGAAGTAGACATGGGAGACTTTTCATTTTGTTCTGCACTAAGAAAAATTCCTCTGCCTTGGGATCCTGTTGATCTGTGACCTTACCCCCAACCCTGTGCTCTCTGAAACATGTGCTGTGTCCACTCAGGGTTAAATGGATTAAGGGCGGTACAAGATGTGCTTTGTTAAACAGATGCTTGAAGGCAGCATGCTCGTTAAGAGTCATCACCAATCCCTAATCTCAAGTAATCAGGGACACAAACACTGCGGAAGGCCGCAGGGTCCTCTGCCTAGGAAAACCAGAGACCTTTGTTCACTTGTTTATCTGCTGACCTTCCCTCCACTATTGTCCCATGACCCTGCCAAATCCCCCTCTGTGAGAAACACCCAAGAATTATCAATAAAAAAATAAATTAAAAAAAAAAAAAGAAAAACACCTAGGAATACAGCTAACCAAGGAGTTGAAAGATTTCTATAAGCACTACAAAACATTGCTGAAAGAAATCAGAGGTGACGCAAATAAATAGAAAAACATTTCATGCTCATGGACTGGAATAATCAATATCATAAAAATGTCCATACTGCCCAAAGCAATGTACAGATTCAATGCTATTCCTATCAAACTACCAACGTTCTTTACAGATTCAGAAAAAACACTATTCTAAAATCCATATGGAACCAAAAAAAGAGACCAAATTGCCAAGGCAATCTTAAAGCAAAAAGAACACAGCTGAAGGCATCACGTTACCCAACTTCAAACTACACAATAGAGCCACAGAAACCAAACAGCTTGGTATGGGCACAAAAACAGACACACAGACCACTGGAACAGAATAGAAAACTCATAAATAAAACCTGACACCTACATCTATCTGATCTTTGACATGGCCAATATAAACAAACAATGAGGAGAGGACTCCCTATTCAATAAATGGTGCTGGGATAACTGGCTAGCCATATGCAGAAGATTGAAGCTGGACCCCTACCTTTCACCATTTGTAAAAAGTAACGCAAAATAGATTAAAGATTTAAATATAAGACCTCAAACTATAGAAATCCTGGAAGACAACTTAGGAAATACTCTTCTTGACATCAGCCTTGGCAAATAATTTTTGACTAAGTCCCCAAGAGCAATTGCAACAAAAATTGACAAGTGGGACCTAATTAAACTCAAGAGCTTCTGCACAGCAAAATGAACTATCAACAGGGTAAACAGACAACCTACAGAATGAGAGAAGATACTTACAAACTATGCATCTGACAAAGGCCTAATATCCGGAATCTATTAGGAACTTAAACAAATCAACAAGCAAAAAACAAGTAACCCCGGCCGGGCACAGTGGCTCACGCCTGTAATCCCAGCACTTTGGGAGGCCGAAGCGGGTGGATCACCAGGTCAGGAGGTGGAGACCATCCTGGCTAACATGGTGAAACCCCGTCTCTACTAAAAATACAAAAAAATTAGCTGGGCTGGGTCTTCTGAGGCAGGGCAGAGTGTTGAATCTGGGCTGCCATCTCCACCACACTGACTATTAGAATATAGTGGAGCAGGCCGGGTGCGGTGGCTCACGCCTGTAATCCCAGCACTTTGGGGGGCCGAGGCGGGAGGATCACACAGTCAGGAGATCAAGACCATCCTGGCTAACACGGTGAAACCCCATCTCTACTAAAAATATAAAAAAATTAGCTGGGCGTGGTGGCGGGTGCCTGTAGTCCCAGCTACTCGGAAGGCTGAGGCAGGAGAATGGCGTGAACCTGGAAGGCAGAGCTTGCAGTGAGCTGAGATCGCATCACTGCACTCCAGCCTGGGCGACAGAGCAAGATTCCGTCTCAAAAAAAAAAAAAAAAAAAACAAGTAACCCCATTAAAAAATGGCAAAGGACGTGAACAGATACTTCTCAAAAGAAGACATACAAGTGGTGAACAAACATATGAAAAAGCGCTCAGCATCACTAATCACCAGAGAGATGCAAATTAAAACCACAATGAGATACCATCTCACACCAGTCAGAATGGCTATTATTTTAAAAATCAAAAAACAACAGATGCTGGTGAGGCTACAGAGAAAAGGGAATCCTTATGCACTGCCGGTGGGAATGCAAATTAGCCCAGCTACTGTGGAAAGCAGTCTGGAGATTTCTTAAAGAACTTAAAACAGAGCTACCATTAAACCAAGCAATCCCATTATTGGGTAGATATGCAAAAGAAAAATCATTCTACCAAAAATTCATGCACTCATATGTTCATCACTGCACTATTCATAATAACAAAAACATGGAACCAACCCAGGTGTCCATCAATGCTAGACTGGATAAAGAAAATGTGGTTCATATACATCATGGAATACTATGCAGCCATAAAAAAGAGTAAAATCCGCAGGGCACGGTGGCTCACACCTGTAATCCCAGCACTTTGGGAGGCGGAGGTGGGCGGATCACCTGAGGTCAGGAGTTTGAGACCAGCCTGGCCAACACGGTGAAACCCCGTCTCTATTAAAAATACAAAAATTAGCTGGGCGTGGTGGCGAGCAACTATAATCCCAGCTGCTTGGGAGGCTGAGGCGAGGTAATCGCTTGAACCCGGGAGGTGGAGGTTGCAGTGAGCAAAGATTGCACCACTGCACTCCAACCTGGGCAACAAGAGCGAAACTCCATCTCAAAAAGAAAGAATGAAATCATCTCCTTTGCAGTAACATAGATGGAGCTGGAAGCTATAACCCTAAACAAATTAATGCAGGAACAGAAAACCAAATACCTCATGTTCTCACTTATAAATGGGAGTTATGCATTGAGCACACATGGACATGAGTGTAGGAACAATAGACACTGTGGAATACTAGAGGATGAAGGAAGGGGGAGTGGGTTAAAAAAATAAAAAACTACTTATCAGGTACTAGACTCATGACCTAGGTGACGGGATCCATACTCCAAACCTCAACATCACATAATATTCTCATGTAACAAATCTGCACATGGGTACCCCCATATCTAAAATAAACGTTGAATTTTAAATTTTTACACACACTGTATGATTTCATGTATATAACATTATCAAAATGGCAAAATTCTAGAGATGAAAAACAGATCAGTGATTTCCAGGGGTTAAAGATGGCAGGGGGAGGGGTATGTAACTTAAGGGTTGTGTGAGGGATTTCTGTACGGAATCTGAGATTACGATGGAATAGGTCTATATCTTGATTATAGTAGAGGTTACATAAAGCTACCCAAGTGATAAAATGACAGACAGACACACACACACACACACACACACACAGTACAAAAAAAAATCCCAGCAGGAATGTTACATAAATCAACAAAATGATGATAGAATTTATATGGGAAGGCAAGTGGCATCGAATAGCCAAAGCAATCTTGAGAAAGAACCACGTTAGAGGGCTCACACCATTTGATTTCAGAACTCTTCATAAAGATTCAAGATAGTGTGATATTCATGACATGATAATCACATAGACTGATGGAACAGAATAGAGATTTCAGGGGGCCAGGCACGGTAGCTCACGCCTGTAATCCCAGCACTTTGGGAGGCCGAGGTGGGTGGATCACTTGAGGACAGGAGTTTGAAACCAGCTGGCCAACATAGTGAAACCCCGTCTCTACTAAAAATACAAAAAAAATGGCCGGGCGCGGTGGCTCACGCCTGTAATCCCAGCACTTTGGGAGGCCGAGGCGGGCGGATCACGAGGTCAGGAGATCGAGACCATCCTGGCGAACATGGTGAAACCCCGTCTCTACTAAAAATACAAAAAATTAGCCAGGCGTGGTGGCGGACGCCTGCAGTCCCATCTAATCGGGAGGCTGAGGCAGGAGAATGGCGTGAACCCGGGAAGCGGAGCTTGCAGTGAGCCGAGATCACGCCACTGCACTCCAGCCTGGGCAACAGAGCGAGACTCCGTCTCAAAAAAAAAAAAAAAAAAAAAAAATTAGCTGGGTGCAGTGGTGGGCACCTATAATCCCAGCTACTTGGGAGGCTGAGGCAGGAGAATCGCTTGAACCCAGAAGGCAGAGGTTGCAGTAAGCCGAGATAACACCACGGCACTCCAGCTGGGCACAGAGCGAGACTCCGTCTCAAAAAAGAATAGAGAGTTCAGAAATAAATCAACAGATAAATGGACAATGTATTTTTGACAAAGATACAAGGCAATTTAATGGACAAAGGAGTCTTTTCAACAAACGGTCCTGGAACAATTGGACATCTATAAGCAAAATATAAATAAACCCAGCAGCATATGCAAAAATTCACTCAAAATGGATTATATGCCTAAATGTAAAACCTAAAACTACAACACTTCTAAAAGAACAAACAGAAGAAAATCTTTGTGATCTTGGGTTAAGCAAAGATTTCTTAGATACAACACCAAAAGTATACTCCATAAAAGAATAATTGATAAATTGGACAACATCAAAATTAAAAATTTCTGCTCTCCAAAAGAAATGAAAAAATAATAATGCAAAGACAAGCACAAACTGTCAGAAGATAATTGGGAAAAATGCATTTTATAAAAAAAAGTTGTGTTGAGAATATATAATGAATCACAAACCCCATAATAGGAAAACAAGCAGACCTCACTCTCCAAATATATAAAACCATAATAAGGTGCCTCTAAATACTTATTAAAATGGCTAAAATTAAAAGTACAGTCAATATTAAGTGCTGACAATGACGCAGAGGACTGGAGCTCTCATGTATTGCTGGTGAAAATGCAAAATGGTACAGCTTCCTTGGAAAGCAATTTGGCCTTTGCTTAGACAGTTAAACATATATTTATCAAATAACTCAGCAATCTCATTCTTAGGCATTTATCCAAGGGAAATTAAAATTTACATTCACATAAAAACCTGTATGCCAATGCTTATACTGGTTTTATTCATAATTACCAAAACTTGGGAACAATCCAAGTGCCCTTCAAGAGGAGAATGAATAAACAAAGTGTGATATGTCCACACAACTCCACTCAGCAATAAAAAGAAACACAACTTGGATGAAGCTCAAATGCATTATACAAAGTAAAAGAACCAAACTCAATGGTTCCATTTATTTGACATGCTTGAAACAGGCCAAAATGTAAAAACAGAAAACAGATTGATGGTTAACAAGTGCTGACGGGAAAAGGAAGCAGCCAAAGGAGTTTTTGTGGGGTGATAGAAATATTCCAGATCTTGATTTGCTGACAATTACACAATTGTATGCATTTGTCAAAACTCATAGATCTACTCACCATTTCTGGTGAAATTATACCTCAATTAAAAATACATAAAATAATAGCTTTGAGCAATCTGCAACAGCACTGATAGTGTTTACAACATATTGTTACATTTAAGAAACTACAAAGCAAGAGATACACTCTGAGCACAATTATGTAAAAACTTGTATTACATATAGGAAAGACCAGAAGGGAACACAGATAAATGCAAGCAGACAGTAATGATTGTGTTAGAGGCACGATGTTGTGTTCTCCCTTCGACCTCCAAATTTTCAGCAATATATTTATTTTCACTTGATAATGAAATACAGTAACCAATCCATGACAGATGTAAACGCTGCCTTAAATAATTTATCTTCATTATTTTTAACATATTCTCTCTAATTTGCTTCCCTGTCCAATCTGCCATCAAATATATTCCTGCTAAGTGGAAGACCAAAAGGTAATTAGCTAATTTTGAAAGGGCAAATTTCAAGGTCAATTAATTCCTGATTTGTGAAAACAATTAGAAAAAATTAATTACATTTTCCACTGATTAGAAATAAACCTTCCCACACAATCTTGCCTTTAAAAAAAATAGATAATTTGGCCGGGCGCGGTGGCTCACACCTGTAATCCCAGCACTTTGGGAGGCCGAGGCGGGTGGATCATGAGGTCAGGAGATCGAGACCATCCTGGCTAACAAGGTGAAACCCCGTCTCTACTAAAAATACAAAAAATTAGCCGGGCGCGGTGGCGGGCGCCTGTAGTCCCAGCTACTCGGGAGGCTGAGGCAGGAGAATGGCGTGAACCCGGGAAGCGGAGCTTGCAGTGAGCCGAGATTGCGCCACTGCAGTCCGCAGTCCGGCCTGGGCGACAGAGCGAGACTCCGTCTCAAAAAAAAAAAAAAAAAAAAAATAGATAATTTAAGTCTGTCAATCTGACAACCAATTGTATTTAAGTACATCTGTCATTCTTACATACTATTTTGAGATACAAAAAAAATTGATTCAAAATTTTCTGAGATTTAATTAGGCAAAGCAAATGGGAAAGAGAGAGTGGAGAGAGTGGGGAAGTCTGTGTGTCACTCTGTGCTTAATTTGTTTTTTTTTTTTTTTTGAGACAGAGTTTCACACTTGTTGCCCAGGCTGCGGTGCAATGGTGAGATCTCAGCTTACTGCAACCTCAGCCTTCCAGGTACAAGCAATTCTCCTGCCTGAGCCTCCAGAGTAGCTGGGATTATAGGCATGTGCCACCAGGCCCGGATAATTTTGTATTTTTAGTAGAGACGGGGTTTCTCCATGTTGGTCAGGCTGGTCTCGAACTCCTGACCTCAGGTGATCCACCTGCCTCAGCCTCCCAAAGTGCTGGGATTACAGGCATGAGCCACCGCACCCAGCCCTGTGCTTAGTTTTTTTATGAATAAAATTAGCATATTAGATTAAAAAATTCATCTTTAATTTGGCAATTTTGTTTGTTCCATGTCATTACGATTGTATGGACAAGACGTATTCCTCTAACAAAAGGGTGGAAGTCCTCAGCTAGGACAGGGGAAACAGCCCTGAGGAATGTCCAGCAGCGTTCCAGGGCTGGACATACAGAGCAGGCGCAGGGTCCCAAAGACAAGGGTTGAGGTGCCCAGAGAATGAAGTCTGCTTTCTCCATATGTCTTTGTGGTTGGTTCCCTCTGTTATAGGACTACTATTAAAGGAGGGTAAAACTGCGACTCACGTCCCAATATAAAATGAATGCAGGTCAATATTTTGTTTAACTCATCAATTAGAAGAAACTGATAAGACGCAAAAAACCACACAAACATGGGCAATTAGAAATGCTGAATTGGGCCAGAAGCGGTGGCTCATGCCTATAATCCCAGCACTTTCGGAGACCGAGGCAGGTGGATCACGAGGTCAGGAGATCGAGACCATCCTGGCCAACATGGTGAAACCCCGTCTCTACTAAATATACAACAATTAGCCGGATGTGGTGGCGAGTGCCTGTAGTCCCAGCTACTCGGGAGGCTGAGAAGGAGAATCGCCTGAACCTGGGAGGCAGAGGTTGCAGTGAGCCGAGATTGCACCACTGCACTCCAGCCTGGGTGACAACGTTGAATTGAACTTACAAATAAATGCAAAACTGGACAATGCATTCCACGGACACAATCCAACTTTACTTCTAGGGAAAAGAGTTATTTGCATTATTGTCAGCTTTCTGATCAGTTGCAAACAGTGAAAGATGCAGATAACCTGGAAGGACTCCAGACTTCCCTTCACTTCCTATAAAAGACACCAATCATCTTTGTGTTCCATTTCCAACTTTTTCACAACAATTTCCTTCATCACTATTCATCTCTGGGGTTGGTGATGCCTGAGTGGCTCCCAGGAATTGGCCTGCTGCTACTCACAGCCTCCAGCAATCCCATCCCTGAGAGTGGGCTGGACCTAGTAGTGACTGGCTTCTAACCAACAGAATACAGAAGGGATGGTGTCACTCCATGATTAGGTCACAAAAGACTATCCCTTGTGCCTGCCCAGATGGAGTGGGCCCCTGGCAATGAGCTGAGATGGCCTCCAGTCAACAGCTGGCAAGGAACTGAGGCCATCCATCCAACAGCCCAGGAAGAACCACACCCGGCCAACAACCACACAGATGAGCTCAGAAGCAGACCTTGCTCCAGCTGAACACTGAGATGCTATGGTTAGAGCCATACATGACAACTTGTCCCAGCCTGTGAAGACCCTGAGCAGAGGACCTAGGTCAGCTGTGCCCAGATTTCTGACCCATGAAACTGAGAAAATAAATATGTACTCTTTTAAGCTGCTAAGTTTGGGAGAAATTTGTTACCTGGCAATAGATCCTGAATTCACTCTTCCTTCCAGCTTTCTTTATATGTATATCCTGCCTTGTTTCACACAGATTTTAATCATTTTAAGAAAATACCGAGTAACCAGTTTGTGCACAGGTGATGTAACTGACCCAAGAAATTGCACCTGAGCTGCCTGGGAGCCAAAGGAAAAAGGGGACACGGCAGGCTACAGCCTCTGCCTGCTTCTCTCCTGCAGAAACAACAGAAAACGAGGCTACAAGGGGATGATTCCCTGAGAGCTAAAACATAGGCCAGTACAGTCCCCCAAATTACCTTTTCAACGCAGTCTGAAGCAATCTATTTGCAGCATCTCATAGTGTTCTTTCGTTCTGCTCATTCTCTTCACAACTGAACCCATAATAGATGAGTTTGACTTCATTGAGGCTAAGGGGTTTGCTGGTTTCCACATACCTGAGACTCCCACCTATGGTAGATTCAAAGACTTACGTATCTTTTCTCTGATAAGATTACTGTTTTTTTTTTTTTCATTTTCTGCCTATTTTCATGAAACAAGAAGGGCAAAATGTAATAAAACTCTTCAGTAACCTTTAGCCTGAGATGACAGTGCTGGGATACTGTGTACATGGCCACCAGGCGACATGGCCACACACCTGCCCAGGAGTGTGCTGTTTCAGGGGGCTCACCTAGGGCCATGTGGGCAACAGCCTGTGCCCTCCACACTCAGACATTCACACCAGTGAGCCCTTCCCCCGAGAGCCCGCACTGTGGGTGGGTTGGGCCAACACACCATTCTCCTCATGGTGCTGAGAGCTGCCCCTTGAGGCTGCGGTTCCCTGTTGCTCCTCCTCCTGGGAGAAGCTCCGCATGGGAGGTGTGGCTCACTCATGAGGGCTCATGCCTGTGGACAAGGGTGGCACCTTCTGGCATCTCCACACTCAGCCTAGGTAGTTGCCAGTGCCATCCCGACACCCCCTCCCCGTGCCCTGCGCAGGCTGTGGGGTCAGGGCACCCTCACCCTCCCTTCACTGGACCACCACACCTGCCAGCTCCTGCCCCCATGTGCCTGCACCTGTCAGCACCTCCCCACGCTCTCCTTCCTCCTCCACCTGGAATCCTGCCTGGCTGCCCAGGGCCTCCTGCCTGTGGAGCTCATGACAGGCCCCAGTCTGCCCCTGGTACACCATACATCGAAGCAAGAAGTGAGGTCAAAGAACTTGGAACATATGCAACATATGCTCTTCTGGTTTTCCCAATTCTTGTCTCACTGGAAGCTGAACATTACCTTCCATCACTCACATCCTGGCTGGGACAATCCTGCTGCCTCATCTGCCTCCCCATGCACAGGCCACACAGTCCTTCCGGCCATATTAGACACTTCCCAACAAAACACTCTTTAAAGAAAAGGAAAAGGCAAGCTCCTCGCTGGGAGAAGATCCTGCAACATGGGACCAGAGAAAGTTAATACTCAGAATATTCCATATGAATCTGGGGGGAACAGACACATTCAGTGTATAACAGAGAACATTTGCTGCAGGCTGTTTTTAATAGCACATACTGGGGGATGAGGAGCAGAAACTGAAAAGCCGCCAACAGGAGAACATGTATTAATGGTAGCATATTCACATAATGAAATTCTATGCAAGGAGTTCACACGAATGAACGAGAGCTACAGGCATCAGCACAAAGAAACCTCAAAACACATTGCCAAAGAGAGCAACTCAAAGTTTCACCACTTGCAAAAGGACAGCATAGACTGTAAGTCAATAGAAACATTCAGTGAAAGCATGAGCACGCAAGCTGGGGAGCTCCCCCTGGAGCGGGCAGGATGACAGCAGCAGCATGCACCACACCCGCATGCAATTCTGTGGTGCTTTGTTAAAGGCTGGAGAGACCATCAGTACTGCAGGGGTCGGAGCTCTGGCTGTGGGAACGAGGATCCTCAGATCTGCCATGTAATCGATATGGCCCAACAAAGACAGTCAGAGACACCTACTCATAGGATGCTGCTTTTCTCATTACAAGGACATCTATGTGAACTGCAAATTATGGGTTTGCAGTATAAGCATTGACATGTAAAAACCATTCATTGTCTTTACATAAGTAAATATTTAAAGATGTATCAAATTTTTTCTTAAGGAATGAAATCATGTCTTTTGCAGCAACATGGATGTAGCTGGAGGCCATTATCCAAGCGAATTAACCCAGGAACAGGAAACCAAATACCACATATTCTCACGACAAGTGGGCGCTAACCCCCGGGTGCACATGGACATAAAGAAGGCAGCAGGGAACACTCGGACCACACAGGGGCGGGAGGAGGGATGGTGGAAAAGTAACTATTGGGTACCATGCTGACTACCCGGGTGATCAGTCGTACCCCAAACCTCAGCATCACACAATATACCCAGGTAACAAACCTGCACATTTAACCCCTGAATCTAAAATAAAAGTTGAAATTATTTTTAAATTTCCTTTTATGTAAATTCTGACTTTTCTGACATGAAAAACAATACTCAGTTAATTCACTTGCTATATGTATAGAAATAAGGCATGCCCTCAGAGACATACGCTTTCCAAAATTGCAGAATAATTGCAATACTTTAAATAATATATTAAGTGTTAAGTCTTCATGCTACAAACTCTTTTTTCTATTTTTATTATCTTTTGGAGCTAAATTAAGTTCATCATATTTTACAAATATCAGTCATCAAAAACTAAGCCAGGAAAGTGATCTAATGCTGGAAAAATTCTTGCAAAATTTCTGGAAATTTTTCCCACAACAAACGTGGGGGAACGATGCTCATGGAAACCCAATCTGTGTGAAGTCCACATTTACAAGATGGCACTATTTTAAACTCACCTCCCTTTTGTGAGGAATGAAGCAAACTCCTGGCCTGCAGGAGCCCAAGAGCTCTGCCCGGCAGCCCCCCTGGGGCAGGAGTGCGAGGGGTCAGCTCCACCGGCTCCCCGAGGAAGCCTGCGCTTGCCGGCCACAAGTTCAGCGAGTCCGCTGGGCACGGACGTCTGCAGGAGCTCCACCGCCGGCGCGCCGGGGTACCGCCTGCCGTCTCTGCCCTCCAGATGCATGCTCCACTGCCAGTCTTCTCTCTAGGGCAGCCAGAAAGAAACCACTCTTCATGAAAGGCACACTGAGACTAACGTTTGCACCTTGGGAGTCCGTACAATAGGAAGGTTGCTTCTTCGGAGGCGGTCCCAGAGTTCCAGCATCCTAACCACGCAAGAGCATTTCACCCTAGTGAGAAGTGAAGCCAGCTGGACTTCCTGGGTGGAGTGGGAACTTGCAGAACATTTCTGTCTAGCTAAAGGATTGTAAATGCACCAATCAGCACTCTGTGTCTAGCTAGAGGATTGTAAATGCACCAATCAGCAATCTATAAAATGGACCAATCAGCACTCTGTACAGTGGACCAATCAGCACTCTGTAAAATGGACCAATCAGCAGGACGTGGGCGGGGACAAATAAGGGAATAAAAGGCTGGCTACCCCAACACGCTGGACTCCCCTACTAATCTGTGGATACTTTCGATGTTTTGGTTTTCACAGTAAATCTTGCTGCTGCTCACTCTTTGGGTTTGTGCCACCTTTAAGAGCTGTAACACTCACCGGGAAGGTCTGCAGCATCATTCTTGAAGTCAGTGAGAGCAAGAACCCACCAGAAGGAACCAACTCCGGACACCCTAGCAGTGGCCTAAGTGTTCAGCAACAGAGAGCTAGTTAAGTAGATTGTGATGTGTGCACAGCATGAAATTCTGTGCTACATTTAAAATGATCTAAGAGATGGTTCTTGTTATTGGGAAATGCTATGGATGTGTAAAGAATAAGGACAAGTGGTACACTGTGATGTTTTTATTGAAATAAATATGTATAAATTACATACATACAACAGAGGCCCAAAAGACACACCCTCCAAAACATGGCTACCTCTGGATGGCGAAAGTGCCCACGGGGGTCCTTTTTCTTTGGTTTTGTTTGATCTATGATTTTCACATTTTTTGCATTTAGCAAATTAATACTATTCTGGTGAGAATATAATAATACCTACAATAAAAGTAAGAACTATTCCTATACCTCTAAAGTAATGCTGTCCTACTTTGGGGCTTATATTTCAAACCACTCACCATTTTATTTTTTGCATTTTCAAGCAGCCGACAGCACCAGAAATGACCTTTGGCCTTGCAGCCACTTGGTTTGCTGTCCAGGGTTGCTGGGAAGCCAGGACTGACTGTGCACTTTGGCCATGCAGGATGTCTGGCGCTGAGATGCAGAGGCACGTGCTGGGGCTGGAGTTAGCACAGTAGTGTATCACCACTCCTAATCGCCTGTTTCACATACAGTCTTCACAATGCCCCATGAGCACAGAATTCCAGTGGACCCAGGATGAAAGGAGTTTGCTGTGACTCAAAGCAAGTACAAGACGTGTGATGGCTACAGCTGAGTAAGCCAAGCACTGACAGCCCCAGACGCACACTTCCTGGTGGAGCCAGAACTTACTTCAAATATAGAAAAACATGACATTCGAAGAAACCTGAACGACCAAGGAAGTCCATATATCCTTCTCACCATTGTTATTTCCCTGCTTTAACCAACCACTTATGCTGAGAGTGATCACTCACAAACCAGTGAGCCGAAGGCAGGCCATGTCGGCAGAATGTTCTTGTATCATAAAAGTGAGATAAAACAGTTGCATTGGTTTTAGACAGTGGCTCCACTACCTGGTAAGAACAAAGTACAAATGTACATACCAGCTATAAAAAAGTTGTCTGATTTCACAAATTCCACGCATGAGCTAAATGTTTCAATATTTGCATTTGAAACTGATGTGGCATGATATAAAGATGACTAGTAAAAGTAATGCTAACAATTTAAAATTTAAATTTTTTTATTTAGAATAATGACATTAAATACCAATTTAAAAGCACCATGACAAGCCAAGAGAGAGAGACTATGGAAGAAAGGAGAAAACTTTATCCTTACCATTAATGGCATTTTCCCTGGTTTTTGAACAAAGGGCCTCACAAATTATGTAACTGGTCCTGCTGAGACTTTAGAGGGGGTCCTCCTGCTCTCCATTGACAATTCCAGGGCGCCATTGCCCCTCCTAAAACACCCAGCTTCTTTAGAAGAACATGCCATTGGAATTGCCACAGACTGAATGTGTATGTGCCCTCCAACAAACTCAGAGGCTGAAACCCTGCCCTGTAATGGGATGGTATTCAGAGGTGGGGTCTCAGGGAGGTGACTGGGATTTGGAGAGGCCCTGAGGGTAGAGCTCTCATGAATCAGCTCCAGACCCTTCTGAGAGTCGTGGGAGAGCTCAGCTCCTCTCTCCACCATGTGTGGACACGGCGAGAAGATGCTGTCTGTGAACCAGGAGGTGGGCCTCCCCAGACACGGAATCTGTTGGTGCTGTGATCTGAGACTTCACAGCCTCCCAAACTGTGAGAAATTATGTTTGTGGCATAAGTCATCAGTTTATGATGTTTTGTTACAGCAGCATGAATGGACTCACACAGGAACATACCACCCACCCTTAGTGCAACAAATGTCCATTCTCTTTCAGGCCATGTCCCTTCTCCAAGACCTCACTCCCCTCTTTCCCAGTGGAGCCTCTCTGGTCCAGCAAACACCCTCCTCTTACTTGCCCCAACTCATTCTCTCAAACTTACCTGATAAACGAGTTTTTTATTGCTGCAAAACAAATCACCACAAAGTGTACCTGTTAAAAAGCACACACGTGTATAATCTCAGAGTTTCTGTGGGTCAAGGCCAGGGTGGCTCAACTGGGTTGTCTGCTTGGGATCTCAAGGGGCCACTGGGCTGTGATCTCATCTGGAAGCTCAACTGGGGAAAAATCTGCTGCCAAGGTCACTCAGTGCAGACAGGATCCATGTCCTCGTGGCTGCATGACTCAGGGCTGCAGCTTCTTGCTGGCTGTGGGCCAGCAAGAAGTTTATGGTGTTTTGTTACAGGAGGCCCCCTCAGAGGCCCCCTTCACCCCAACAGGCTCCTGCATCCTCACCATGTGGGCTCCTCCAGTATGTTGGCTTGCCTTTTCAGGCAACAAGGAGCATCTGGAGAGCGAGCAGCAGTGAGGCAGAGTTTTATAGGCTATTACGTGTCAGGGGGACATCCACCACTTTGCTGTATTCTGTCAGCTGGAGGTCAGTCCTGGGTCCTGCCTGCCTACACTCAAAGGGAGGGGACTAAACCAGGGTGTGAACACCAGGAGGTGGGGACCATGGGCCCCTAGAGTCTGCCACCTGTGGCCAAATCCCAACCCTGCTCAGCAGCTGAACATGGCTGTAGAAAACCTTCCTTGCTGCCTATGCCTGCAGATGACATCATATTAGGAACCCCAGGTGGGCCCCAGTACTGCCCAGCAATCCCACCGCACCTCCCCAGACAGTGTACGCGCCTGCTCTCCTTCACTCCCCACTTAAACCCCACACACCCTTCCCCCTTTCACTCCCAGCTGCTGCCTCTGCCTCTTGCTCCCTTCACTGCCTGAATCAGCCGGGGTCCAAGAAGGAAATAGAAGCTACTCTGAGAACTTCTAGAAGGAGCTGGAGCCCCAGAAGAGATGCCCCAAAGAAGAGTGGGGCATCCTCCCTCCCCTAATCTTCTAGAAGAGTCTCCTATTGGCTGAACTCAAGCCAGAGCCCAAGCTGGAGTCAGACACTGGGATTCAGAACACAGTAGGGCAAGAGTGAGGAATGTCTCCAAGAGCAAAACGTCCCAGAATGGCTGTGCTGGCAAAACTAGAAGCAATGAGAATAAAAGCCCAGCCTCTCAAGGACACACTTGTCTACAGCCCTGCCAGGTACAGTGGAGCCCACCTGCTCCCACCCCCGCCCAGACTGCACTGTTGCATTCCTCCCCATCCCAAACCTCACAAGCTGGCATGCAAACATACTGTCCTATCTGCCAACACTAAAAATATACAGCTCAGGACTGGTGCCTTCAGGAAGACAGAGAAGACCTACTTTTCCCTGTTCTTCCTGCTAAGTACAACTAAAAACCTGATGTTTAGAACAAAAAGCCCCAAAGAAGCCTGCCCCCAGCCAAAGGACCAGGAAATGAGTAGCCTAGCAAGACAGAAAGCTTTTAGACAATATCTGTTCTACTGCAGCCTAATACTGCAGACCCACATCCACTCAGGAGAGCAAAGGCTGAGTGGGCACCCTCCAAAGGCTATTACACAGTGCCTGGCCCCCAGTCCTCACAGGGATGCTTCGCAAAAGGCTGAGTAGGGAGTTTGGACATTCACCGTTGCTGAGTGCTAGGGAGTTCCACCTCCTCCCTACACACTCCTCCCCCAATGGCTTAAGTGGGGACCACCATGTGAGGAGGCTGGACTTCATCCCTGCCCTGCAGAAAAGGGACCCCTCTCCTTCCTTGCTGACAGGGTGTCAGAGGAGGCCAAATGGAGAGTCAGGGCATTCACTTCTGCTCAGCAGTAATGAGGCCACTCCCCAGTGGTGTCACTAGAGGTCAGTAATGAGCAGTAATGAGGTGTCCCACCCCACTCAGCCAGGGTGATATCAGCAGAGTCCTAGCGAGAGGCAGAGGTCCCACAACCACCCAGCAATAAGGTGGAATCCTTCCCCATCTTGGGGAACCTGAACTTCTAACCCTATCTGGCAGCAATGAGACAGTGTCAGGCCCTTCTGCTGGCGTGGTGTCAAAGGAAGGCACCTAAACAGAAGGTTTAAGTGGTGATTAGAGTCTTATAAAGCAATACTCAAAATATGCAGGTTTCACTCAAAACCACCTGTCATAGTGATAACCAGGAAAATCTCAACTTGAAAGAAAATAGATGATGACACCAAGATGATGGAGATGTTAGAATTATCTGAAAAAATATTTTTAAATCAGCCAAAATAAAAATGTTTCAAAGAGAAATAAACACATTTGAAACAAATGAAACACAGAAAGTCTCAGCAAATAAGACTCAAATGAAACTGAAAACACAATAGCAAAATTCAAAATGCAAAAATGAACTCAACAGTAAAATGGAGGGGACAGAGAAAAGAATCAATAAGTGGAAGATAGAACAATAGAAATTACTCAACCTGAACAATAGAGAAATATAGTCTAAAACAATTTATCAGAACCTCAGAGACCTATGGGACCATAACAAAAGACCTAACTTTCATATAATCCAAATGCCAGAAGAAGATGATGAAGAGTATGTAGCTTAAAAAGTATTTGACGATCTCATGGCTGAAAACTTCCTAAATGTGGCAAAAGACATAAACCTACAGATTTGAGAAGCTGAGCAAACCCCAAACAAGATAATCCCAAAGAAATCCACACCAACATATATAGTGGGCAAAATTTTAAAAATTAAAAGCAAAGAAAAAGTCTTAAAGAGAGAAATTAAAATGTCCCTACAGGGAAAAAACAATTCAGATGACAGAAACCATGGTGGCCAGAAGAAAATGACATAACATTTTCCAAGTAATGAGAGGAAGGAACAGTCAAGCCAGAAGCCTATATCCAGTGAAAGAAAAATCAAGATGTTTTCAAAGAAAACTAAAAATTTATTGCCAGCAGACCTACCCTGAAAGAATGGCTACAGGAAGTTCTCTAAATAGAAAGGGAAAATGAAAGAATACATTTTAGAACATCAGGAAGGTAAAAGAATATAGGTAAGGAGAGGCATGGTGGTTCACGCCTATAATCCTGGCACTCTGGGAAGCCAAGGCAGGCAGATTCATTGAGCCCAGGAGTTTGAGACCAGCCTGGGCAACATGGCAAAATCCCATCTCTATTAAAAACACAAAAACTTAGCCAGGCATGGTGGTGCATGCCTATAGTCCCAGCTACTCAGGAGGCTGAGGTAGGAGAATCACCTGAGCCAGGAAAGTCGAGGCTTCAGTGAGTCAGGATTGTGCCACTGCACTCAAGCCTGGGTGACAGAGTGAGACCCTATCTCAAAAAATAATAATAAAATAAAAAGTAAGTCCAGGCTGGGCACGGTGGCTCACAACCTGTAATCCCAGCACTTTGGGAGGCCGAGGTGGGTGGATCACCTGAGGTCAGGAGTTTGCCACCAGCCTAGCCAACATAGTGAAACCCCATCTCTATTGAAAATACAAAAAATAGCCAGGCGTGGTGGCAGACACCTGTAATCCTAGCTACTTGGGAGGCTGAGGCAGGATAATCATTTGAACCCAGAAGGCAGAGGTTGCAGTGAGCTGAGACTGCACCATTGCACTCCAGCCTGGGCAGCGAAAGCGAACCTGCATCTCAAAGGAAAAAAAAAAAGGTAAGTCCAAGCAAGATTCTTAACAGATGCATCATGTGCTGTTTTCATTCAGAGAATGCAAGTGCTTAATGGAAATAATTCTGTCATCTACTGTTGATAGCATGCTATTGAATAACATTTATACGTAGGTAAATATGTTTTCCCTCTCCTCTTGATTTTCCTAAATTCTGTTGAATGTTTGAAGCAAAAATTTTAACACTCCTTGATGTGTTTATTAATGTATGCAGAGGGAATCATCAAGACAATTCTATAACAAATGAGAGAGGTAAAGGATGTAAAAGGAGGTACGTTTTCTTGATTTTACTCAAACTGATAAAATGATGGCATCAGTAGACTGTGACAAGTAACATGTATATATACTTTAATACCTAGAACAATGACTTTAAAAGAGATACACCAAGAAACATTATGGATAAATTATCGGGGGAAATTCACCCCCGATATTTCATGTAGGTTCTTTTCTATTTTCCCTAAGTGTCGGCTGGTCTGAGAAATAAAGGGAAATAGTACAAAAGAGAGAAATTTTAAAGCTGGGCATCCAGGGGAGACATCACATGTCGGTAGGTTCCGTGATGCCCCCTGAGCCGTAAAACCAGCAAGTTTTTATTAGTGATTTTCAAAAGGGGAGGGAGTACATGAATAGGGTGTGGGTCACAGAGATCACATGCTTCACAAGGTAATAAAATATCACAAGGGAAATGGAGGCAGGGCGAGATCACAGGACCAGGGCAAAATTAAAATTGCTAATGAAGTTTCAGGCACATGTTGTCTTTGATGACATCTTAATCAGGAGACAGGGTTTGAGAGCAGACAATCGGTCTGACCAAAATTTATTAGGTGGGAATTTCCTCATCCTAATAAGCCTGGGAGCACTACGGGAGACCAGGGCTTATTTCATCCCTCATCGACAACCGTAAAAGACAGACGTCCCCAAAGTGGCCATTCCAGAGGCCTCCCCTTAGGGACACATTCTCTTTCTCAGGGATGTTCCTTGCTGAGAAAAAGAATTCAGCGATATTTCTCCTATTTGCTTTTGAAAGAAGAGAAATATGGCTCTGTTCCTCCCGGCCCACAGGCCACCAGACTTTAAGGTTATCTCCTTTGCTCCCTGAACATTGCTGTTATCCTGTTCTTTTTTCAAGGTGCCCAGATTTCATATTGTTTAAACAATTTGGGCAGTTAACGCAATCATCACAGGGTCCTGAGGTGACATTCATCCTCAGCTTACAAAGATGATGAGATTAAGAGATTAAAGACAGGCATAGGAAATCACAAGGGTATTGACTGGGGAAGTGATAAGTGTCCATGAAATCTTCACAATTTATGTAAAGAGATTGCAGTAAAGACAGGTGTAAGAAATTATAAAAGTATTAATTTGGGGAACTAATAAATGTCCATGAAATCTTCACAATTTATGTTCTTCTACCATGGCTTCAGCTGGTCCCTCCATTCGGGGTCCCTGACTTCCCGCAACAACAAATCAAAATGGAATTCTAAAAAAAATGTTCAATTTACCCATAGCCCTAACATATCAGAAAAAAATGCATTACATGTAAATGGTCTGAATACATCAACTAAAAGACGGATTGGCAGAGTGAATTTAAAAATATGACTCAACTATGCAAGGTCTATAAGAAATTTACTTCTAAAATAACAGTATATGGGTTCACATGGACATAAAGATGGGAACAACAGACACTGGGGACTACTGGAGCAGGGAAAGAGGGTGGAGGTCAAGGCTTGAAAAACTACTTATTGAGGACTGTGCTCACTACCTGGGTGACAGGTTCAGTGGTACACCAAACCTCAGTGTCACACAACATGCCTTTGTAACAACCTGCACATGTAGCCCCAAATCTAAAATAAAAGTTGAAAAATAAAATTAAATAACAATATAGGTAGGGTGCAAGTAAAAGGATGGAAAAAGATATATCATTCAAGCATCAATCCAAAGAAAGTAGGAGCGGTTATATTCACGTAATATATGCTAAACTTCAAGGCAAAGAAAATTACCAGGCACAGAGAGAGACATCTTGTAGTGATAAAAAGGTCACTTTACCAAGAAGACATAGAAATCCTAAACACATATGCACAAAACAACAGAGCTGCAAAATATCTAACACAAAAACTAATAGAACTAAAAGGAGAAAGACACATTTATAGTATAGTTTTATAGTTAGAGACTTAAACATTTATCTCTCAGCAATTAATAGAACTAGACAGAAAATCAGTGCAGTTATAGAAGAACTGAACAACACCATCAACCAATAGAATATAATCAATATTTATGGAACACTCCATCCAACAACAGCAGAATATTCTTACAAAGTGCCTACAGAACATACACCAAGATAGACTACACTTTGGACCATAAACCAAACCTCAACAAATTTAAAAGAATTGAAATCACACAGAGTATTCTGTAGCCACAATGCAATCGAATCAGAAATAAGTAACAAAAAGAGAGGAGGAAAATCTGCACACTTAGAAATTAAACATACTTCCAAATAATCCAGGATTCAAAAAGAAAGTCTCAAGGGAAATCAGAATTATATTGAACTGAATGAAAGTGAAAATATAACATATCAAAATTGACAGAACACAGCTAAATCAGTGATGGGAGGAAATTTACAGCATAAATGCTGGTATCAAAAGGAGAGCAAGTCTCAAAAATAATATAAGCTCTCATCTCAAGAACCTAGAAAAAGAAGAGGAAAATAAACCCAAAGCAAGCAGAAATGAGAAATAATGAAGCTGAGATTAAAAATCAGTGAAATAGAAAACAAATCAACAAAAACAGTAGAAAAAAATCAATGAAACCAAGAGCTACTTCTTTGAAAATATCAATGGAATTAACAATCCTCTAGCAAGACTGGCAAAGAAAAAAAACAGAATGACAGTTATTAATGTCAGGAGTGAAACAGGAAATACCATTACAGACCCTGAAGACATCAAAGAATAATAGTGGTATATCAGATTGCCATTTTACAACTTTACATACATAACTTGGAAAACTTAGTGATTCCTCAAAAAGCACAAATTACTATAACTCACCCAATATAAAATGGGTAATGTCAATAGCTCTGTAATTTCTATTAAGTAAATTAAATTTGAATTTTTACAGAAGAAATCTCTAGGGTCAGATGGTTTCACTAGAGAATTCTACCAAACATTTAACACCAATTCTATACAATCTCTTCCAGAAAATAGAAAATGAGGTATACCTCATCAGTGAGTTTTATGAAGACAATATTACCCTGATACCAAAATCAGATACAGTACAAAGAAAAAATACTACAGGCCAATATCTCTTATGAATATGGTGCAAAAATCTTTAACAAAATATTAGCAAAGGGAATTCAGTAATATATCAAAAGAGCTACACACATAACTAAGTAGGGTTTGTTCCAGGAATGCAAGGCTGGTTCAATGTTCAAAAATCAATCAATGTTGAACATGGAGCTACCATATGACCTAGCAATTCCACTTGTAGGAATATGCCCATGAGAAATGAAAACATATGTCCACACAAAAATGTGTACAATAACATTAATAGGATCATTAGTCATAATACCCTAAAAGTGGAAAGCACCCGGCCCTGCACGGTGGCTCACATCTGTAATCCCAGCACTTTGGGAGGCTGAGGCAGGAGGATCACTTGAGGTCAGGAGTTTGAGACCAGCCTGGCCAACACGGCGAAACCTCGTCTCTACTAAAAATACAGAAATTAGCCAGGCATGGTGATGGGCACCTGTAACCCCAGCTACTTGGGAGGCTGAAGCAGGAGAATCATTTAAATCCAGGAGGCGGAGGTTGGAGTGAGCTGAGATCGTGCCACTGCATTCCAGTCTGGGTGACAGAGCAAGACTCCATCTCAAAAAAACAAAAGTACAAACAACCCAAATGTCCATTACTAAATAAATAAAATGTGGTATATACACACAGTGGATTATTTGACAATAAAAATGAATGGTGTCTGACACATGCTAAAACATGAATAACCTTTGGAAACATGCTCAGTGAAAGAAGCTAGTCACAAAAGGCCACATATTGCCTGACTCCATGTATATATAAAATCTTCAGAACAGGTAAATCCATAGGGAAATAAAATAAAATAAATTAGTTGCTGCTTATGGCTAGGGGAGGGGATAGGGTTGGAGGGAAATGAAGAACAAATGCTAATGAATGTGGAGTTTCACTTGGGTTAATAAAAATGCTCTAAAATTGATCATGGTGATGGTCACACAACTCAGTGAATATACTGAAAAAAAACATTAAATTGTACATTTTTTTTGAAACAGGGTCTCTCTCTGTAAACCAGGCTGGAGTGCAGTGGTGCAATCACGCCTCACTGCAGTCTTGTCCTCCCAGGCTCAGTGATCCTCCCACCTCAGCCCCCAAGTAGCTGGGACCACAGGCACACACCACCACACTCAGCTAATTTTTTATTTTTAGTAGAGATGGGGTCTTACTATGGTGCCCAGTCTGGTCTCAAACTCCTGGGATCAAGTGATCCTCTCACCTTAGCCTCCCAAAGTCCTGGGATTACAGGTATGAATTTGTACACTTTAAATGGGTGAATTATATGGTATTTAATTATAATCTCAATAGAACTGTGAAAAATATCAAGCAATGTAATCTACCATATTAAAAGCTAAAGAAGAAAAATCACATGGTGATATCAATTGATGCAGAAAAAGCATTTAACAAAATTCAACACCTATGCATGATAAAACAAAAACTCTAAGAAAACTAGGAATAGAGAGGAACTTCCTCAGACCTATTAAAGAACATCTGCAAAAGACATAGAGCTAACATTACGCCTAATGGTGAGAAACCTGAAGCTTTCTCAGGAAGACAAGGCAAGAATGTTCCCTCTCACCACTCCTAAACAATTTTCAAAATTCAAAAGTAAACAAAAAAAAAAGTAAAATGGGCAAAGATTTCACTAAGGAGGATATGCACACGGCAACTAAGCACGTGAGAAGACATTCAAGATCGTGAGCCATTAGGGAAATGCAAATTAAAACTATGAGCTATCACTGCACACCTATCAGAAAGGCTGAGATAGAAAACAGGCCAGGCGCAGTGGCTCACACCTGGAAGCCGAGGCAGGCAGATCACCTGAGGTCAGGAGTTCGAAACCAGCCTGACCAACATGGTGTAACCTCGCCTCTACTAAAAATACAAAAATTAGCCAGGTGTGGTGGCGGGCGCCTGTAATCCCAGCTACCGAGGAGACTGAGGCAGGAGAATCACTTGAAACCAGGAGGTGGAAGTTGCAGTGAGCCACTGCACTCCAGCCTGGGCGACAAGAGCAAAACACCGTCTCAAAAAAAAAAAAGAAAGAAAGAAAAAAGAAAACAGAGACAACACCGCCAGCTGCCTAGGACTCGAGAGGCTGGTTCACTCCTGCATCACCAATGGGAATGTAAAATTGTACAGCCACTCTGGAAAGCAGTTTGACAGTTTTTAAAAAAAAACTACAATTGCAACTACCAGCCAACAATTGCACTCCTGGACATTAATCCCAGAGAAATGAAACTTTCATTCACACAAAACCCTACACGCAAATGGTCATAGAAGCTATATGAAAAATTGGAAGCCACGCAGCCGTCTGTCCGTAGGGGAGTGTGAAATAGGCTGCGGTGCATGCATGCCGGGAAGACCACGCCACAATCAAAAGGAACAGACAATTCATACACAGCAACGTAGAGGAATCCAGAGTGAAAATCCTCAGTGAAAAAAAGCAAGTTCCAACAGACTATTTACTCTGATTCCATGACTACAACATTCTTGAAACGGCAAAGTTATATCAATGGGGAACAGGTTAGTGGTTGTCCGGGGTTGAGTAGGGGCTCTCGTTCCACCTCACTTCCTGCCTCTTCCCTGGGAGACAGAGGCCTCTGCTCACCCAGAACTCTCCCTCTTTCTCACACATTCCTCATCCAGTTCTTCCAAACACATCCTAACTCCTCCTAGTCCCACCTGGTCATCGCCTCTCATGCAGATGATGGAGCACTCCAATCCCACAGCCTGTCCCTTAGGGGACCCCAACACCCTAGCACACAGCCTGTCTCCTAGGGGACCCCAACACCCTAGCACACAGCCTACCTCTGGGGGACCCCAACACACTAGCACACAGCCCGTCCTCTGGGGTGACCCTCCCTTCACCCCAGCCCGTGGCTGCACTCTCACGGGAACCACAGCTTCAGCCTGGCTTTGCTTTATTGGGCCCCATGCGCTTGACTTGCCTAGGGCAGGGCCACCCTGGGCAGAGCTCCCGCCCGTAGGGACACCTGCAGCTGGCGGGAGAGGGGTAGGGGAGCTGTAAGCCGGCGGCACAGGGCGGAGTATGCCACAGCCCCAACCCACCCCTCCAGGTCCTCCCCGCGATGGCGCCCAGGACCCTCCTTCCAAGCAAGACTCACACCGAAGTCACCAAATTTTAGAAAGAAAAAATAGATAGTTGTGGCTTATTTTTAGAAAAAAAAAATAGATGGTTCAGAGTCGGTGGAACCTTCCAGTCCTCACACTCAACCCCAAATCGTTCGTGTGGGCTACTGCCGGCCCTCTCTCCGGCTCTGCGCTCTTTCTGCCTGCAACCGTGCCCCCGAACTCGGGCCCTGCGAGGTGGGGGTGGGCCCGGGCCCCTCCTGCCGCCCCTGCTGCCAGCACCGTTCTCTCCGAGGCCCTCAACGCCCCGCCGTGCCGTGGCCTTCAGAGCGCGCCAGACGCTCACCAAGCCTGCCCGAGCCCCGCCTCCCGCAGCCGTGCCCAGGGCGGAGTGGGGCGACGGCACCGGTGCCAGGACCGACAGAGGCCAGGGCGCGGCGCCGGGCGTGGTCCTGACACCTGCCCTGCCGGGAAGGGGACGGCGTTCCACGCCTGGGCCCTTCTCCACTGCGTACAGGAGCCTGGGTCACCTGCTCGGCCCAAGAAAAGGCTCCAGGCCTGCGGGTGTGAATGAGCAGCAGCCAAGAGAGCGGTGCTGCCGGCGCTCAAGCTAGGCCGGGTCACCGCCTCCTGCCCAGGTCCAGGCAGCCCCGGCCTTTCCCGCTGGTACTGGCACGCCCGTGGCCGCACGGCTGAGTGCTCCGGGCATGGTGGGTCTGCGGGACTCGGAGCAGAGCTCGAGCTGGCGGATCCCCGGTTGGCGCCCGGCGGGAGGGCAGGAGTGGCCCAGCCAGGCCGCCCTGCGCACTCCCCGCCCGGGTGCGCCCGGGGGACCGCGGCCCTCCCACCCCGCCCCTGTGAAACGACAGCCGGCAGCAGGCGCCGCACGCCGACTTCACAGTGGCGGCGATCAACAGCGTGTGGAAAACAGCTTCTTCGTAAATCTTAAGAACATTGTGGCCGGGCGCGGTGGCTCACACCTGTAATCCCAGCAATTTGAAAGACCAAGGCGGACGGATCACTTGAGGTCAGGAGTTCGTGACCAGGCTGACCAACATGGAGAAACCCCGTCTCTACTAAAAATACAAAAATTAGCCGGGCGTGGTGGCGCGTGCCTGTAATCCCAGCTACTCGGGAGGCTGAGGCAGGAGAACCGCTTGAACCAGGGAGGTGGAGGTGACGGTGAGCCGAGATGGCGCCATTGCACTCCAGCCTGGACAACAAGAACGAAACTGTCTCAAAAAAAAAAAAAAAAGAACATTGTTCTTCGAGTTCTTTAAATATCTGACATAATACCGGCAAGGAACGAGAAGCACCAGGTTTAGGCGCTGAGGTGAAAATTTGGCTGTTGAAAGGCAGTCCCTCTGCAGCCAACTCCCCTCTGGTGGACAGTGTCTAACATCCAGAGAAAACACCCGTCACTGAACGCTCCCCTCCCCACAAAGCGCTGCTTGGCCCCAAATCGTCCCTAATGCGCTGCTCAGCCCCAAGGCGTCCCTCTGAGCGAGAAACCGCCCCTGGCTATGCTTGCAGGGGCCTGGCTGGGTCCACAGGGCATGGCTGTGTCTCTCGGAGCACGGCCCTTCTCTCCGGGGGCCTGGCTGCGTCTGCAAAGGCGTCAATGTGTCTCCGGGGGCGTAGCTTGTCTCCGGGGCGTGGTCGTGTCTCCGGGAGGTGGCTGGTCTCGGGGGCGTGGCTTGTCTCCAAGGCGTGGCCGTGTCTCTGGGGGCATGGCTTGTCTCCGGGGCGTGGTTGTGTCTCCTGGGGCGTGGTCGTGTCTCTGGGGCTTGGTAGTGTCTCCGGGGGCATGGCCTGTCTCCGAGGTGTGGTCGTGTCTCCGGGGGCGTGGCTTTTCGTTGGAGGTGGTCTGTCTGTGTCGGGCGTGACTGTGAGCCGGAGGCGTAGCCGTGTCTCGGGAGCCTGGCGGTGTCCGCAGGAGCGATGCTGTGACCGTTGCATTTGAAGCATTCCTTCTAGTTCCCGGATACCAGGGAGGGGGCAGGAGAAGCCCTGCGGCCAAGAAGGCCTGAAGAAGCCCGTCCAGGGGTCAGCCTCCTCCTCAGCCGGTCCTGGGCTGAGACAGGGGTGTCCCGCTGAGGGCAGTGTAGGGTGCGGTGCCCCCACCCCACTTCGGGCCTGGACCGAGACCGCGAGTGTGACCGTATATCCCTTCAGGTGGATTTTTCAACATGTGAACTTGGTTAAAAGCTTCTAGAACGTTAAGCCAAACATCGTGGCTTTCCATCCGTTTTCTGTTCTTGTTTGAAAGAGTACGCCTCCTTCCAGCCTGGGAGGAGGGGCGGGGCCCGGGAGAGGGCCTCGGGAGGCCGCGGGTGGGCTCTGCCGAGGGCCGCGTTCGCAGGGCCCCCCGGGACTGGCGGCCCCGCGGCAGGCCAGGCGCACCTCTCGGGGAGAAACGAGCAGCGCCAGCAAACGCGCAGCCGGGCACGCGGCCGCCCAGCCCCGCTCCCAGCCCGGGGCCAGGACCCCTCCCCGCGGCGCCGCTGCCGCAAGCCTCCTCTGCTACCCCAGCTGCGGGCAGTTTGGCCCGGCGCTGTGCCGCTGTAGTTCGGTGTCCCTTCGCCCATCCTGCAGGCCAGCTTGGAAACTGTGTCCCATGCTCCTCGAAACACCGGACCTGCTCCCCGCCGCCCTGCGGAATGCGCCTCCTGGCGCCTCAGTGGGTGGCCGGGCCGAGAGCACAGGCGCGCCAGCCACACCTCCCCACGGGTCGGACCCACACGGACCCCGCCGCGCTCCGCCGAAACTGCGCGGGTCCCGCGGGTGGCCGGCGCAAGAGCCACAGCCCGCGACAAGCCGGCTGCCTGCAGGTCAGTGACAGAACCCCAAATGGAAACTGCGGAAACCCAACAACCAGCGAGTGAGCTGGTAGAGCCAGCGGCCCCAAGGAGCTGAGGGAGCTCCGGCTTGTGGAGTCTCTTCTCACATTTCCAGCATATGGAGAATGCCACACTGGGTCAGCCCCTGCCCCAGATCCTGCCCCCTGGCCTCCAGGCTCTGGGCTTTCCTCCCCTCTGTGGTAGCCTTTATCTCCATTGCAAGCCATCTTTCCACTACTAACAGTTAAAAGCCTCCCCTTTCTCTCTACTCTCCCAAGAAACCTCATCCTCACCTGTGGACAGGTGGCCGCCCAACTCTCTTCTGCAGCTCAAACCACTGTGTCCATCTACCTCTTTGTGTCCCTAGACATAAAGGTACCCAAAACTCCCAGAGTGCTGAAGCCACACCTGGCCTTTCCCAGGGGCCCACTGATCCCACCATCCATCACCCATCACCAACTGGGAATCCCCCCTGCAACTCACCAGTGCTTCCCTGCCCCGGCCTGGCAACCACACTCAGTGGGAAGGCCTTGGCAGTGGCTTTCTTCAACTCCCCAGCTGCTCCCAACCCCCCAGCCACAGTGATCTTTCCAAAATGCATATGGCCTCAAACTCAAAATATTTCCTTGCTGCCTGCCACTCCAGCATAGAAACGGGGACCCAGGTGACACAGGTGTCATGCCGCTGGGTTTCCAGGGACAGCCAGGACCTCCCCATTCCTGGTATTCCTGATATCCTCAGATCTCAGCTGCTCCAGGGGCTGGAGGTTGCGTTCTTCTCATAAAACAAGAACAGTATAGGCATTTGCTTTTCATCAGTGTAATGAAACTTTAGGGACTTATGATCCTAAATCACATTACACCAATGTGAACTGCACTCAAATTGTTGTAAACTAAATTTGCAGAACAAGCAGTTTTTGTGCAATTCTTTGCAGTCTACTCAGCTCTTTCATCTCTGTGTTCAGGTTCAATCCTCATTAGTTCTTCTATGAGAGATAGTTATCCCCAGATGCGTTCAATGCTCAGCTCCTTGCCCTGGCAGGCCCCGTCCCAGGGTCCTGGATGGCAGATGCCATGCCCGCCCCGCGAAGCTCAGGCTCACCAAGCAAGCAAACCGCAGCTGGTTTAGGTAGACAGCAGCTGCCCACAACTGCTAACAGCCTCGGGTTTCTTTTCCTCAGAATCACTCACCCTAAATCTACACATTGTAGACTGTCACATTGGTCTAAGTAGTGCTCCTCAAAGTGCACTGCACATTAGAGTCACCTGGGGAGCTTCACCGCCGGGCCCCAGGCTCTGATTCGCCCAATGGGAAGGGAGCACCGGGCACTTGTCCTGAGCCCCTGGCCCCTGCCTGGTTCTGCAAACCCAGAGCGTCCACATACCAGGCTTCCTGTGCTTAACATTGTGTCCTTGAAAAGAGCTAGCTGCACTAATGCCCATTGATTTCACTGTGTGTGACCACAGTAAAGAGAAGCAGCTTTGAGGGATTTAGTGTTTTCACTCCAGTGCATTCCATTCTAAGGAAACGCCTGACCACGGCTCATGGCTAGGAGGCCCCGCAGTGCCAGATGCTGCCCTGGAGTTCAAGTGGAACATTTGCTGTCTGAACCTTTCCAAACTCCCCCCACCCATGACCTCATGGCCCACCAGGGGGCGACTTTTTCCTGGGTCGCCTGGCAGAGAGCCGGAGGGGGTGCTCAGGGGGCAGCTGCTGCAGGCCCAGGCGGACTCAGCCGCGCTAGGTCGGCTCCGTCGCACCCGTCTGTGCACACTAACCTTTAGGGGAACTTGCCTTGCTTCCTAAGCCGCGACTCAGCCGGGGCTGTGTAAACCCTCCCTGCCTGTTCCCAGGCTAGTCTGGCTCCTCGCCTCCTTCCTCCCGACCGCGGAGCACGTGCACTTTACCTGCGCACTTGCAGATCTTTCTCCAGGAGTGAGTTTAAGGTCCGCACCTCCGCTCTGGATGGTGAGCGGAGCACAGCCTTCGAAGTAAGAACTCAGAGGGAGCTCGGCGCTCCCGCAGCGGGTCCCCCACCCAGGCACGCCCCCGGCCCGGCCCCGCCCACAGCACTCCCCACTCGGCCCCGCCCACAGTGCGGCCACGCCCGTAGCACGCCCCTCCCGGCCACGCCCACAAAGCTGCCCACATGGCCCCGCCCACAGCTCGCCCGCTCCGCACCCCCGGCCCCTCAGCTCCCCAGCCCCCGGCGGCGCGGGCTGAGAGCAGCTCCGTCTAAGGCCACGCCGCCCCGGCGTCCCCGACAGCGCTCTCCGCGGGGATAGTTTCCAGCTTTACCTCTGAAGAGGCGGCCCAGGACTGCGGACAGGCTTTTCCCTATGAACAAGAACGGGGAAATGCTCAGTGAACATTCTGTTCCCTTCAGAGCTCTCCCAGCGGGCACTGAGAGGCCCTCCAGCTAGGACGCCAAGGTTACACTTGCCGACAGCCCCTCCTGCAGCACAGACACACACACGAGATACACAGACACACACAGATACACAGACACACACAGATACACACAGACACACACACAGATACAGAGATAGACACGATATACACAGACACAGATACACAGATACACATACACAGAGACACACACAGAGACACAGCAATACACAGACACACAGATACAGGACACAGATACACAGATGACACACAAGGACACATGCAGATACACAGACACACATACACAGATACACACAGACACATGCACAGATACACAGAGACACACACACAGGCACAGAGATACACACAGATACACAGATATACACACAGACACAGATACACAGACACACACAAATATATACAGATACTCAGACACAGATACACAGACACAGGTACAGACACACAGATACAGATACAGAGATACATACAGATACAGAGATACAGAGACACACACAGATACACACACGGACACACACAGAGATACACAGACACAGATATACACAGGCACACAGATACAGACACACAGATACACACATGCACAGATACACACAGATACAGAGATCTACACACAGAGATACACAGACACACAGATACGCAGACACAGAGATACACAGATACATAGACACATACAGACACACACACAGATACATGCACAGACACACACGCAGATACACATATACAGATATACAAACACAGATATACGCACAGACACACACAGATACACACACAGATACAGACACACACACAGATACACGCACAAACACATGGAGACAACACAGCTACAGACACACACACAGCTGCAGTGGCCAGGCCCTGCACAGGAATTGGCAGGAAGTAAGAGGCTCCATCCACAGTGTAACAGCAGAGCTGAAAGAGATCTCATGCCTTATAACAGAGCACATTGCACAGCCACAGGGTGGGCCAGGGGTTGCCCTGGTAGCAGGGACCGAGGATGTCCTCGGCATGGCAGGCTCCAGGACACTGAAGTTCCCAGCCAGGGCCCTGACAGCAGGAGAGCCCGAGATCTCTGAGACCACATTCACTGTCGCATGTGCAGACCCCTCAGTTCAGACCGCCGTGTGCGTTAGGTGTGGATATGGCTGGCAAGCAGCCTGCATGGTGACCCCATCCTTGTGGGATGGCGGCTCCAGGGAGCCTGTGACCACCGATGCACCAGTTCCCGTCCCAGAAATACTGTCTCCTCCTCGCTCATCACTGCACCTGCTCCCCTCCCAGTGCCTCAGGGACACTGTTACAGGGCGGGAAGGGGCTGGGGCACAGAGCCCGGGGGAGGCTCCCTGAGTGGGCAGAAGGCTCTTGGTGTGCACGCAGATCTGTCGAAATGCGGGCTTTGAAACGCCAGCAGGACAGCTGCGGCCAAGCGTGTGGCTCTCTGTGCCTTGCAGGTCACAGTTGTTTTTGTGTAACTGCTGAATGTATGGGGAAGGAGCAACCCTACCCCAGCTCCAGGGATAGACCCTGAGTGGCCACAGTAATGGAGGAAACCCAACTTCCATGCCAGGGACTGGCTCGGGTGAGCCAAATCTATGTGTCCCAGCCCTGGCGGCAGCTGAGGGGTGACAAAGCCCCCCCGCGAGCAGACAGGCACCCACACCCAGCACAGCCACATGCTCACTGTCTCTGGGCTTCTTAGCTGCCGTCAATCAGTCCCCTTGGTTGATTGACCCTCAGGGCCAGATGGGGTTTCCTTTCCTGGTGGCTGAGAGTGAGTGTTGCCTGCAGATGCATCAATGGAAGCCTGTGTGTGACTCGAACAGCCAAACTTGCCTTCAAGGGGCACCGTGCTTCTTCAGTTACAAGTGATTGGGGCCAGTCTCAGAAATGATGTGGTTTCTCCTGAGCATGAAGATTTGGGTCCCAAACAAGATATGATATAGAATTAACTTTTTTGGCTGGCCAAGGAAATTCCAGAAGGAAATCCCAAAATAAGGTCCCCCTAAATGTTCTTGGCAAAGAACAGCACCATTGGAATCAGATATAAAAGCCAAAGGTGGCTATTTCCAAGCAGAGGGCTGGGATGCGGTGTCGCTTTTGTGTACGTGTATGTGCATATTTTATGTTTGTGGGTGACCCAGTGAAGGCACCCTTGGCTTCTTGCCCTGGACAGGCAGTTGTGACTCAGAGGACAATGGTCCAGGAAAGTGAGAAGCTCTCAGAATTGGGCAGGCCTGAGGGTGCAGGAAAGCGCTGCCTCCCCAGACCACAGCATCCAGAGAGAAGAAAGCGCCTCCCAGCCCAGCCCTCCAGCCCCGTCATGGGGAAATCTGTCTACAGCTTCCCTTTATGAATCCTTCCCCAGGGGTCCCCGGGGCCACCTGCTGTGCAGGCCTCTGCAGTCCCCAGTCTCTGCCTGTTCCTGCCATGGTTCAGCCCACAAACCCTATGCACCCACCCCTGCCCGAAGTTGGCTTGATTCAGCAAGCATTCTGTCAAGTTCCCAGATCCTGCGGGTCTGGAATTCAGAAAGGCACAGTGGAAACAGCTCGTCTGCTCCCCACTGCAGCCAGGGCAATGTGAAAGCTGGAAATGACTGGAGTCTGGAGGATCCGGAGGTGCACTTGCTCACTCTAGGGCGGGTCTGTCGGCTCTGCCACGTGGCCCCTGCACCAGCTCTTGGACTTCCTTACAGCATGGCAGCTGGGGCCCAAGAGACAGGAAACAGAAGCCACCAGTTCCTTAGGGCCTGCACCCAGGACTGGCAGGTGTCATTTCTGCCATATTCTATTGGCCAAGCAGTCAAGGAGCCCAAGGAAGGACACAGACACCAGTTCTTGAGGGGAGGAATGTCAAAGAACATTGGAGCCATGTTTTTTGTGTTTGTTTCTGTTTTTGAGACGGAGTCTTGCTCCGTCGCCAGGGTGGAGTGCAGTGGCGTGATCTTGGCTCACTGCAACCTCCGCCTCCCGGGTTCAAGCAATTCTCCTGCCTCAGCTTACTGAGAAGCTGGGACCACAGGTGGGCGCCACCACACCCAGCTAATTTTTGTGTGTTTAGTAAAGATGGGGTTTCACTATGTTGGCCAGGATGGTCTCGATCACTTGACCTCATGATCCGCCCACCTCGGCCTCCCAAAGTGCTGGGATTACAGGCGTGAACCACCGCGCCCGGCCAGAGCCATGTTTTAAAGTTACCACGGCTTTAGGAGGCAGGAGCTGCATAACATGAGGGCATGATGCTACCTTCTGAACTTAAATTCCGGACTTTAAAGACATGTTTAAATGTAATGAGCTGTGGAGTCACAGGAACTCCCATTCATTGCTGGTGGGACCGCAAGATGGTACAGCCACTTTGGAAGACAGTTGGGCCGTTTCTTACAAAACTAAACACTCTTAGAATATGATGCAGCAACCAATGTTCCTTGGTATTTACCTAAATGATTTGAAAACTTATGTTCACCCAAAATCTGCACACGGGTGTTTATAGCAGTTTTATCTGTCATTGCCAAAACTTGGAAACAACCAAGATGCCTTTCAGGAGGTGAATGAATAAACAAACTAGGGTACATTCAGACAATGGAATATTTATTATTCAGAGCTAAAAAGAAATGAGTTATCAAGCCATGAAAAGACACAGAAGAACCTTAAATGCAGATTACTAAGTAAAACAAGCCAATCGGAAAAGGCTGCATACTGCCTGATTCCAACTAGATGACTTTCTAGAAAGGTAAAACTATGGAGACAGTAAAAACATTGGTGGCTGTCAGGAGCTAGTGGGGAGCGGAGGGATGACTAGCTGGAGGGGATTTCAGGGCAGCGGCCCTAGTCTGTATGATACTGTAAGGCGGATACAGGGCATTAAACATTCGTGCAAACCCACAGAAGGCACTGCCCGAGTGAGCCTCGATGTAACCCGAGGCCTCTGGATAATGCTGGTGTGTTGGTGTAACCCATGGGCCAATCTGGTGGGCAGCATGTGCACTGGGGCAAGCTACATGTGTGGGGTGGGTGTATATGGGACTTCTCTGTACCATCTGATCGATAATGTCTTTCTTTTAATGAATTAGAGGAAAATAGAAAGTCTCATTTGTCTGTGGGGAAAAAATCAATTTTGAAAAGTGAGTGGGATGGGCAAAAACTCCAGGACTGACTCAGGAATAAAAACGATTATAAACTTCATCCTGAAGAGGGTGGGTCCTGTGACTGGGAGGGGCTGGCCCAAGTCCCGGGTCATCCTGAGCTGAAGGCTCCATGCGGAGGGGCGGCCCTGGGTGGCAGGAGAATGGGGAGGCCAGGCCCGTGGGGGTGGGAAGAAAGTGGGGTCCTGAGAGCTGGTGCTCCAGCGGGGAGCGAAGCTGGACACGGGAGTCTGCAGCTTGAGGGACGAAGGTGCCTGCTATTGCTTCTGGATGTTGAGTAGTTGGTATCTCTGTGCGTGTGTGTTTCCATTTGCATTTGGATCCCATGAGACATGAGGCCCAGGAGGTCCTGCAGACAAAAGCCTCCCACCCTGTGGAGCTGGCCTCCATGCAGAATGGACCCATTCGAAGACCTTTTTAAAACGATCTTTTGTATTTTCTTGTTTTAGAAACGGGGTCCCTCTGTGCAGCCCAGGCTGCAGGGAGGGGCATGGTCATAGCTCACTGTAGCCCTGAGCGATTCCCTGTTTGAAGTGTTGACTATCTTGACTATCGGGGAGGAGTGAGGTCTGCGCGATTCGGCCTGGAGGACCCTGAGTAGGACTCACTCGCCAGACTGGCTGCCAGTGGGCCTGGCCCTTCCTGACATGGTGAGCCATCATGGCATGTCCCTGGCAGTGACAAGGAATGTCCTCAGGCCCCGACCCTCCTGTCCAGGCCACCCAGGGCAGGCCTGTCAGGGGCCTTCCTTGTTCCAATTTTTCAGAGGCCCAGCGCTCTCCTTCCGCATCCTGCCCACCTGCCCAGCTGCAGGCAGCATGGGGAGGGGGATGGGGTGGGGAGAGGGTAGGGAAGACGGTGTGTGTGAGGGTGAGTGTATGTGAAGGGGCCAAGATTTATGTGTTTAGGAGGTGTGTATGTCTGTGGGGGGTGTGTGTGACGGGCTGTATGTAAGGGATGTATGTGTGTGGGGGGTATATGTGTATGTGTATAGAATGGGGTGACCGGGTGTTTTGGGGTTTGGGGGACCGGGGGGGGGGGGTGTGTGTTTTGGGGTGTGTGTGTGCATGTGTGTGGTGTGTGCATGTGTGGTGTGTGGGGTGTGTGTGCATATGTGGTGTGTGGGGTGTGTGTGCATGTGTCGGGGTGTGGGGGGTGTGCATGTGTGTGGTGTGTGTGCATGTGTGTCTGGGGTGTGGGGTGTGTGTGCATATGTGTTTGGGATGTGGGGTGTGTGTGCATGTGTCTGGGATGTGGAGTGTGTGTGCATGTGTGGGGTGTGGGTGTGTGTGTGCATGTCTGTGATGTGTGTGTGCATGTGTGTCTGGGGTGTGTGTGCATGTGGGGTGTGAGAAGTGTATGTGTGTGTGCATGTGTGTGGGGAGTTCTGTGGGGTGTGTTCACGTGTGTGAGGTTTGTAGGGGTGTGTGTACGTGCCTCGGGTGTGTGTGTGCGCACGTGTGTGTGTGGGGTGTGTGTATGTATGTGTCTGGGGTGGTGTGTGTGCGTGTGTGGGTGTGTGTGCATGTGTGTGTGGGGTGTGTGTGTGTGCATGTGTCGGGGGTGTGTGTGTGCGTGTGGGGGGTGTGTGTGCGCGCGCGTGTGTGCATGTGTTGGGGGTGTGTGTGTATGCATGTGTGTGGGTGTGTGTGCGCGTCTGGGGTGCGGGGAGCATGCGTGTGGTGGGGGTTCTGCCTCTCACTCCCTCACCCAGGAGGAGGCTGTACCCAAGGCAGTGTTGCCAGACTGGGCCAAGCCAGGAGCAAGGCTGAGCGGCTCCACCCGCGGGCTCCCGGGCTGGGACCCGGGGTGTCACCCGCAGTGCTGAGCGTTTGTGCTCTGAGACCTCGTTGTCCCCAAGGGTCTCTCCACCCTCCGGGCCCCGGCCTCCGGCCCCGCCTGGCATGAGGAGCGGGGAGCGCACAGCAGGGTGGGGGCACCGGGCGCACGCGGGGAATTTCCCCACGACCACGGCCACGCCAAATGCCTGAACCTCCACGGCTGCCGGCAACAGCGAGCGCAGGGAGGGGGCTGTGCGCGCGGGGGCCCTGGTGGCGGAGCAGGCATCACCCCGAGAGCGCCGAGGTTTGTGGTCGCAACCCCGGGAGCACCGCTGCGGGAGGAGCGGCGTGGCCGGGCAGAGGCGACTTCCTCGCAGGCAGTACCGGGCCCCGCGGCCGCCTCCGGGCCTGTCCTGGTGCCCCGGGCTTCCACCCGGCGGGCTGGCGTGCGGGGGCTGGTCTTCGCCGAGATCCTGCTGGGAGCGGGCTCTGGCCCCACGGTGAGCCCGGCCCCAGCCTCGGTGATGCGCTTCGCTGCCGCGCGGGGAGGGAGAGTCCGGCAGGGTCACGAGGCGCCGGCCCCGGGGCCGCTTGAAACCCGAAGAGACCCCGCTCGCTCGCGCGCCCGCCGGACGAATCCTCGCGGAGGTCCCGGGGCGCAGCCGGCGTGAGGGTGGGGTCTCATCGCAGGGGCGCCGGGAGCCTCCCCGCTCCGCTAGCTCAACCAAGGACCGCTCAGAGGGGCTCTCACCCTGAACCTCGGCTTTTCTAAAGGAAGGGCAGACCCCAGATTTCCCCCTTCTCTTCTCGAACGTGCTTTGGGTGTTTTTCTGCTTTCTTTTTTGGCAAGTCAGGACAGCGCACAGTGCACGGAGCTCCGAAGCTCTCTCAGCTACTCCCGGATTTCTGGTTAAACCTGAGGGTGAGCCCGAAAGACCGCTGCCGCCGGCGGCCACCCCAGCGCGGGTCCGCTGAGAATGGAAACAGCAAGTGCGCGCCGGCCAGGCCGCCACCTCTCCCTCCTCCAACAGCCCGGGCAGCCGCAGGGGCCAGCCCCGGGCCAGCCAGGGCCCAGCACAAAATGCCTTCCAGCGACAGCAGCGCCGGAAGCCCCTTCTGAGGTCGTGGATAAGCCTCCGCGCAGGGGCCCCGCGCTCAGCCCACCCCGCATGCCTCCGCGCCAGGGCCTGCTGGTGGGTGGCCGCCTGCCCCGGGCTATCCCGGGCTGGGCACTGGCGCCGATCCCGCCTCGCTTGTGGAGCTGCATTTGGGGGGAAAGATGGACCGGCAGCGTGGGACGCAGAGCCAGGCCAGGCCGCACGGGCTGTGCACAAAGATATGCCCGACAGGCGGGGAGAAGGCATGGCCCACCGGCTCAGGAGAAAGTCCTGGAGGGGAGGCAGTCCGCCCCTGGGGACAACGCGGGGGGCCGTATTCGGACACCACCAGAAGTTCCTGTCGGAGACGCTAAGGGTGCCCACGGTGTCGGGCACCATGTAAAGCTCTCCTAACTCTAAGCAGACTGCAGTTTCATGCACATCATAAGGGCACAGCCACTGTCACCGATTCTATCAGCAGAAAAGCAAACAGGCAGGAAACCACAATTAATCCACAATTCACAATGCTGGTGAGCTTCCAAACAATTGTCAATGTGACAAGTTTCCACTCCTAGCACAGATGGGTCGTCTGTCTTTTCTACAGTTTAATGGTCTCGGCTGCACACATTTGTCTGTCAAAGTGAACTATATAACTTCAGGCTTTGGAAGTTGGATGAGAGTAAAAAGTTAAACTGAAGGTGACATGGAACTGTCCGAGAGAGTCCTCCTGTCCAAACATGAAGAAGCTGTGGCTACAAAAATCACTTTTTTTTTTTTTGTGGGAATGAAGTGCCCTCTAGTATGCTTTTAGTTAAAAAAAGAAAAAAAGAAAAAAAAAAAAAAGGCCGGGTGCGGTGGCTTACGCCTGTAATCCCAGCACTTCGGGAGGCAGAGGCGGGCGGATCACGAGGTCAGGAGATGGAGACCATCTTGGCTAACACGGTGAAACCCCGTCTCTACTAAAAATACAAAAAAAAAAAAAAAAATTAGCCGGGCGTGGTGGCGGGCGCCTGTAGTCCCAGCTACTCGGGAGGCTGAGGCAGGAGAATGGCGAGAACCCCGGAGGCGGAGCTTGCAGTGAGCCGAGATGGCGCCACAGCACTCCAGCCTGGGCGACAGAGTGAGACTTCGTCTCAAACAAACAAACAAACAAAAAAACCATAACACTTACGCCATTGCTTCTAACTGCAGAAAGCAGAGACACAGCCCCCGCAGGGCAGCTGCATGGGGGTCCCGCCTTGGTGTCTGCGGCCGGCCTCTTCTGGCACATTAGCTTCCCCCTCAGGACTCTTATACGAAAGCTCTCAATCCTCAATCATTTTCGTCTGGGTTTTACCTATCACATTGGAAATTACAACTGAAAAAATTTAAAATATTGAATACGTTTAGAATAAAAACAAACCCATGACTTGTTAACATGGACACAATTTTGAAAAATCGTTTTCCAAAACGAAAACAAATTAGTGACAATGGCATTAATACTTTTATTAGCCTCTTTAACTGTCTGGCTTAATGGAAGTGTAAACCAAAAAAAGTGGCCCAGCGCAGTGGCTCACGCCTGTAATCCCAGCACTTTGGGAGGCTGAGGCAGGCAAATCACGAGGTCAGGAGATCGAAACCATCCTGGCTAACACAGTGAAACCCCATTTCTACTAAAAATACAAAATTTAGCTGGGCGTAGTGGCGGGTGCCTGTAGTCCCAGCTACTCGGGAGGCTGAGGCAGGGGAATGGCGTGAACCTGGGAGGTGGAGCTTGCAGTGAGCAGAGATCGCGCCACGGCACCCCAGCCTGGGCGACAGAGCGAGACTCTGTCTCAAAAAAAAAGTGAGACAGGCCTCAATCCACTTAGAGGTTGATTTTGCCACAGCTGAGGACGTGCCAGGGAAAGAGACAAGCCACAGTAGGCTCTGTGTCCGGGGCTTCTTCCAAAGAGCTTTGAGGATTTCAATATTTAAAGGGGAAAAAGGCAGGAGGGGAAGGAGGAAAGAATAAAAAGGAGGGAGGGTAGGAAAAGTGAGAGAAGTGGGGCACACCCTTGTGAGGTTTTGATGAGTGCTCGCTGAATCGCAGGGGGCAGAGGAAGAGTCAATTATACATTCGGCTCACGCTCAGTAAATCTGCACTTTACATCAGATAAAGTCAACCTAGAGTCGAGGAAGAAGTCAAATATGCATTAGTCTGGGAATGGGCGTACAGACAATTTCTAGTCTCTATCCCTTACGGAGCGATGAGCTGTGACTTTACATAGTCTGGGTCCGGGAGGCCACCTGGGGAGATACCTGTTCAGGCACACAATGAAAAGGCAGTTTCCCGTGTGACCGTTTCCAAGCTCACGCTTTTCTTCTGGCCTAGTGGGCTTGCGGGTGGAGATTTTCTTTCCTTTCACAGAAGACAGGTGAATTCTCATTTCTGTCTGTGCATCCCCACATTGTGAAGTTTTGGTGGAAGGAGCTGAAGAAAATCTGGCCTCACAGAGAGACGTAGTAGGAGATAGAGGCTCTCATGGACACCCTGAAAGGGCCTCAGGAACTCCAGGGGTCCTCAGCCAGGACTTTGAGAACCCACATTCTAGAGGCAGAAGGCATTTGCCAGCCTGATTTGGGGGTTGGCCAATGGAAAGTGGGTGGAGGGGACAGTGCAGCTCTGGGCCCTCTTACACCTGTGTCACCACCGTGATACACACGCCCAAAGCGAGAAGAGAGATGTGAAGCCTGACACCTCCTAACCGCGGGCCCAGAGCCACTCAGCAGAGGCCGGCCCAGCCAGGCGCGCGAGTGAGAAACGCTGCTTCTCACTGACTTCAGGGGCAATTCTGTTATGCCGCAAAAGCTGACAACAAAAGGGTTGGTGATATTAACAAAAATAATACCACACAGCTTATGGACGTTTTGAGCTAAGCTGAAAATAGACTAATCCTGGCATTTACCAATTCAGTCCTGGAAAGGTTCCCAGAAAAAAAATAAAACTTTCCCTCTTTGGATCTTCTGTGCCAGTGCTAAACATCGTGTCCCTGAATAAACTGTCTCCCAACGTGAAATACATAGTTTTGCCTCAATCTGATAGTCTTCAGCTCAAGCTCTAATGCGTTAGACCTGCCAGCCAGTTTTCCTAGCCTGTTCTCAGTTCTACCCTTTGCAGAGTGCGTGCCATACACAAGCAGCCCAAACCGTGTACCATGGCTGCCTGGACGGAAGACTCTCAGCCCAGGCCAATGAAAGCAGAAGCCAAGGCTGTGCAGACAGATGGGGCTGGGAGGAAGTCGGAGGAAACCCTGAAGGCTCCAGAGCCCTTCAGCCCCTGCCACCAGCTGGTCCCGTGGAATCTTCCATTCTCCTAATCACTTCTTTGTGACTTGAGTTTGGTTTAACAAAAAAATAATCTCAACTTGGCTGAAATCTTTACTACTGCTGTATCAAGAACTAATTGATTTTTTGGTTGTACTGGTTAAGAAAGCTCAGCCTACACTTTTATGTCAGATGTTTTATTTATAGATAATTAAAATTTAGGCATATACATGACACAAACATTATATATAGTACACTTTCCATGATAGAAGTTATGATGCTGTTCACAGAAAGGCCTCAATTCAGATGACATAATGCATATGCTACAAGGGGACACCTGGGAGAGGGGACACCAAATGGCCTTCTGGTTTTTCATTTTGGTTTAAATATCCTCTGGATGCATTCAAGTAATACTAATCATTTCATGTTCAAAAGTCTTTTAATAAACAAATTCAGAGTAAAATTAATTGAAATATTTATAATACGATTTGTTACACAGTTATTTCCAATATACAATCAAGACGACTCACGACACTTGAAAGAAAGGAGAAAGAAAAAAAAATCGATTGCACCCACAAGTAAAAAGGCTTTATTCATTTTGGGGATGCTGCAATTTGGTATTTATATAAACATTTACACACTTTAGTAAACACAGTCCTACATGTAATGCAGCATTACGGGTGAGAAGACCCTTGGAAGTCGAGCGTCCACAGTGTTCCACGCGCACAGGCGGACCTTCTCACTGTCATTCCCATCACGGCCAGTCAGTCTCTCCACTCCCTCCTCCCGCCTGGCTCGAGGACGGACGCTTCTCATCAGACACACCAGGCAGCCTACAGTCTACACAGCAGCGAGTGCTCTGCTGCCTGGCTCAGGCTCTCATCTCACGAGGACGTTTCCCCATCTTAGTGTCCTGTTAAATAATCTTGTGTAGAGTCCGAAGCAAAGGAGTCGACATCCTCGTTATCTGAATCGTCGCTGCTGTCGTCGGCGGCTGGCTCTCCTGTAAGTGCGATGCGAGCGTAGTCATCTGTGTCTATGGACTTGCAGAAGTGGATGGCGTACTTGAGCTTCTCCTCCAGCACCTGCTTGCAGGAATACCTGGGCAGCTTCAGCAAGAAGAAACAGGTGTAGGACTCAGGGAGGAAGTGGTCTGGAGGGTTGTATTTATCCAACACCTGTTGAGCAGAAACATGAAGTGATTAGAAATTGAGTACGGCTGCAGTCTACTTTACTGTGCTCATTAGACTCTTCGTGCTCACAAAACCATATTTTTTGCTAAGAACAAAACAGCAGAAAACATAATCCAAACAACTTTAGGAGTAACGAGGAGCAATTAATTCCTAGAACTTGGAGTAAGAAACAGCACCTCACTATGGAGATGATGGCTCTCTATTGTCATCCCGGGAAGAGGGCCCGAGGACCACACCACCTGTGTGGATGCGGGGCGGCCTGGCTGGCGGAGGACCAGGCACGTGACCACGGGAGAGCTCTTCATGAGTCTACCAGCCCAACTTTGACCCCTACAGATTAAGATACTAGGAAACGGCAAGAATTATGGACAAAAACTAAGAATTACTGACCTTCTAAGATAGAAAACTATGCATGCTCTCCAAGGTGACCCTGAAAGACGGCCACTTTTCTAACCCTGGCAGAGACGCAGGTCAGGCTGTGCTGGACACATGCTGGGAACAGTGGACCCCATCGATCCATCCGCCCAGGCACTGCTGTTACGGTCCCAACAGAGAGTGGGGGCATTAGGCCATCCCCTCTCAGTGACCCGGCAGGTCCATTGAGCTTGTTTCTGACCACCGGCCCACAGAGTTGGAACCCAAAGCAAAACCCTTGTTCTCAATCCAACGAGCGGCCTCATTTTTCTCGGTATGTAGGATGTTACTTAGTGACTCACCTAATTCGACCAGATAACTGAATGAGTGCTTTACGTGTGTTTGAAATCTAGAGCAGGCTGACACAGCAGTGATGTATTCTGGGGATGGCCAGATACATTTTTAAAAAATAGGTAATGGTACCCAAAACACATAATCATAACATTTTGAGCCTTCACATCAGAGAAGTTCGATGTTTTCCATTTTCATTTCTGTAAAGACTCAAGAGGCTCGTTTTCCATGTGCTGCAGGACTGTGGGTGAGGAGCCAGCCACCCACCGTCGGCCGACATCAGCCCAGGGCCGGCAAGCCCAGCCAGGAGCCTACCTGGATGACGAAGTCTCGGCCCCGGAAGTCGGCGATGGTCCTGGGCAGCCTCGTCCGGCCCCAGACGAAGCGAAGGAAAAGAGAGCGCTCTGTGTTGGAGAAGGACTCCATCACCTCCCAGAACCACTGGATCAGCGATGCGGAAGGCTCGATGCCTTTATAGGTGGCCACCGACTTGAGAAGGTGCAGCGGGATGTCAGGGCTGCCACACACCTGCGGGAGGATGTCTGTCAGGGCCGCGTGATGCTTCCCACCCTGGCATTTCCGCAAGACTCCGTCACGCTCCCTCTCTACACCAAGGCCTGTTTGGGGTGGGGAAAGGTCTGGGGGCTCTGGGTGGGCCCACACACAGCCTCCTGCAGGCGGGTGGAGGGACGCGCTCAGAGTGCACTCCCTTCAGTCAACACACAGGGCAAGGTTCTGACTCTAACTGCTGTCACTGATTTGTGGGTCAGCAGGCAAAAGGCAGCTGCAGGGCAGCCCCACCTGGGGGTCGGCATACCATCGTCTCCAGTTCGTAGCCGGTGAACAGAGAGAGGAGGGGAACAGGCACAACGCGGGCCATTCCTTCCCGAACAGCAGCCACCTGCTCATCAAATTCATGGAGTCTGGAAGAAAAAGCTCACTTTACACTTCTGTCTTCAGTGACACTGACTTTATGCTGCTCACACCAAGCCTTGGCATGCAGCACTGTGGCCGCACACGTCCCAGCTGGGAGAACAGAGGGAGCAGCTCCAGATGGCATGAGCATGCTTAGCAGCTCGGCACTGCAGAGCTTCTCCTGACACTGGGCTCATCTCGTCCAGCCGACAGGGTACGGCCTAATGACCACCTACAGCTATGCACACCCCAAGACGCCACTCTCAGTACCCACAGGACACCCCAGGAGAAGCCAGCACCAAGAGGGGAAACACATGTGCATCCGCCCCAGGCCCGAGACACTGTGCTGACCCACAGCAGACACGATACGGGGGACAGCACCGCCCAGGACACCTGCCAGGACTACCCCCACCAGAGCCCACAGGGCCCACCTGCCACACGAGGCCTCACCCAGACACTCTCAGGTGCTTCCAGGGGACATGGGACAAGCAGTGGAAGCTGTGGGTGGTGGTAATGACCTGCCAAGCCTGAATCACGGCACCCAAAGGACCGTGCACAGTCACACCTGGGCGCCTGGCAAAGGCTGCTCTGTGTCACTCAAGCAGCCTGGAGGGGGTTGAGACAGCCCCAGACACAGCCCTGTCCCAGGGAAGCCAACAAAGAAAGCACACAGGGGCAAAAACTATGGCCTCTCCAGGTGCAGTGACCCAAATGGGTGGATTTTGTTGATCTTGGTATTCTGGTTAGAGCCAGGAATGTCAGAGTAATAAATACCGACCCTGATCACAAAATAAGCTTTATACCCACAGATCAGCAATAGTTGGAGCCAAATCCATTACTTTACTGTGTATGACACTCCTGAAAAACACACATGTCCACACAACCACGTTCTGCTACTTTTGCTATTTATGTCAATGCAACAGAGACAGATGACCACCAACCTATAGTTTATCGCCAGCCGCACGTACTCCGCGCGGTTGTCCAGGGTGATGTGTGTGTGCTTGGAGCTCAACTGAATGTCCTGGCCACTGGCACTTGGCACTGTGAAGGGCAGGCTCATGGCTTCAAACTCCTCTGAGGTGGCTTCATTGTCTCGGATGTACATGAGTCCAGGAATAAAATCCTTATCAACCTTTTAAGGAGAAAAAGAAAGCCCATGTGTCGACTCACGGCTCATCTCCATCCCAGACTCCAGTCCACCCAGCACACTCTGTCAAGCAGGAACCAGGGTCAGCCTCAAGTGCATCTCGAGGCTGCAAGTGCACGGCACACACCAAGATATAAGAGGAGCAACGAGAGAGTACTTCACCCAAGGAGCTGAACGAAGAATTCACAATTCAGCCAAATGCTTAAAACTAACCACCGAGAAAGTTACAGCAACTGGCTAGCAAGGGTTCCCTCCCTGCAGCCGAGGCACAACACAGCCATGGGGAATGAGCTGGCTGTGGTCGCCCCAGGACAGAGCCTCCCGTGCAAGCCTGACTCACGGCCCCCAGCTGCCCAAAAGCTCAGCTTCTTCACAGGGGAGGCAGTGAGCTTCCTTATCTGACAAGACAGTGTATGTTACAAAACACCAGAAAATAGATGGTCTATTTTTTTTTTTTTTTTTTTGCTACTCAAAGGTGGTCCACAGCCAACAGCCTCTGCGTCACCTGGGCACTGAGATTAGGCCAGAGTTCACAGCCTGACCGGACCCGCAGAACAGACTGTGCCTGTTAACAAGACCCTAGAGGCCCCGCCTGCCGCCCCAGGGAGTTACCTCACTGAGGTCCGCGATGGTGAGGCTCATCCCAGCCAGCTGCTTCCAGACAGGCTCGGCAAGGTTGAGGCTCAGGGGACTCCCGGTTCGGATGGCAATGCCCAGCAACACACCTGATCATTCAGGACACAAGTGACAGAGGACACTTCAAAAGGATGACAAAACTTCCCGCTCACTCACACACGCCACTGACAGCAGCTCCACACTCAGGACTCAGAGCCTTCTGAAGCAGCAACACCCACATCATAGGTCTAGGCCCTTCCTCAAGACCGCCTGTCCTGCTCTAAATCTATCCTTTTGTGCCTAAAAGCCTCTTAACTCTTCACATCCTTTCTGCACGCACACTAGTTTAAGCCACACAGTGGCCAATTCTTCTTCTTATGACAGCAAAGAGCTGGAACTTCCCCACGGGAGTGTCCTCCAGGGAGCTACAGCCCTGCCCAGGAGGTGCTGGCTGTGGTGGGACACACAGCCGAGGACACCCTGCACACCCTCAGTGGGACAGGAAGGAGGGACTGGCCAATGGCGAAGACCTCACCCCACTCTGATCCCAAGTCTCAGATAAACATTGAAGATGCAGAAACAGAATCTCCCATCTTCTGAGTACCCGAGGCAGTCTCCAGTCCTCAGCACGTGGCCGGGGCTGGCTCTGCCAGTGCCTGCAGCTGTGCACAGAGCTTCCGACGGTCCACCACCGTCAGGCCCTCAATGCTAGGCACGGAAGTCAACAGCACCTCGTTCGCTTCCACAATGTTGGTGAAAGGCACGATCAATATTAAAAGTCTTTTCTTTTTCTTTTTTTTTTTTTTTTGATACAGAGTGTTGCCCAGGCTGGAGTGCAATGGTACGATCTCAGCTCACTGCAACCTCCGCCTCCCGGGTTCAAGCAATTCTCCTGCCTCACCCTCCTGAGTAGCTGGGACTACAGGTGCATGCCACCACAGCCAGCTAATTTTTTTTGTATTTTTACTAGAGACGAGGTTTCACCACATTAGTCAGGCTGGTCTCGAACTCCTGACCTCAGGCAATCTGCCTGCCTCAGCCTCCCAAAGTGCTAGGGTTATAGGCGTGAGCCACCGCGCCTCACCCTAAAAGTCATTTTTATTGGTAACAGTCTCAAAAACTAAAAGCAGATATTCAAGATATCTACTGTCACTCCTCAAACAGATAGTACATTTTAACTCAAGAGTAGGCACAGGCCACAGCGACACAGTCTCAAGCGGCCGAGAAGCTCACCCAGGAAGCGGAACATGCTGCTGTGCACGGGTGCTCTGGCGGCCGGGCTGAGCAGGTAGCAGTCTCGGTTGGCCCCAGACTCATCCCTCCCGTTGGGTGTCACGATCAGCAGGGGCGTGAGTCCGTTCTGCAGCTCCTCACAGATCTCAGCTATGGACTCGCTGTAGCCGCCCCCACAGTCATCCACAGATTCACCTGCAGGGGAGAAGCAGCCACTCGAAGTCCCCTCACACAGTCCTGTGTAAAGAGAGCCCCAACGCTCCCACACCATGTGGCCTCTGTGCTCCCTGTGGGCTCAGGCGACCACTGCCGGGGACACAGGTGCTCCAGCACGTGGCAAGTTCTCACCCACAAACTTGACTTTCCAGACACGGTGAGGAAGGAGGAGGCTGTCGGGACCAAACGAGCTCATCTTAGCACACATCTGCCCAAAGACAGACTTGGTGCCGTCGGGGCCGGCCAGCCCGCCTTTGCTCCTTGATCGTTTGACCTGGAGAGGAGGAAGCAAGCAAGCGTGAGGCCGCTGCCGCAGCAGGAAGCACACAGTCGGGGATATGCGGCACTGGCGAATGCACGAGGAGGAGGCACCGTGCATGGGCCCCTCCCTGGTCACACACCTGCTTGTGTGGACGCCAGGCAGACCCTGCCATCTGGGGCGCTCGACTGTGGACACCCGAGACCGCTGCCTCACCCCATTGGGCATGTCGCCAGTGATGTGCCCAGCAGCCCCCAGGACTAGTGTGTCTGAACAAACACACCTTCCAACACGACACACACCACCACCACGTCCACAGCTGCGGCCCGGCAGCACCACCCTGGCACGGACCATCCTCACACCCTAAGCACTGCTGCTACTTCACCATCTTGCCACGACCTCATGAAATAAGACACCAGGAACTCCAAAAGCAGCTCCCCCAGCAGACCAGAACAGACTCCCGGCACTCAAAGATTCAACCCAATGCCCCTGAGACTGAAGCAGACACAGTGAGTGAGTGCCTCAGCCAGGACCAGCCCTTCCCCACATCTGCTTCCACCCATCCCATTTCCAAGCCTTGGGGCCACTCAGCCTCCCCAACACAGGCAGTCACTCCCTGCCCATCCTTCTCATCCTAAGCTACAATTGCTAAAGGCTCAGGGGCCTCCAATTCCCAAAGACACCAGGGCAGGAGCCCTAGGGCCCCGCCGCAGCAGGACCTCGGCACATCGGAGGGCAGGTGGCCGAGGCTGTGCATCAGAATCATCTGGGAAGCCCAGTCTGGAAGGATGTCAAAAAGAAAAATTGAAGAAAAAATGGTCCTGAGAATGTATTTTGATGACTCCTCCAGTGAAGCTCTCTTCACCTTTAGCTCACTTAAAGTTGAGTTTAAACAGCTTACAGCGCAGGCTGCCATAACCAAGACTAAAAATACAAGAAGAATGACAGGAGCCACAGTTGCCTGTAGAATGAACTTGTCTGCGTGCCACACACACGGCTAGTGTTCACAGACGTGAGTTCCTGGAAACTCGCGGCAGCTTGTTAAGGCTCCATCATGCCCAGAGGAGACTAGGCTACAAGAAAAGAACAGGACATGCCCTATGTCACGGCGGCTGTGTGAGAGGAGAGGTGCACCCAGCTCCCCGAAGCCCACGGGGCTGCCTCTCCTCCATGACGACACCCACTAGTAGAGGCTGTCTGCACTCAGAGGCTGCAGAAAACAGCAGCCATAAGGCTGGAGGCAGACAGGCTCCTGCGGGACAGCACTTTCTCTGCTCAATAGAAACACAGATGATTTTAACTGTCTTTAATCTGAATTCCCTAAATTTTCAGAAATGTGCATGCAATAACTCTGTAATAAATTTTTAAGTATAAAAAAGTTTTTATGTAGTGATGTTCAGATCCTGCTATAAAACTAAATAAAATTCCCAACAAACAAAACCTTCCAGTAAGATGACCTGTGTTCTGGAGTCTCTGAAACTATCCAGACAGCTGTGAGAGTCCCTCCCATGGCATCCTCTTGGGAGGCGTGTCCCTGAGCCCATCATCGCAGCCATGGGGTGGCGGGTTGGAGGCGCCTGTGCAGCCTTCCTGGCTCCGTGCTGGTGTCCTGTGCACACCCTGAATTCAAACAATGTTTTTCTCCATGTTCATTTTTAGGCAGAAAATCACTTCTATTTCTACATCTGTAGAAAATTTCCTCGCTTTGGGAGGGGCATGCTACCCTGAACGGGAAGGAGCCACCTCTGGCACCCGGGGCCGTGGCTGAGCCAGGGCAGCCCCCAGACGTCAATCCACATTGCACACTAGGCTGAAGGGTGTTTATCTGATTCTTAAGAAGGCCTGACACCACGCACGGTGGCTCACGCCTATAATACCAGCACTTTGGGAGGCTGAGGTGAGTGGATCACCTGAGGTCAGGAGTTCAGGACCAGCCTGGCCAACACAGTGAAACCCTGTCACCACTAAAAATACAAAAAAGGCTGGGTGCGGTGGCTCATGCCTACAGCACTTTGGGAGGCCGAGGTGAGTGGATCACCTGCAGTCAGGAGTTTGGGACCAGCCTGGCCAACATGGTGAAATTGTCTCTACTAAAAATACAAAAAACAAAATTAGCCTGGCATGGTGGCACACGTCTGTAATCTCAGCTACTCAGGAGGGTGAGGCAAGAGAATTGCTTGAGCCTGGGAGGTGGAGGTTGCAGTGAGCCAAGATTGCACCACTGTACTCCAGGCTGGGCGACAGAACAAGACTCCCTCTCAAAAAAAAAAAGGCCTAATATAAGTTGTCGTTTTTTGTTTGCTTTGAGACAGTGTCTGGCTCTGTCGCCCAGACTGGAGTACGCTGGTATGATCTCGGCTCACTACAACCTCTGCCTCCCGGGCTCAAGCAATCCTCCTGCCTCAGCCTCCCAAGTAGCTGGGACTACAGGCACCCACCACCACACAAGGCTAATTTTTGTATTTTTTGTAGAGATGGGGTTTCATCACGTTGCCCAGGATGGTCTCAGACTCCTAGGCTCAAGCAATCCATCCACGTCAGCCTCCCAAAGTGCTGGGATTACAGGCATGAGCCACCACCAACGACTAATATAAATTTGTTTGCCATTTACCCAGTTTGTTTTTTCAATTGCATACTGAACATTTTTGTAACACAAGCTGGGGATAGCAAGATGAGTAAGAAAGAGGTGCTCAGCATGTAATGACTTCTTAAAAATTTCAGATGATACAAAGACAGAAACAAGGGTGCCTAACCTGCATCCTAGTTTATCAAAACTTCACTGATTCCCAGAGTCCCCCAGGCTTGAATACCCACCCTGAGAGCCCCTGGCCCAAAAAGTCTGCGTGCGGTTTTGAGGGAGGTGCAAGTCAAGGTGCACTCAATCGCGGGGGTTAGACAACGCAGAAGCCATCAGCTGGCCTTGCCTACAAGCTATAATGTTTATGATGCACAGCAAACTGAAGCCATCGTCCAAGGTAGGGAAATAAAAGCTTTTTTATGAACCTAGTTAAACAACCTATTTATGTGAGGACGTGACTGACGTACAGCTTAGCATTAAACACTCTGACGTCAGTGAAGAGACCAGCTCCATCAATGTGGTCACATGAGCTGTCCAACAGAGGACAAGAGTTTCGTGTCTTAATTCAAAATGCCCCCAAGTATAACTCTGAAAACATTTCTAGTCTTGTAATCAACATCAGGGTAAAAATCATGTGTTAATACAAAGGTACAGGAACAAAGAATTTGTTCTTCATGGCTCTCTGTGTCTGATCCAAGAGGCGAGGCCAGTTTCATTTGAGCATTAAGTGTCAAGTTCTGCACGCTATCATCATCAGGGGCCGAGGCTTCTCTTTGTTTTTAATTAATTGTTTTTAACTGTGAGTTTATATACACTTGAAGCAGTATACATTTAGAAATGGTCTACTTGTCGTTTCTTTGATTACTACCCATGAGACAGTATTAGTAATTCTGGCCTATGAAATTGGCAAAGAAAACTACCAGTGGTGGGGAGGGTGTGAGGATGGTGGGAACATGAACTGTTATAACCTATAATCGGATGTATCATCAAATTGTCACTGGGCCTCTGACCCACTCCACTTCTCAGAACTTAACAAAAGGGGTGACCGAAGATACACCCAGATAGCCCTGCCTGTACCACAGAAAAGTGGGCACGGCCCCCCAGCACCATCAGAGAAATCTGACAGAGTAAACCAGGACACACCCCTGCAAGAGAGGAGCAGGCTGCAGGCAGCTGCCAAACACAAGCAGCCCCACAGGACCCTATTCCATGGCAGGGAGGAGAGCAGCAAATTTCAAAAGGCAGTGATCCTGCTTTGGCTGTAACAAATAGACACACACCTCCCAATGTAACAGCAGCAGTTATCATCATGCAGTGGGAAGAGGGCTGATTTTATTTTCCCCATTCTTGCTGACCTGTGTTTGTGCTTTTGGACTATCTGACATAAATCTTCATTACTTCTGTATAAAGAAACACACTGACATTCCTGGAAGCCCCAGCACATCACATACAGGAAGCCCACAAAAAGGAAGGTGGCACCTGCTCTTTAAAGTTGGGGTGCACAGGATGGCAGGCTACCAGCGCTCTCGTCCCAGCCCAGGTACCCACGAAAGCATCACTTCTAAGGCTGTCAGACTTGGAGAGTAATCTCCATGTGCTACCTGGATGCGGTTCAGCTCCACGACGGGGCCATGCTGACGATCGCGTACCATAGTTGCTTGTACTACTTTCCGGAAAGCCGCCTCCTAAAACACATCAAACAGACAAAATTTAGAATCTGATATGGAAAGCATCACTCCTGAAGAAATCATCACATAGTTTTGTTTAAAATCTGTGTTGAAGACCTTCTTAAGGACAGAAAACTGCCAGTTCCCTTTTCTCAAGTTGTGAGGGTGCAGGGGAACAGGCTGGCCCCGAAGCACACAGGGACAGACGGCCAGGCAGGTAGTGCCAATGGCCGGGCAAGAGGCAGGTCCCTCAGGAAACTACCTCCACCCAGCAGCGTTCCGGAGGCTGGAAGAGCCCAGCACACACAGGGCACAGAACAGGGAGGGCTGGGCCTGGCAAGCACCTGCTCTGACTCAGGTCTTGAAGTCAAGGTTTCCCTGCCAAGCAAGCCCACCCGTGGCAGGGATTGCTGTTAAACCACTGCCTGCCATACAGCAGCCACGGGCCAGGGAGCACCGCGGAGCCAGCCGGACCTTGGATCGCCACTGCCTGCCATACAGCAGCCACGGGCCAGGGAGCACCGCGGAGCCAGCCGGACCTTGGATCGCCACTGCCTGCCATACAGCAGCCACGGGCCAGGGAGCACCGCGGAGCCAGCCGGACCTTGGATCGCCACTGCCTGCCATACAGCAGCCACAGGGCCAGGGAGCACCGTGCAGCCAGCCAGACCTTGGATCGGGACAGAAAAGACAGACCGGGGAGGGGAACAAGGTCCTGGCTGGGATCACACTAAAAGAAATCGGGAGTGCCTGGGGTGAAGACAGCAGGGCGTGGCCAAACATCAGCACCACAGTGAGGACCCAGCCGTTCCCCAGGAGGGAGCAGGTCGGCCATGCCCGTGGGGAAAGGGCAGAGGATGCGGCACGCAGCCGTGCCAATGGAAAGGGATGAGACAGGTCAGCAGGGGTCTCAGCTCTCTTGGCCAAGGAGGCAATCGTGCCTTCTTTCGGTTAGGGGTGGGCTGTGGGAGCACAAGGGTCCCTCAGTGGAGGCTGAGCCCTTGCCCAGCTCAAAGCCTAAGAACTCCAAGCCCTGAAGGCAGGAGGTGAGGGCCCCAAGCGCCAGAGGAGACCCAGAAAGGGTATCCTGGCGGCACCCCAGCCCCATGCCTCTCGCACAGCCCAGACTCATCCTGCTCCCAGAGGCCCTGCCTGGACCTCAGGGCGGCTCCCCCTCCACAGGAGCACTCCCCTCTCCTCCCAGTCACCAGCCCGCCCACCTTCCTGGAGAGTCCATTTTGGTGCTCTGGACCGGGAGTAGTAACACCCACTCTCTGAGGCCGATCCTCACCATAACCAGGACCAGAACCGAGGCTGCCTACACATTCCCTGACCAGAGGTACCTTTCAGACGCCCTCAGCACTCCCCTGCTCTCCTGCAGCCCCAGCAGGTGCCAGATGCTGCTGCCCACCGCTCCCCTACCACACACCAGCTCCCACCCATGCCCCGCTCACAGCCTGCACAACGCTCACACAGGGCCAGGTGGGACGTGCCCTGCCTCTCACTTTTTTTCTCCCTACAAAGAAAGGTTTTTTTCCTCTGTGCTGCCTATTATCATCACCACTTTGAAGGATTAAAAAAAGAAGGTAAAATTAATCGTTTGCTACTTTTTATTATTGAACAGTAATTGAAATTATGTTTCCTATCCATTTTACCTGCCCAAGATTTCTTCTGCCTCTCTCATCAGAGAGATGGTCTTTCCATTAAACACAAGCCTGACCACTTCCACCCTCAGGCACACGTGAAAGTAAAATGAATGTACCAGTCCTGTTCAGCAGAAATCGTTCTAGCCAAGTGGAAACAAAGCCGGTCTTTAAAAAGTAACCTGCTGGGACAGGACTCCAAAACATTGCAATTTTATTAAATCACTAAGAATGGGCCATAATATTCGACAACAAAATACATTAGAGAATCACAATCAGGATTAGTGGTCCTCAATCCAATTCTATAACTTTTCCCTATACAGAGATGCCCCTACCGTATGGTAATTAGCCCCTTCAAGATCATCTTGTCAAGCTGCTTGCCAGAAACTAACCCAACTTCTAGAAAGCTCCAACTATTAGCAACATCTACAGGTCAAAACCTGCCTGGTGACTTTCAGATGCCCTCACTCATGACTGTATTATTCACCACCTGTTAATTCTCACTTGGCCAGCAATCTCTACACATTCAGGCACGGACCTTCGAGGTGATATATCTGTGACTCCTGGCCCCCTCTGCTGGACATCCTGAGAGAAACAGCCCAATCGCCGGCCTTCCTGTGTCAGTGGGGACTTGCCATAGCCACAAGGCCAGGCAGGCAGAGAAGGACCGCAGGAACAAAGGCTTAGTTTATGAAGGCCCCACCTCATCCTTCTGGAGCAGTGAGAGGCAGAGATTATGAAGGAGAGATGCAGCATCTTACTGTTTGTTTTTAATATAAACTCCAAAAGGGAATAGATTTTTGTCTGTTTTCTCATTGATATAAAGTACCCAGAACAGAGCCTGGCATGCAGGAGGCATTCCGTGAACATTTGCTGAATGAGCTGTATTCTATGTGTTCTATTCCCAGTATAGGAATTCTATTGGGTTACATGTACTGAAGACACCAGTTTCCCCTAGAGCAAAGATTGCCACTTGAATACCTTTCCCTGGGATATCAGAATTCCTCGGAGAGTGTCGAACCCAACAGAAGGCCCGAGTCCAGTTTCGTCGAGCGAGCCTTCCAGGTCGAACATGGGGATGCAGGGGCAGAAGAGCTCGGAGAGGTGGTGCAGCAGCAGCAGACGGTTCCTCAGCGCAATGATGGGGATCTCCTGCAGGTGATTGTACTCCATGGGGACCTAGAACACAGAAATGGCCTTCAGCCCCTCAGGCACCAAAGGCACACGGGGGCCAGTGTGGCATCCATTAAGGATTCTGAAAACAATTGTTTCAAATACAGAGAAGCACTATGGTGTCTGAGTTTGGTTTGCACAACCTCACTGTGCTGCTTTTAAAATAATATTCTGTCCAGTTTGACTGTAAAAAAAATTAGTCTATACAAATAAATTCACTAAGAAATGTGAGGCATGTACTAGCAGAACAGTTTGGTGTGGAAGAGTTTGGTGTGGGTTATAAGATATAGAAGGTGATACACACTGTACACACAGAATATTGGCTGGCATGAACATTAAGGTTCTTTTGAGACAGGGTCTCACTCTGTCACTCAAGTAAGAGGGCAGTGGTGCAATCACTGCAGCTTGGACCTTTCAGACTCAAGTGATCCTCCCACCTCAGCCCTCAGCCTCCCAGGTAGCTGGGACTACAGGTGCATGCCACTATGCCTGACTAATTTTGTAGAGACAGGGTTTTGCTATGTTGTCCAGGCTGGTCCTGAACTCCCGAGTTCAAGCAATCCGCCCACCTTGGCCTCCCAAAGTGTTGGGATTACAGGCGTGAGCCACCACAACCAGCCAAATATCAAGGTTCTTAAATGCACTGTGTGGTTAACATTTACTGAGCCTGAATTATTTTCACCAAGAAGCCTCTGTAAACACACAACGACAGGATGCAGCATGTGACAGGAGCACACTTTGCTTGCCCCCGACCCACCCAACCTGCCCGGACTCACCTGTGCAGGGAGTTTGCCAGCACTGGCGGGCTTGCTGGTCGACCAGGCGAGGGTATGTGCTGAGCCACAGGCCACACGGTTGACCTTCTTACCCTGAAGGGCAGCTACCAACCGAGGCCTCTGGATGGCATTGGTGGTTCCGTCTCCCAGTTGTCCCTCATCATTGTCGCCCCATGTATAAACCTCACCTGAATGAAGTGAATTTAGAATCAGAACCTGTATACTAGGGCCAACAAACGCATGGCTGCCAGTGTCTTCCCACCACACACAGCACCAACGCTCCCTGCCCTTCAGCTGGTGTTGACCTAGTTGTCAACTTTACATATGACCTAGACATGAATGTCTGCTTTAGGTATGACCTAAACATGAATACATGCTAATTACACATCCAAAGAGGCGAGTGTACTTCCCAGGACTCTCCACAGCCCCTGTTGGCCACCAGGCCTCTTCTAGTGAGAGACACACAACTCTGGTCTTAAGCCTCCAACAGTGTTAGTTCTCAGGACTAGGCATGAACAGCAGCAGTTCTCCATCAGAATAATATTAGAACAGATAGCAATATCCCGAACATCCCAAATCCATCTAATATTAAAACACATAGCAATATCCCTAACATTCCAAATTGCTCTTGCATGCGAAACAGAAAAGAAAAAGTCTGTTTTATTTATTTTATACTTTTTTTTTTGAGACAGGGTCTCACACTCTGTTGCCCAGGCTGGAGTAAACTGGCATGATCACGGTTCACTGCAGCCTCAAACTCCCCAGCTCAAGTGATCCTCCCACCTCATCTCCCAAAGTGTTGGGATTACATGCATGAACCACTGTGATGAAGTCTCACTTTGTCGCCCAGGCTGGAATGCAGTGGTGCGATCTCAAGCTCACCGCAACCTCCGCCTCCCGGGTTCGAGCGATTCTCTGGCCTCAGCCTCCTGAGTAGCTAGGCTCACAGGCACGCACCACCATGCCCAGCTAATTTTTGTATTTTTAGCAGAGACAGGGTTTCACCATGTGGGTCAGGCTGGTCTCGAACTCCTGACTTGGTGATCCACCTGAAAATCTATGTTTTTAAAATCAAAACCACAATGTGATACCACCTCACTCCTGCAAGAATGGCCATAATAAAATAAGAATAAAAAAAAATAGATGTTGGTATGGATGTGGTGAAAAGGGAACACTTATACTGCTGGTGGGAACAGAAACCAGTACAACACATTGAGATTTTCCCCCACTAGAGGGCGATAAAAACTAACAACAAGCTATCTGTGAAAACGCGTTGTGATGGAAAGCATTTTCCACGCTCCACTATGGAAAAGTATGGAGATTCCTCAAAGAACTAAAAGTAGATCTACCATTTGATCCAGCAATCCCACCACTAGGTACCTACCCAGAAGAAAAGACGTCATTATTTGAAAAAACACTTGCACACACATGTTTATAGCAGCACAATTTGCAATTACACAAATATGGAACCAGCTCCAAAGCCCATCCATCAATGAGTGGATAAAGAAAATGTGGTATATATACACCATGGAATACTACTAGCCATAAAAAGGAATGAAATGATTGCATTTGCCGCAACCTGGATGGGACTAGAGACCATTATTCTAAGTAAAGTAACTCAGGAACGGAAAACCAAACCATATGTTCTCATGCGATGAGGATGCAACGGCATAAGAATGACACAATGGACTTTGGAGACTCGGGGGAAAGGGTAGGAGAGGAGTGAGGGATAAAAGACTACACATTGGGTACTGTGTACACTACTTGGGTGATGGGAGCACCCACCTCTCAGACATCACCTCTAAAGAGCTTATTCATGTAACCAAACACCACCTGTTCGCCAAAAACTTGTTGAAATAAAAATAAATTTAAAAAATAACATAAAAAAAGAACATGCCGTTTCTGTTCATATCCTAAACATAAGATTCACCATTCGCAAGAATCATCACACTTTTCAGTGCACCGTGTGGGACCTCAACCAAGAAATACCACCGGAAAATATTCTCAGGCAAGGTCCCTGGTGACCAGGATGGAAACAAGGCTCATGTTCTCTGGAGACACCATCAGGATTGTCAAATCCAGAGAGACTCCTCGGGTGTCTGGAAAGTGTGACGCCTGCGTGGTCAAGGGCAGTGTACTTGTCTCCTGCCCCTGCCTGCTCTCCACACGTTGGTCCTAAAGCCACGAGGCGGGTGTCGCACACACAAGGTGAGGAGGGTGTCTCTGCAGACGCAGCTGGGCATAGGGAATGAGTCTGTGAGAGTGAGGAGGGCTTCCACCCAGGTGCTAGCTCTGAGGGGAGTCAGCCAAGACCCCCACATGCAAGGGGAGGAGCCACACAGGGGAGGATGAGATGCTGGTTATGCACGGGGGGAGTGGCCAAATCGCCAGAAAAGAAAGGATCTGCAAGGTTGCCATGAGAAAACTGGAATGAACCCTGTGGATCCAAACTGGACCTGGGGATACTGGTGTGAACTCACAGTTTTCAACAGACATCAAACATAAACCAGGGTATTGTTTACATTACTATTCCCTGGCTTTGTCCACTGAGGAGGTCTGGGGAGCGGTGACGCCTCAATAGCAATGAGCACACCCATCATCCAGACCTTGTCTTCTCAAGGCCATTCTCCTCCACAGATGCCAGGGCTCCTTGGAGAAATGGCCAGGTCGAGGCGTGGGGCATGGCGGGAACAAGTGGAGGCTAATCATCTTCTTCTGCCAGAGCAAGGAAGTACTCCCAGACAACGGGGACACACAAAAAGGGGGCAGAGCCAGCCAAATAGAGCACAACTAGAGCATCAAAATAAATAGACTATATACCCCAATGAATACATTAGGATCCATGATTCCCACTCAGATAAAACAAATACATGAATTGATTCAAAGCTGCATGAGAAAGGAATATTTAAATAGATTCAGGATGTCCCTACTAAATACTTGTTAATTATAAAGAATGTTCGCAGTGAAAAGCATGGCAGACAATGTAACCAAGCAACTGTAGTGAGCATCATCAGCAAGCAGACAAACTGCATGTCACCTGCAAGGATGAACTGTGACGATCAAAGACACACAACCCGAATCTACGCAGAAACATCGCAAAAAATCCAAACAGAAGAATGTGCTACAAAATAACTGGTGTCAAGTTGCAAGAAGCCCAGGAAGACGAGGAAGTGAAACGATGACGCCAGGCACTGAGAGAGTGTCACAGGACAGAGGGTACAGCTTGCCAGCTGACTGGCAGGCAATGTGCTGCAAATGGGCATGGGCGTCAGGCGGGGTGGGGGAGTGTGAACTGGCTGGCAGGACGAGCCTCCCTGTTTGTGGGAAACACACTGAAAAGCTCAGGACGCGGCAGCAGGACAGCAACTCACTCTCATGTGGACTGGGATAAGCAAGTTCTAGGTAATGTACTTCCAACTGGTTTGCTTCCAACTGTGATTTGTCTCAAAATTTAAAAGAATTAAATAAGTCAAATAAAAAGTTCTGGATCAAGAACTACAATGTCCTTCCACTACAGGCCACAGAAGTTGCTCATTCATCCATGAGCCTCTTCCCTCAATGAAATGATTAAAGGGTGCATGCTTATATAATTCACCAAAGGCTTTAACGAGGAGCACAGTTTGTGCGAAGGCCATGTTAATGAAAGATGGCGCCCACGTTTTTCACTGCTGCCATAACACATCCCCACAGCCCGGCTGGCTTAAACAACACACACTTAGGATCCTTTCGCTCTGCAGGTGAGAAGCCCCGCATGGGTCTGTCTCCCTTCCCAGAGGCCCCAGGGGAGAGTTTCCTTGCTCATTCAGACACAGCTCAGTTCTCTGTGGGACTGAGGTCCAGGTTCCTTGCTGGCTGAGCTACTCCCAGCTTCCAGGGGCCACCCCATTCCCCAGCCCTGTTCCTCCACGAAAGCCAGCAACAGAGGGTAGAGAGCTCTCAGACTTTGAAAATCTTTCTACTACCTCTTCAGTCACATCTCTGACTGACTCTTCTGCCTCCTTTTCTGATCAAAGGGTCTGTGTGATTACACTGGGCCCACTAAATAATCCAGAATAATCTCCATATCATCAAGTCAGCTGACTCACAAACTTCATTTGACCTGAAAAGTCCCTTTTGCCATTGTGTTGGGGTTCCCCGGACCGCCCCACGCTCCTGATTCTCCAGCATGACTTACAAGACTCAGCATACACTCCTCCTCACAGTTACAGTGTATTATGGCAAGAGGACACAGAGTAAGACCAGCACAGGGATGGGGACCTGTGGCAAAGCAGTGGGGGAACCAGGAGCAAGCTTCCAGAGTCCTCTCCCACAGGAGCCACACAGGACGAGCTTAACTGCCCCGGCACTGAGCTGTGTCAGGTGCTGTCTGCCGGGAAGCTGGGTAGAGACTCCAGGCCCAGGGTTTCCATCAGGGCTGATCACACAGGCACCCCCTGCCTGGCGCGTACCAAGTTCCAGACCAAGGAAAGCAGATTTCAGCACAGAACATGTCGCTTGTACAGACAGTTCAGGCACAGTGAACCACACCTACCACCTAGGGAACAGGGGATCCCTCCCGAAACCCAGGTTCCCAGACACCAGCAGAGGGCCAAGCCTGCAGCAGGTCTGTCTAAGGACACGTCTCAGGCTGGCTGCTAGCTCTGTTCTGCACAGCCCAGTAATAAGTAATAAATAGAACTCATTCACAGGTTTAACAGCAGGGGCTGAAGATGACAGGGCCAAAGCCCTGCTGACTGCAGATAGATTCTCAGGACACAGTATAAGCCTTTGCCTCCTTTTTTTTTTTTTTTTTTTGAGACAGTCTTGCTCTGTCACCAGGCTGGAGTGCAATGGCACGATCTTGGCTCACTGCAACCTCCACCTCCCGGGTTCAAGTGATTCTCCTGCCTCAGCCTCTTGAGTAGCTGAGATGCAGGCGCGCGCCACCATGCCCAGCTAATTTTTGTATTTTTAGTAGAGATGATGTTTACCGTGTAGGCCAGGCTGGTCTCGATCTCTTGACCTCGTGATCCGCCTGCCTCAGCCTCCCAAAGTGCTGGGGCAACAGGAGTGAGCCACCACACCTGGCCTGTGCCCCCTTTTAAGGCTGCGCATGTCCTTCATGCTCAACCCTCTTAGATTCACAGGCCTCAGTCCTGCGGCACTGAGCCCCTACCTACCATCCTCTGTGCAGCACACACAGTGCAGGGAGCCAGTGGCGATGGCGATGACTTTCTTCCCCTGCAACCCTTGGACCTGCCGAGGCCTTCGAACATGGTCATCTGATCCATGGCCCAACCTGTGATAATCGCCTTTGCCCCTGCACACAAAGGAAGCATGGAAATTATGGGGCAAGGTGATCTCACTGACCACCCTGACCAGCCTCCTGGGCAGCCTCTGCTGTTCAGGACACAACCATAGCCTGCTGCAGAAGCTACATTCCCATCCATGAAAAGGTGGTGCACATACCCCAATAAAAATCTGGTTTTAGTGGGTTTAAACAAACAGAATCTTGCGTACCAGGTATAAACAGCTCCAGATTTGGTAAGGGCAACAGAAAACTGGGATCCGCATTCCACTTTAACTACTCCAAGACCAGTAAGAGAATCAATCTAGAGGGGGAAAAGGTTCAATTAGACAGACAGCAACAAGGCTCCTGCTGACTGCTATAACCACACTGAGATTTAACTAAATCTAGTAAGAATTCTGAAAACTTGTACCCATGATGAATAATTAGTGCAACGTAAAATCATATTCCACTTAATCTCAGCACTCTCAGGAGGCAGGCGGGACCGTGACTGACAGCACACCCGTTGGCACACTGTGGCCCGGTGGGACCCAGCACAGGGCACCAGAAATGGGAGCTTTGCAGGTGAGGCCTGCAAGCCTCTCCCCAGAATGGCCTCCCGCAACCATGCTTCTCTGTGCAGGAGCACCAAACTCCAGCAATCCCTGTGTCTCTCCTCACCTGCCCCAGCCCTCTCAGAGCAGAGGCCCGCGGGGGAGGAGCAGCAGGCAAGGGGAGGGATGGCCAAAAGCACTGGGCCCCACCCACCCTCCACACTGCACACCTGCCAGCCAACTTTCCCTATCCCGCAAGCTGCTCCTCATGACCTCTGTGATTGCTCTCATATGTAAGTTCTTATATTTAATTCTGAACTCAAATTAATTAAAACTGACTTCATTCTCTAAATGAGACAATGTGGTAGGGCTCTAGTGTCTGGCCCTACCACAATGGCATCGGGACGTCCTGCTCCAGCCCCTCTGATGCCCAGCATCCTCAGCCTTGGAAGTGCAAACCCCAGGCTCTTTCCCACAAGGAGGGGCCTCTGACACATGCCACTGATGAGGGTCTGCTCCAGAAGCACCTGTGCCACACCTGCAACCCCACAGCCCCACGAGAGAGGAGGCCAGGCAGAGACAGGTTCGCAGCAACAGGCTCCCAAGTACCCAGCAGAGCACCTGGGCTACACGGCAGTGTGGTGTGCATGCACTGAGGTCACTGAGAAGCATGTGCAGGACCTGAACCACGTACCAGCCACCCATTCACAAGAGCAAAAGACATTCTGGCAAAGATAAGAAATCGCCTGCAGCCACCGGGCTTGAGTGGAGCAGAGCCGCCGACCCCACCAGGACTGCAGGACTCAGGCGCTGTGCAGGCCTTGCTCTCGCTCCTCACAGGACACCCACCTGAGATGGCCCCGGCTAACCCAGATGCAGTCCCTTTAGCAAGCACTGGCACCCCCAAGCGCGTGCCGTGGCAACTCCACACCACTGTAAATTGAGAGAGTGTGAGCCATGTGATATCCTTCTCTGAGACAGGCCTACATGCTATAAACCAGGAGGCTCCACGGTGCCCGGATGATCCCATCCACTTCTCAAGAGAACGCACACAGCACATAGAACACCTTACTCCCTCTAGGCCCTCCACACACTTTCTAGCCAATTACCCATTATATTTACTGGAACGAAGGTAAAGAGGAGGTTAAAGTGCTCCTAAGGAGCACACACGGGGGACAGTAATGGTGGCTCTGAGGCTGTGTTTTCCCAGAGGGGCCCTGGGGGCCCCTGACTGCGGTGAGCTGGGAGAGCACTGGGCAGGGAAAGAATGGGAAATACCTTCATAGGCACTTTACAGCCATCGCTGCCTCCCCGGCCGAGCTTGCCGTAGTCCCCGTCCCCCCAGGACCAGACAGTGTCGTCATCTGTGAGGCAGAGGGTCTGGGCATCTCCACTGCCACAGGCGATGTCAACCACACGGTGGCCCTGCAGCGCCTCCACCTTCAGAGAAAAGGGACTTGGGTTGGCCAAGCACAACACAAGAAGGCTTGCCACAGGACTGGCTTCACAACACTGCCATTCTTTTTTTATGGGGGTACCTGTTTTAAGCCTTTACAAAGAGGTGATTTCTAAAATCCTATAAGACAAAAGAGAAAGCACCTTCATCTATTTGAACTACATGCATCTAAACCGCAGGAGGAGGTATCAGCGTCTTTGATGAGCCAACCCTACATCACCATGAAGGCTGTTTATTCACTTCTTGCACCCAAAAATACAGTGGGCCTTCTAGAAGCCAAAGCATTTTTCATAACAACGGTGGCAAACCGCCCCCATCTGACAGCAGCAGTGAGGAGCATGCAGCCTCTGGCCTCTGCACACGGCGCCTCCTCACCAGCTTCGGCTTCAGCTGGTCCTCACTGTCGCTGTGCCCCAGCCGGCCGTAGCGGCCTTTGCCCCATGTGTAGAGGTCCCCGGCTGCTGTGACACAGGCGCTGTGGGCTCCGCCAGCAGCAACATCGACCACTTCAATTCCTCTCAGAGACTCGATGACACGAGGGCGGTCACACGGACTGCAAAAAAGTCACCAAATATAATGGAAACACATTTTTATTCTTAAACATTTTTCAGTGTATTAAATACCTCTCAATCTACACCTTCCTAATCAGTTAATTGTTAAATCAATCAAGAAGAATCATTCAGACCTAAACTCAAAAGGTCACCACTTCCTATCTCCTTCCTGTACAAGGCCAGAGGACACGGCTTCCCCAGCTCTGACTCAGAGGCTGGAAAGTGACCACACATACTGGGTCAAGTTCGAAGCACAGACCATTTTTCAAAGGCCTATGAGCTGAGAACAGGTTTTACATTTTAACGGGTTTAAAAAAAAAAAAAAAGAATCATATGCAACTCCTAAAATAGTTACCATCTGGCCCTATAAGGAAAGTTTGCACCTCACCCCCACTATGAATTAACAATTCATTTAAGGAGTTTTAACATATGAATGTCACTAGTCTATAACATAGTGACTACTGATAACAAACTTTTTGTTTTCTTATTAAGTTCTGAAAGAAGTTCTTTATATATTTTGGCTATCAGACCTTAGTCAGATTATATGATTGTGAATATCCTTTCCCAGCTTGTGGTTTCAATCTCTTCATAGTGTCTTTTGAAGAACAGTTCATAATTTTTATGAAGTCCAAGTTATATTTTTCTTTCATGAATCATGCTTTTGGAGTTCAATCTAAAAATCTTTTCTGACCTAAAGTCACAAAAATTTTCTCATGTTTTCTTCCAGAACTTTTAAGTTTTACATTTTACATTCTACATTCATGACTATGGTTCATTTTGAATTAATGTTTGGATATGGTGTAAAGTATGAATTTAAGTTCATTTCTTGCCATAGGTTATCCAATTATTCAAAACCACTTGTTGAAAATAGTATATTTTCTCCAGTGAACTGGCTGTGCACTCGTATAAACTGTGCACTAGAAACTGTGAGAAGTCCAGTTTCATTTTTCCACACTCATCTTGTCAGCATTTGCCAGCCGGTTTCTGGATTCCCTATTCTGCTCCATTGATGTATCTGTCTCTCTCTTTTTGCCAGCACCAAGCCATGCTGTTTACTGCAGCTATAAATGAGGCTTAAGTCAGGTAGTGCAAGTCTTCCGACCTTTTCCTCATTTTCAAAGTTGATTTGACTATTCTAGGCCATCTGCATCTCCATATACATTTTATGCTCCGCTTATCAATTTCTATACAAATCTTGATTGGGAAGGTGTTGAATCTATAGATTTGAGGATAGCCAGCAAATTAACAATACTGACTCTTCTGCTCCATGAACACAGCATGCCCCTTCACGACTTTAGGTTTTTTAAAAATTATCTCAGCAATACTTTGTAGTCTTCTGTCTACAGGGTCATTCACATTTTTGGGTCAGATTTATCCCATAGTTTTTCAATTCTGGGAGAGGGTATTCTAAGTGGTATTTTAAAATTTCACTTTCTGGTTACGTATATGTATACGTATAGATGTACAAGTAACTTTTATTTATTGATCTTCTATCCCGCAACACTGCTAGCCTCACTTATCAGTTCTAGCAGCTTTTTGTAAATACCACCAGGTTCTCTGCATAAACAATGTTTTCTGCAAAAAAGACAGTTTTAATTCTCTTTACAATCTAGATGCCTTTTATTTCTTTGCACTGCTGTACCGCACTTACTAAACCTGTTGCACAATGTTGAAGAGAAGTGGTGATAGCAGACATCCTTGCCTTGATCCTCAACTCAGGGGGAAAGCTTTTGGTCTGTTGCCATTAACTACAACCTAAGCTCTAGGTTAACAGAGATGCCCTTGATCAGGTAAAGGAAGAGACCTCTTACTCCTAGACTACTCAGAGTTTTTATCAGAAATGGATGTTGGAGTTTGCCAAATTATTTTTTCCTCTTTTTTTTTTTTTTTTGAGATGGAGTCTCGCTCTGTTCCCCAGGCTGGAGTGCAGTGGCGCAATCTCGGCTCACTGCAACCTCCACCTCCCGAGAAGCTGGGACTACAGGTGTGTGTCACCACATCTGGCTAATTTTTTTCTATTTTTTGTAGAAATGGGGTTTCATCATGTTGCCCAGGCTAGTCTTGAACTCCTGAGTTCAAGCAATCTGCCCACCTCAGCTTCCCAAAGTGCTGGGATTACAGGCGTGAGCCACCACGCCGGACCTGTTTAATATATTTTATATGGTGGTTTAGTTATTCCTAGGATAAGAAGGCCCCTGTTACTCCAATCTGGCTGGTAGTTCTCATTAATTTTTTAATACTTGTGAGTTTGGTTCATTCTTTTACAAATGGTGTCAATTGTGCGTTCTTTCTTCCTCACCCCTGCTATTTCCTCTGTATTTGCAGTTCTAGTATCATGCACGTTACACAAAATGCCAAACGTGATTCAGTGGATGATTTAAGGGAGAAGGACAAAAAAACACTTACTTAGTACTTGTCATCAAAAACACAGAATTGACTTTTTTTTCCCTCTCAACAGAGGAATCATACGGGTAAGCCTTCGTATTGGAACATAAAACTATTTCTGCCAAATGAGTCATTAACATTATTTAGTTTGAGAGTAATGTAAATGTTGCCTTGAAAAACAAAGCGCCAATAGATTGTAGCAGCATTAAAACAAACAAAAACAAAGACAAATAGAATGTTGAAATAATTTTTTCACATCATACCTTCTGTTGCCATGCCCCAACTTCCCATCTTCTGCCTCACCCCAAGAGTAAACTTCTCCTTCTGAAGACAGGGCAAGGCAGTGCTTTCCTCCAGAGTTCACAGCTACTTTCTTAATAAACACATGCTGAATGGATTCAAGCAATGTTGGGGTGGACACCGACTCTGTCCCTCCAATGCCTAGTCTGCCACCTGCACCATACCCAGTGGCATACAGCTAAGAAAAGAAAAAGCAATAGTAACATCAGTTTTTAATCTCAATATCCCCTAAATTTACTAATTCATAAACCTAATCCATGCTTTAGACATTTTTACCACATAGAAATAAAATTTAAAGTTAAAAATCTCAGGAATATAAGTTTATGCCTTTATACATGCTCTATCAAAGTTCTAGAAATGAAATAAAAACATGACTATTAGAAATTCCAAATTCAGAAAACATATTGTGAAAATAAGGTCTTCTTGCTGGAAGCTCTTCCATTTTTGTGTAGAATACCAACTACAATTAACACCAAGAAAAATAAAAAACAATTTAATTATCTACTATATGCAAAACTCTGACAATAACAGCCACAAAACATACCCATAAAAGAACACAAATACATTTTAATATTTCAGCAGGGCAGCATATAAACCACACGGGAAAAAAACACCTTTTTTTTTTTTAATCTAAGTGGGAATGTTTTAGGACACAAAACATCTATGATTAATTTTAAAAAATGATTAATTTAAAAACATACACACACTAAATCAGACTGCCGTTTTCCAAATGAAGGCAAACATCCCTCCTGATAAAAACTTAAATGCTGTTCCATGCTGTTTTAGACATCTTTCAAACGTGCTGCTACGCTGACATAATAGTAAGGAAGCCACAAGGGCCAATGCAGGAAGTGAAACCCAAACTCAGGTGGATAAATGAGCCCCACACCCAAAGCCAGCTTCTGGCGGGGAGGGTGTGAGGCTCTCTGGTGCACAGGGTGCAGGGTAATGCAGCATGCCTCCCAGGACTTCCTATAGAAAGTGGGGCTCCAAAGGGTTGCCCCTCAGTGACTGTGAATAAGAAGAACACCACAGAAAGCTGCCCTTCCCAGCCTCAGCACTGAAAGGGAGACAGAGGCTTGCTCCTGAGAATTCATAACTACAACAGGAGTTGGCAAATTATGGCCCATGTGCCAAATCAGGCCCATCATTTCTTTCTGTAAATGAAGCTTTACGGGAACACGGCCACACCCACTCATTTATAATATGTCCAGGGCTGCTTTTGTAGTCGCAACAGAGACCATATGGCCCAAAGCTGAAAATACCATTGTGCCCTTTACAGAAAGTGTTTACCAACCCCTACCCTAGAAAAAGGACAAAATGAAGATATTTTGAAACAAACAATCAGAATTAACCAACGAAAGAATTTCACTAAAGTAAATTGAGAAAGATATGCTAAAGGAGAAGGAAATGATTTTATAAGATCTGAGACATAACAAATGATGGTAAGAAATGATAGTAAGCAAAGATGTGCAACATTTAGCTAACTCAAAAAAAAAAACCACAGTCCATATAAAACAACCAAAACAACAGCAATAATGTCTATGGCAGAGGGGAATAGGTTAGAACCCAAACACTGGGTAACAAGGGGTCACTGATTGGGAGGAGGGGAAAATACTAATTAACTTTAGGTTTTTAAGTACCTATGTTAAAATAACCAGAGAAACAATGAAAAGAAACAGAATTCTCCTGAGAATTGACACAGAGGGGCTATATTTCAAACCTTTTTATGAGGCTAGACCACTTCAACACCTGTGCTAGCAGTCTGCCTCTGATACGGTTCACAATGATCCCTGCTTCTAAATATGTGTGCTCCTGTATACAGGCACACCCCATTTGACTGTGCCTCGCTTTACTGTACCTCGCAGATACTGTTTTTTATAAACTGAAGGTCTGTGGCAACCCTACACTGATCAAGTCTATCGGCGCCATTTTCCCAAAAGCATGTGCTGACTTACCGTCGCTATGTCACGTTTTGATAATTCTTGAAATATTTTAAACTTTTTCATTATTTTATCTGTTATGATGATCTGTGATCAGTAATGTTTGATGTTACTGTTGTACTTGTTTTGAGGCACCACAAACCACACCCATAGAAGACGGTGAACTTAAATGATAAATGTGTATGTTCTGATTGCTCCGCCAACCAGCTGTTCTCCCATCTCTCTCCCTCTCCTCAGACCTCCCTATTATGTCCCTGAGACACAACTTATTGAAATAAGGCCACTTAATAACCCTACAGTGGCCTCTAAGAGTTCAAGTGAAAGGAAGAGTTGCATATTTCTCACTTTAAGTCAAAAGCTAGAAATGATTAAGATTAGTGAGTAAGGCACACTGAAAGCCAAGACAGGCTGAATGCTAGGCCTCTTGCACCAGTTACCCAAGAAAAAGTTCTTGAAGCACAATTAAGTGCAATTCTTGTAAACACACAAATGATGAGAATGCAAAACAGTCTTATTGCTGATATAGAGAATGTTTGGCATAGACAGAAGATCAAAACGGATACAATATTCCCTTAAGCCAAAGCTAATCCAGAGCTTGCTAACTGTCTTCAATTCCACGAAGGCTAACAGAGGTGAGAAGGCTGCTGAAGGAAAGTCTGAAGGTAACAGAGATTGGTTCCTGAGGTTTAAGGAAAGACGCCGTCTTCATAACATAAAAGTGCAAGGGAAAGTAGCAAGTGCTGATGTAGAAGCTGCAGCAAGTTACCCAGAAGATCTAGCCAAGATCAGTGATGAAGGTGGCTACGCTAAACAACAGGCTTTCAACGTAGATGGAACAACCGTCTATTGGAAGAAGATGCCAGCTAGGACTTTCATAGCTAGAGAGAAGTCAATGTTTGCCTTCAAAGCTTCAAATATTTTGTTAGGGGCTAATGCAGCTGATGACTATATTAGTTGAATTCACTGAAGTCAATGCTCATTGACCATTCTGAAAATCTTAGGGCCCTTAAGAATTATGCTAACTCCACTCTGACTGTGCTCCAGAAATAGAACAAAACCTGGAAGTCAGCACATTTGTTTACAGCATGGTTCACTGAATATTTTAAGCCCACTATTGAGGCCTACTGCTCAGAAAAAAAGATTTCTTTCAAAACATTACTGCTCATTGACAATGTACCTGGTCGCCCAAGAGCTCTGATGAACATGTACAAAGAGATTAAAGTTGTTTTCATGCCGGCTAACACATCATTTTTTCTGCAGCCACATGGATCAAGGAGTAATTTCGACTTTCAAATCTTGTTATTTAAGAAATACATTTCATAAGGCTATAGCTGCCATAGACAGTGATTCCTCTAACGGATGTGGACAAACTAAATTGAAAACCTTCTGGAAAGCCAGCACCATTATAAATGCCATTAAGAACATTTGTGATTCATGGGAGGAGGTGAAAATATCAACATTAACAGGGATTTGGAAGAAGTGGATTCCAACCCTCACAGATGACCTTGAGGGATTCAACACGAGTGGAAGAAGTGACCTCAGATGTGGTGGAAACAGCAAGAGAACTAGAATTAGAAGTGGAGTCTAAAGATGTGACTTAATAGACTATAGTACTTTTATATCCACTGGGAAACCAAGAAATTTGTGTGACATGCTTTGTGAAGACACTTGCTTTATTGTGTTGATTTAGAACCAAGCCTGCATATCTCCAAGCATGCCTACAGCTCCCTCTCCCTGAGTGTGGGCTGGACTTAATGACCTGCTTCTGATGAGCAGAATAGGGCAAGAACTGGAGTGTGGTCACTTCTGTGATTCAGTTACACAGGACCGGGGCTCTGTCTCCTCCACTCTCTCTTGCTGGTGCTCCCTCCTGCGCCTCCCTTGCTCTCGCTGACAGAGTCAGCTGCCACCCTGTGAGACGCTCTATGGACACGTGGCAAAGGGCTGAGTGAGGGGAGGCTCTGCCAACAGCTCATAAGGGACTGAGGCCTCAGCCCAAAGTTCCATGAGGGACTGAATCCTTGCTCGGACAGCCTCAAGATGACTGCAGCCTGCTGAGATTCTGAGCTGGAGGACGGAGCTATGCTGCATCCAGAGTCCTGACCCAGAGAAACTATGAAATAATAAATGTGTGTGAGACAGTACATTACATGAGAGTATCTCACTCATGAATAGGATCTCCCAAAAATCTAAAACAAAACTATCACAAACACAAGCCAGATACATATCCTGACCAAACTGGATCTATCCAAAGAATGTAAGTTTGTTTAATATGAGAAAACCAATTAATCCAACTGGCTATACTAATCCATTAGAAAACACTGGCCGGGCACGGTAGCTCATGCCTGTAATCCCAGCACTTTGGGAGGCCAAGGTGGTCGGATCACAAGGTCAGGAGTTCAAGACCAGCCTGGCCAATATGGCGAAACCCCATCTCTACTAAAAAAAAAAAAAAAAGAAAGATTAGCCAGGCGTGGTGGTGGGCGCCTGTTGTCCCAGCTACTCGGGAGGCTGAGGTAGGAGAATCGCTTGAACCCAGGAGGCAGAGGTTGTAGTGAGCCGAGACTGTGCCACTGCACTCCAGCCTGGGCGACAGAGTGAGACTCTGTCTCAAAAAAAAAAAAGAAGAAGAAGAAAACATCTATGAAAGAACATTTCAAAACACGTAGAAAGAGTGTTGAACAAAAATCAGTGTCCACTGTTGACTAGAAACAGAAGGAAACATGCCTAATCTGATCAAGGGCTTCTACTCAAACCCCACTGGAAGCCTGGGAACGCTCCATCTGCACCCGCTCCAGTCTTGATCAAGGCAGGAGCCTCCACCCACTCCTACCCAGAATCACACCGCAACCCCAGCCTGCACCATGAGCTCCCATTCTCCCACACAAACGGGAAAAATAAAAGAGAGGTAGGCTAGACAGAAAGGAACAGCATTCATTTAGAGACTACGGCACTCTATAAAGAAGATACAAGAAATCTTCACATATACTAGAATGGAGACAGTCAAGTAGGTCACCAAACATAAAGTCAATATATAAACATCCAATATTTCTATATATCAGTGGCAATCTTTTTTTGGGGGCGGAGACAGAATCTCACTCCGTCACCCAGGCTGGAGTGCAGTGGTGTGATCTCGGCTCACTGCAACCTCCATCTCCCGGGTTCCAGTGATTCTCCTGCCTCAGCCTCCCGAGTAGCTGGGATTACAGGCACATGTCACTGAGCCTGGCTTATTTTTGTATTTTTCGTAGAGACAGGGTTTTCCTATGTTGGCCAGGCTGGTCTCGAACTCCTGACATCAGGTGATCCACCCACCTTGGGCTCCCAAATTGCTGGGATTACAGGCATGAGCCACCGCACCGGGTCAGCAGCAATACATTTTTTAAAAGATAGTATTTACAATAGCAAACAAGAAATACATCTAACGAGTGATGTGCAAATAAAAATTGTAATACTTTTGCATACATGACGTATTTTCAAAATAAAAATAAAAATAAATTGGCCGGGCGTGGTGGCTCATGCCTGTAATCCCAGCACTTTGGAAGGCCGAGGTGGGTGGATCACCTGAGGTCAGGAGTTCGAGACCAGCCTGGCCGACATGGTGAAAACCTGTCTCTACTAAAAATACAAAAGTTAGCCAGGTGTGGTGGCGGGCGCCTATAATCCCAGCTACTTGGGAGGTTGAGGCAGGAGAATCACTTGAACTCAGGAGGTGGAGGTTGCAGTGAGCCGAGACCACGCCATTGCACTCCAGCCTGGGCAACAAGAGCAAAACTGTCTTAAACTTTTTTTTTTTTTAATTTAAAGATTATACAAAAATATCTTAGAACTCTAGCTGCTTCCTGCATACCACAGTATCATTAATCCTGAGAAACGTTTTAGTACAGATCCTTGCACGTGCTAAGAACCACACAGCACCTTTAGCCACAACTGCCTCAGGCTCAATGACCTTGTGACATAGAAAAAGAGCTCTTACCTTCCCATCAGCCGTCACAGCAAAGAGGGTCTGTTCCCCTCCGATTAACTGCACGGGTCTGAGAGTTGCAAGGGCTTCACAGGGAGTGGGAACTTTGACTTTTGCGCCTTCAATGCCCCCGAGCTGGCCCCTGTGATTATGTCCCCATCCATAAATTGTTCCACTGCCACCAGCAGAGAGAGTCCAGTCATCTGGTCGCCTACAATACACATCAAGTGAGCATTTGCCATGGGCAAGAACAATGCACACAGCCTCTCACACTCACGATCGACATTACTGCTTGTTTCTAATATAATAACCTGTTCATCCACTGCACAAGTTGTTCGTCTTGCTCTCTTTTAAAAATGTCATGGCTCTCATGCAGAACATCCATGTTTTCGCTGTCTGCCATTAATTCACGAATTTTCTTAGCCACCTAAACAAAATTATTATGATGTTACAAATCAAACACTTATCTCAAACAAAATAGATAAATACTAAGGAAAGACAGAAGGAATCCCTGCCTAAAAATATGAGGGAAGAGCAACATTGCAATGTTATGGTTCATGGGCAAAACCAATAATGACTGCATCAAGTCTAACATATTAGAAATGTCTAGACAGTATCATTCTACCTGTAGTTTACTAAAAATAAACTTTAACTGAAATTCACAGTGTCAGTTCACTCATTTTCACCTATGTGTTATTTTCTTTGATATTCCTTGGCAAGCGAAATTTTTCTGTGTCTCGTAATATTGGCATCTTGTTACACTATAGCTAAATAATGTTTTTGCATCCCAAAAGTGATTCCAAAATATCATGCAATACCTCATCAAGAAACAGACGGGGCAACGGTGTTCTTTTGTCAAGGGCCACAGCAACACGGGAGGCCATGCAGTACCTCCGGAACCAGGCCCACTTGTGCGTCTCGGCACAGCAAGGCAGAGTGTCCAGCTCCAGGTCACAAGCAAGAGCTACCAGTACCTGCAGGCACCAAAAATGACAAACTCAGGGAAACTCAGAAATGCAGTGAACAGGCCAAGGTTTCTGTGGCTCCTTCCGCAGGACCTCCTATTCCAGGATGACGGCCATGGGCACAGCAAGGATACGGCCACCATCAGTGATGTGGCGACCTCTGACAGTTCCTAGCCACGTGCCACACAACTGCTGCAACACTTGTTGCCTGCATCAAGTGACAAGAACACCTGTGCATCTCAAGGCATGCTAACGGTTACAGGCTTATGGTTTAAGGGTTTAGATTACACGATCATTTCTTGAGATTTTTTCATATTTGACTTCAGCAATACCTACAGCTGCCCTCAGAGGCCTAAAACACACACACTGCACATGACAACTCTCAGTGGCTCTTTCAGTCAAATAGCTCTATTGTCACTTTAAAAAAGAAGTGAAACATTACCTTAAAGAATGGGCTGTGGAGCAGCTGTTTGCCACCCCTCACAATAGGATCTTCATATTCAAACTGCCTTTGCAAAGCTTCTGGAAGACCTTTCACCAAAGCAGCAAGAGCACTACCTGTAAAACTCTAAGAAACAACAGAACAGTATTCTATCGCAGGAATCCAGGTGCCGGGGAGGCTGACCATTTGTTTCTACCGTCAAATGTTTTATTATGTTGGTACTAACTCTTCTAAAAAAACTAAAAAAAAAAAGCTTATCAAAATTCTCAAGTAGGAAAAAAGCTAAAAGAACATAAACACTGAAATAAAAAAGAGGAGTTTGAAGACTCATCTCAGAATGTTTGGTCTTGATTTCAGTACATCCGCTTCCAGAGAAATAGCCCCTCTCTGGCCCACAAACGCTGCCTGTCTCGTCCCATGGGTAGGATCAAAAGGGACTACTTTAGTCAGCAAAATAAAGGGGAGGCCAATCAGTTAGCCTCATTGTAAAGTCCAATCAACACAATCCTATGTTCACAGCTGTCGAGACAGATTTTCAGAATATCAAAGTCCAACTTGAACTCAGTATACACTGCAACATACGAGAAGTCTGGATGGGACAAAGGCCTCCTTATTTTTATTCATTTATTTATTTTTTTTGAGATGGAGTCTCGCTCTGTCACCAGGCTGGAGTGTAGTGGCGGGATCTCAGCTCACTCCAACCTCCACGTCCCAGGTTCAAGCGATTCTCCTGCCTCAGCCTCCCAAGTAGCTGGGACTACAGGTGCCCACCACCACGCCCATCTAATTTTTTGTATTTTTAGTAGAGTCAGGATTTCACCGTGTTAGCCAGGATGGTCTCGATCTCCTGACCTCGTGATCCGCCCACCTCAGCCTCCCAAAGTGGTGGCATTACACGCATGAGCCACCGCGCCCGGTCCAAGGCCTCCTTATTCTTATGTGAAACTCCCCAACTCCTCTCAACGATTTAGAGGTTTAGACTACTAAAGCAACATTTTATTCCCCAAGGGTCACAAATCTAGAAATTGTACTAGAATGCTCCATACCAAAGCTCTTGTTTCCCCATCATTTTCTCCAAGCAGCCTATTTATGTTAATTGACTGCCCAAATTCAGTTGTAAGCAGCTTCCTCAGTCTCTGAAGGGCCCACATTCTGTGACTGGCAGCTGAAATGAGCAGAGAGAAAGTATCAGAAGTCTGATGGTTTCTTCCAAGCAGGAAGACAGATGTAACTGTAATGGTGGCATTTACCTAGGGCACTCAGCTGTGCACAAGCTGCCAGCGAGGCCGCAAGGCGAGGGACGATGCTTCTGTTAGAGGCAAGGTTGAGTCGGAAGTCTAACAGACACGTCACCAAGTCCATGGATGGACAGGAGAGGACGCAGCGGTCAGAGAGGAGTTCTTTAGGGCCTGTGAATGAACACTGTAAACATCCCCGGGTTTCACAAGCTAGGTACCACCCCATAAGAAGCCGCCAACGAACAAGGGTGGCTCCACCCAGCCCCACCCACCAGAAGGCAACAGCTGGTGTGCCCATGCATGCCACTGCGAGTCGGTGAGACTCGCTCTTCACACTCACATTTCCACTGTAAACCAAAAGCCTAAGAACTGCACCAGCAACAACTCCTTCCACACCAGGTGAGGAGGAGTGTGAGCCTGACAGCTGGATGGCTGGGACAGATCTGTGTTCTGTTCCACGCCTCAGCAGGGCCTGTGAGAGCACTCACTCCAACACAGCAGAAGGCAGGCTGTCAGGCACTACGTGGACATGTGCACGTGTCCCTGTTGCTCCAGAAACAATCCACAGCCAGTCATCTAACCTTGATCGCCATAAGCCCCTTCCTTACCAGCAGCTGGCATGATGGGATAGACGGTGAAGCGCCAGCCCCAGCCATTCACAGACCCATCGCTGATGAACTTCCACTTTAACTCATCCCCTGGGATGCGCAGCTCGCTGGACCAGTCGGACCACTCTCGGCCTGCGGGAGGAAAGCGCACCCCGGGGTTAGCTTCACTCCATCATCCAATCAACACAAACCTTCTTAGACGCAAAGCAGAATGATTTCCGTCACGTGTGAAGAGCAAGTTCCTCCAATCCAAGCTCTCCCAAGCCGAAGTGCACAGTGACACAACACTCTTGGGATTCACATTTTAATACATACCATTCTTCAGCAAACACGCATTCAGCCCCTGTACCAGGTACCCAGGAAACTGCGGCAGGCGGGCAGACACTGCCCTGGCAGAAGCCACCACCCAGTGGGGAAATGACCCCACCAGCCAGGATACAGTGAGTGGCCTCCAGGTGTCCAGCACACACCAGGCCAGGGGCCATGGGGACATTTCCCGGGAAAGCTCTGATACAACCAGGTGACCAGGCAGCAGAAGGAAGAACCCTAGCTCTCCCAACAAAAGGCCTATGTGTGTGGTTCAGCACGGCCCAGAGTAGGCCGCCCTCGAGGGAGCAGAGGGCCTGGCTGCTGTGGACAGGAGCGGTGGTGTACTACACCTAAGATCTACAGGATCTTAGAAGGCCAAGAGAACCCTGCCAGATTTCTGCTTCAGAAGGACCATCTGCCAGCAGCTCAGGGATGGCCCATAAAGGCTTTCCACTGGATGCAGAAAAACTCACATCCAACAACACTACTGAAAACTACACTGGCAGACATCTGTCAAAGCACCAGAAAAACCCACGCGCACTGGGACCATACCATTTCATGCAAAGCTTTACTTAACTAAGTAACACTGTGTGAATAAAGTTTTCCTGGGACACAGCCACGCCCATTCTCTGGCATCCAGTCTGCATGTTGTTATGACAGAGGCTGCATTACCTGGCCCTTTACAGGAAACACTCGAGATGAAGGATAAAGAGGTCTTAAAAGGTGCATACACACACCCCTGCACTGCCAATTCTAAAATACTTGGTAAAAGAGCATTTCACAAGCACCCAAAGACGGACCTGACCTGTCCCAGCTGGCCTCATGGAGCCCAGCAGCAGAGATAAGCCGGACATGTGGCTGCCTCCACCTACATACAGAAGTCACTCCACACATGGCCATGCCCTCACTGCAGCCAGTAAGAAACAAACCTTTTGAAGAAGCTCTGCAGTATGCCAACCATGACCTTACACGAGCTCTGGCACCTCACACGTCTCCAGCACCTTCTGCAACTGTCTGATGAGGCAGGGCCCATCCGACAGGGATGTGGTACATACATCACAGATAATTACTGTATTTAAAAGTATGGGAAAGAGGCAAGCAAACCCACTGTGTTTCACAGCTGAATAGCATATTGTCCCTTCCTTAAGACTTCCATGAGAATACGAAGGCAGCATTCTGTCCTACAAATGTGAAGGGTTGTGTCTACGGAGACACAGGTGGGTAGATCATGCCCTGCTCAACCTCCTGTCCTTACCTGACCGCACGGAGACGATCCTGTTGACGCCGTCCATGACTGTGAGAGGGTCGTGGCGCCTCTCTGTGGAGCACTGCCGGTCAAATTCTACCCTGAGTCCTTCTGCACCTGAAGGACAGGCAAGCACAAAACATAGCAACCACTCCAGATCAGCACCCAAAGTAGAAACAGTGAAACTAAAACCACATTTAACAGCTAATGAATAGCAGAAAGTCAGAAAGAACTGGCCTCAAAGACAAGCATCTCAGACTGACCACTCTTTCCCCAGCTCATCCCCACTGAAGATCATGTCTGTGGACTGGAAGGCCAGAAAACACTTCCACTTGGCCAATTTGTTTTGTGCGGTCACTCCCGGGCAGACTTTCCTACTGCAACCACACTCCCCTGATCAAGCTTTACAGCGAACATCACACTGACCAGGGGCTGTGGGAATGCCCAGTGTGCAGCCAAGTCAGATGGCAGCTGTGGGTCACCTGGGGAGTGAGCGGCATTGGAGGTGAGGAGCACCTCAACTTCTGGCGTGTCCAGAGAACTGGAGAACCGCTTGGTGTGGAGAACCCGCACATCTGGTGTGAGAGGTGTGCGAGCAGAGGCACAAGAGTTTTCCTTCAGGCTGGAAGATCTAGCAGAGGATGGCACTGAGAGGCCGGGAAAGAGGCAGGGGAGGAAGGAGGGAAGAAGGAGGGACGTGGGGCAGGGGCTCAGGTCCTCTCTTACGGTTACAGGGTTGACAGGCTTGGACTGGTTTTAAGATACTATCTCTGCATGCTCTGTTGGGAGCTGATTCTGGGGGGGCCGCAGGAGGTGGGGAGTGGAAGCAGGAACACAGGGAGGCAGCTAGTATGTGGTTGCTAGGATGATAAACTGGGTGAGACCCCACGGTGCTCTAGCCCAGAATGTCTAGAGTGAGGGAAAAATGGTTGAATTTGGAATATATTTTAAAAGCAGAGAAAACAGGATTTGCTGGTGGACTAGATATAAAGCGAGAGAGAAACAGAAGAGAAAAAGGGTCACAAGATTTTCGTCTAGGAAAAGGCTGACTAGAAATACCCTTTGTTCTTTAAATTTCTATCATGAAGTAATAGCTTCAAGTTTAAAAATGCTTTTCTGGGCCAGATGTAGTGGTACACTCCTGTAATCTTAGCACTTCGGGAGGCCGAGGCAGGCAGCTTGTTTGAGCTCAGGAGTTAAAGACAGGCCTGGACAACAGGCTATATATTTTATTATATATTATATATTTTAAAATATAAAATTTTAAAAATTAGCTGGGCACGGCCTATAGTCCCAGTTACTCAGGAGGCTAAGGAAGGGGGATCGCTTGAGCCCAGAGTTTGGGGCTGTAGTGAGCCACGATCGTGCTACCATACTCCAACCTGGGCGACAAAGTGACAAAGCTTTTCTGAATCTCACACCTCATTCTAAAAGTTGAAGAAAAATGATTTCACAAAAAAAGTGAGTGAGATAAAAGTATAAGACCAAATACAATAAAAAGTTATTGTTAGAAAAAGGGAATAGGCTGGGTACAGTGGCTCACACCTGTAACGATCTCAACACTTTGGGAGGCCCAGCTGGGAGGACTGCTTGAGCCCAGGAGTTTGAGACAAGATTGGGCAACACAGAGAGACTCATCTCCACAAAAAATAAAAATAAGTTAGCCAAGTGTGGCAGCACAAGCCTGTAGTCCTAGCTTCTCGGGAGGCTGATGGGGAAGGACGGCTTGAGCCTGGGAGGTCGAGGCTGCAGTGAGTCAGAATCACACCACTGCACTTCAGCCTGGGTGACAGAGCAAGACTGTGTCTCCAAAAAAAAAAAAAAGAAAAGTGAGAATAAGGAACAAAATAACATCCCCACAGGCAATAAAAGCAGGCCAGAAAGATACACCCACAAAACACATCAACCCTGAACATTTCAAAACAAATTGAGTGAAATTAGAAAAATGATACAAGACATGAAAGAACCACATAAATCAGACTTACAAAAACCAAAACATTTTATAAAGCTGAAGACAGAATTACAATAAAACTACATTCCAATGGAGACTAAAACAGAGTGTAAAATCAAATAAACACAGCAGATGCTACCTTAAGACAAATAGGAAAAAAGGAGGAAATTTTAAAAAAAGAAACAGAGGTAGAAAGTACTTGAAAGAGAAAGTAACCAACATTAACTCTAAAAGGCATGAACTATGCAATGCATGGAGAGTTACCAAGTGTCCCCAGAAAAGACTGCTAAGCAAGGCTACAGAACAAACACTGCAGACTGTAATTCAAGAGAACGTCCTGCAAAACAGACTTGGGACGACAGACTAAAGGAGCACCCCTTACCCGAGAACATCACCGAGAACGGCCGCATGAACGTACATTCTGGTGAAATCACCAAAAAAACACATGCGGCTGCTAACCGAGAACGGCCACACGAACGCACATTCTAGTAACACTACCGAAGAAACACATGCGGCTTCTAACCGAGAACATCACCGAGAACGGCTGCATGAACGCGCATTCTAGTAAAACTACCGAAGAAACACATGCGGCTTCTAACCGAGAGCATCACCGAGAACGGCCACACGAACGTACATTCTAGTAAAACTACTGATAAAACACACGCAACTTCTAACTGAGAACATCACTGAGAACGGCCACACAAACGTATATTCTAGTAAAATTACTGAAAAAACACACAACTCCTAACTGAAACATCACCGAGAACGGCCACACCAACATACATTCTAGTAAAATTACCAAAAAAACACACACGGCTCCTAACCGAGAACATCACCGAGAACGGCCGCACAAACGTACATTCTAGTAAAATTACCGAAAAAACAAACGAGACTCCTAACCGAGAACATCACCAAGAACAGCCACACGAACGTATAATCTAGTAATATTACCAAAAAAACACACGCGACTTCTAACCGAGAACATCACCAAGAATGGCCACACGAACGCACATTCTAGAAAAATTACCGAAAAATACACGCAGCTCCTAACTGAAAACATCACCGAAAATGGCCACACGAACACGTGTTCTAGTAAAATTACCGAAAAAACACACGCAGCTCCTGAGAACATCACCGAAAATGGCCACACCAACATACATTCTAGTAAAATTACCAAAAAAACACACGCGGCTCCTAACCGAGAACGTCACCGAGAACGGCCACACCAACATACATTCTAGTAAAATTACCAAAAAAACACATGCGGCTCCTAACCGAGAACGTCACCGAGAACGGCCACACCAACATACATTCCAGTAACATTACCAAAAAAACACACGCGGCTCCTAACCGAGAACGTCACCGAGAATGGCCACACCAACATACGTTCTAGTAAAATTACCAAAAAAACACACGCGGCTCCTAACCGAGAACATCACCGAGAACGGCTGCACGAACGTACATTCTAGTAAAATTACCGAAAAAATACATGCAACTTCTAACCGAGAACATCACTTAGAATGGCCACATGAACGCACGTTCTAGTAAAATTACCGAAAAAACACACGCGACTTCCAACCAAGAACGGTCACACCAATGTATATTCTAGTAAAATCACCGAAAAAACACACGTGACTTCTAACCAAGAACATCGCCGAGAACAGCCACACGAACGCACATTCTAGTAAAATTACCAAAAAAACACATGCGACTTCTAACCAAGAGCATCACCAAGAACAGCCACACGAACGCACATTCTAGTAAAATTACCAAAAAACACACACGGCTCCTAACCGAGAACATCACCGAGAACGGCCACACGAACACACATTCTAGTAAAATTACCAAAAAAACACACGTGACTTCTAACCAAGAACATCACCTAGAACGGCCACACAAACGCACATTCTAGTAAAATTACCGAAAAACACACACGGCTCCTAACCGAGAACATCACTGAGAATAGCCGCACAAATGCACATTCTAGTGAAATCACGAAAAAAACGCACGCGGCTGCTAACCGAGAACATCACCGAGAATGGCCACATGAACGTACGTTCTAGTAAAATTACCGAAGAAACACACGCGGCTTCTAACCGAGAACATCACTGAGGACGGCCACACGAATGTATATTCTAGTAAAATTACTGAAAAAACACGCGGCTTCTAACAGAGAACATCACCGAGAACAGCCGAATGAACCCACATTCTAGTAAAATTACCGAAAAACACACACTGGCTTAACCGAGAACATCACCGACAACGGCCACACGAACGTACATTCTAGTGAAATTACCAAAAAAACACACGCAGCTTCTAACCGAGAATATCACCGAGAACAGCCACATGAACGTATACTCTAGTGAAATCACCGAAAAAAACACACGCGGCTTCTAACCAAGAACATCACCGAGAATGGCCACACGAACGTACATTCTAGTGAAATTACCAAAAAAACACACACGGCTCCTAACCAAGAACATCACCAACAACGGCCACACAGACATTCTAGTGAAATTACAGAAAAAACACACGCGGCTTCTAACTAACCGAGAACATCACCGAGAATGGCCACACGAACGTATATTCTAGTAAAATTACTGAAAAAACACACGTGACTTCTAAGGGGAAAAGATGTTATCATTATCATACTTTCACAGAGGAAAAAGACATGATCCAAGGCTTTAATATCCAGAAAAACTACCTTTCAAATTTGAAGGACAAAAACTCTCATGGACAAGTCTGATCTCAGGGACTAATGAGGAATTCACTAGAGTCCACTTCAGACCCCACGAGGACCAGTCAGTAAAACTAAGACTTGAAGACTGAAAGAAAGTATAGTATGTAACAGCTATTATGCTCTTGTAGATGCAGTATAATTATTTTAATAAATTCGAGAAAATTAGGGCATATTCTAAGATTTTTAAGAATTTCAGTAATTATACTGATGTTGGCAGTATTGAAATTATATCCTAAGTCTGTCGTGTATGAAATGTGGTTATGTAAAGCAAATGAAAAATCATGAGATATTTTATCAAACACTCTTGGAACCAGGATTTGATATGGAAGAAAGGAGAGACAGATGTAACAGAAGAAGTACAGACCCCATACTTTTGAATTTGAGTAGAAGGAATCAGCATATTAGCCAGGCAAGGTGGCATGTGTCTGTACTCCTAGCTACTCAGGAGGCTGAGGCAGGAGGATCACTTGAGCCCAGGAATTCGAGGCTACAGTGAGCTATAATTGCACTACTGCACTCCAGCCTGGATGACAGAGCAAGATCCTATCTCTAAACAAATAAATACATAAATAAAATATAAAAAATAAATAAAAGGAAAAAATTTTTAAGTATCAGTATGAACTCAAAAGAATCCAGGGCAGACCCCAGGTGAAGAGTGGCAACCTACAAAAAACCGAGGACACCTTGTGTAGACTGCCTGGACGCTACTGAAGACTACCAGAATCACTTCGGGAGCTACACTGAAGAGGCTGCCACTGTCTAGAAACAGGATAATCTCAGCTTCAACAAAGATAATAACAATAGAGTAAAACAATCACATATGTTCCAATCCATGAGTTCATAATAACATTAAAAAAAAAAACAGGTCACCTTCAAGAAATAATAGGAAACCAATTCATTCTCTGGTAAATGGAAGAAAGAATCAAGCTTTTATCTTGTCTTTCTCAGGCAAACAGCACCTTGAACAACTAACTACAGGATGAAGGGAAATGCCTCTTTACAGGAAAGTATTCCAGCTAACAAATAAGCAAGAAATGATTCCACTAGAATAGCACCATTTGTAGCCCCTCATGGGCCAATAGCCTCGGGTGCTAATAAGCCTCAGGGACTGCTGATGTCACAAAGCAAAGACAGGCAGGCAGGAGGTGCCTGCTGAGGCTGAGTCACAACCACTAAGGAGCTGGCAAAAGGGGCGGAACTTATGGGCCTCCGAATCGGGCAGCACCTTGCAGAAGGACGGGCCTGAGGAACACACTGAACAGCAGCACACGTGTCCAGTCAGCAGATCCAGGCTGCAGTGAAGCCCGCCAGATCAAAGGCCGGGGCCTCAACAATTTTCTTCTTAATAATTTTTGTTGAGTTGTTAAAAACAAAAGATATACACATGGGTAACAGAAGCTGTCCAGAAATGCAAGTCAGTGATGGATCAATATCAGGACAGCATCACTCAGAGGAACATCAGGGGATACACTGAGGGCTTCCAGAATTTGCCACAGGTTAGGTCTAGACTTGGGTCATGATGACTAGGGCATCTGCCTGATTATCATGAAGCTAAACATTTACTTTGTGTGACTTTCTATATCATGATTTATTGTGCAAAAGTAGTTTGTTAGAAAAGGGGAGAAAAGTGATTCTAAAGCAATTCTGTAACTTCTTTTTATAAAATGGAGATGGTTGTTTCTACTGAAGCAATTACAGAATCACATCATTCTGAAGGTGGGAAAGGCTGCAGCTCCCCGCTGGGGCCAGCCCCTGTACCTGGTATCTTCACTGTGCCACTGGTGGAGGTGTCGTCGGTGTAAGGGTGGCTACTCTCCACCACCACAGGCTGAGAAGAGAGGCGGCCGCTCTGCGAGTCTGTGGCCACATCCTCCAACTCGGTGACACAGAGCTCCAACAGCATATCTGCCACCTGGAGAGGAAGCAAGGACATGAATGAGGGGGCCAACAGCCCCACACCTGGTCACCTGCATGCCACCTCTGCCCGTCCTGCTCAGGAGCTCCACAAGGACAGCGTGGCAGAGTGGAGGGCTTGGAGTTTGAGAAATTGAGTTCAAATCAGGGCTTGGCTTCCTTGCACATAAAACAGAGACAGCACAGAGCCTGTAAGATGCTGTGAAGCTTAGGGATGATCTATGTTAAAAAGTCGTTGGGGCCAGGCACGGTGGCTCACGCCTGGAATCCCAGCACTTTGGAAGGCCGAGGCAAGCGGATCACCTGAGGTCAGGAGTTCGAGATCAGCCTGACCAACATGGAGAAACCCCATCTCTACTAAAAATAAAAACTTAGTTGGGCGTGGTGGTGCATGCCTGTAATCCTAGCTACTCAGGAGGCTGAGGCAGGAGAATCACTTGAACCTGGGAGGCAGAGGTTGCGGTGAGCCGAGATCACACCGTTGCACTCCAGCCTGGGTGACCCGAGCGAGACTGCGTCTCAAACAAAAAAAGTCATTGGGTGGAGCGCAGTGGCTCACACTTGTAATACAAGCACTTTGGGAGGTCGAGGCAGGCAGATCACTGGAGGTCAGGAGTTCAAGACCAGCCTGGCCAGTACGGTGAAACCCCGTCTCTACTAAAAATACAATTAGCTGGGTATGGTGGCCCGTGCCTGTAGTCCCACCTACCCAGGAGGCTGAGGCAGGAGAATCGCTTAAACTCAGGAGGTGAAGGTTGCAGTGAGCTGAGACTGCACCACTGCACTCCAGCCTGAGCGACAGAGAGAGACTCTGTCTCGAAAAAAGAAAAAGAAAAAAAAGTAGTTGGAAGGCTCCCAACACACACAACACTTAATATGTGCCAGCTGATAAAATGAAACACCGTGGTGACAATAGCTTCATTTTACACCAAGACAAGATTACTTCCTAGTGAGGAAAGTTGGCCTCGGAAACAAAAACATCAAGGGAAGGAGCACCCAGTAGGTGAAAATGACCACAATCCTAGAAGGCAACGGAGCCCGGTGGGAGGGGCGGGAATCAGGAACCATCAAGCCGCTCAGGCCAGACAGAGACAGGGAGAGTCTGTGACAGGAGGGACCGCCGACCCCAACACAGCTGCCCCTGCTGACCCAGTACACTAGGGGTCAGACCCATACCACATTCTCAACAATCCACAGTGTTCTTATTTTATTTTAAAACTTATTGATGATTCACATCTTTTACGATTAAGGTTAAGAGTGGTGATTATAAACTCTGTTATTTTTAAAAATAAATGAGAGAATACATCATAACAGCAATAATCTATTAACCCCAACATTTTTAATCCAGAAAAAATAAAACTCTTCTAATGCCCATTCTATACTTTTTAGAAATAGATTATTCTTTTTTCTATTATTCCTCATATTTAGGTAAGAAATAGCTTTGCTTAGTAAATATTATATATTAACAAACTAATATCATTGTCACATAGGCATGATTTTAAATCTAAATTTGTCTCTCTTTTTGAGTCCCAAATATCAGGTCAGGGCAGGACACAGAAATAGCCATCTTGCCAACCTGGCAAGGGCAGTTTGAAAACGGCCGTATCCTTATTCTTGTCTCTCCTGGAACCTGGCTGAGTAACTGAAAGCAGATGTTGGCATCATCAAGCGCCCATGTGCAGAGTCGATCAGGGGCTCTGGCCTTCAGAAGGTTGCTCTGCCAAGCACATCATCTGCAGAGGGGTCATGATGGAGCTGGGGCTCAGACACTCAGGGTTCCAACCCATCTCTTCCACCTACCAGCAAAGTGAGTGTCCTCAAGCCAGCAGTAACCTCTCAGCCTCAGTTTCCTCATCCATATATAAAGGTAACCCCTACCCTCTCTACTGAGAATGTGGGGATGTGCATGGCAAATGCTCAGCATTATTTTATATATATATTTTTTTATTATACTTTAAGTTCTAGGGTACATGTGCACAACGTGCAGGTTTGTTACATATGTACACATGTGCCATGTTGTTGTGCTGCACCCATTAACTCATCATTTACATTAGGTATATCTCCTAATGCTATCCCTCCCCCCTCCCCCCACCCCAAAACAGGCCCTGGTGTGTGATGTTCCCCTTCCTGTGTCCAAGTGTTCTCATTGTTCAATTCCCACCTATAAGTGAGAACATGCAGTGTTTGGTTTTTTTGTCCTTGTGATAGTTTGCTGAGAATGATGGTTTCCAGCTCATCCATATCCCTACAAAGCACATGAACTCATCCTTTTTTATGGCTGCATAGTATTCCATGGTGTATATATGCCACATTTTCTTAATCCAGTCTATCATTGTTGGACATTTGGGTTAGTTCCAAGTCTTTGCTATTGTGAATAGTGCCACAATAAACATATGTGTGCATGTGTCTTTATAGCAGCATGATTTATAATCCTTTGGGTATATACCCAGTAATGGGATGGCTGGGTCAAATGGTATTTCTAGTTCTAGATCCCTGAGGAATCGCCACACTGTGTTCCGCAGTGGTTGAACTAGTTTACACTCCCACCAACAGTGTAAAAGTGCTCCTATTTCTCCACATCCTCTCCAGCACCTGTTGTTTCCTGACTTTTTAACGATCGCCATTCTAACTGGTGTGAGATGGTATCTTATTGTGGTTTTGATTTGCATTTCTCTGATGGCCAGTGATGATGAGCATTTTTTCATGTGTCTGGTGGCTGCATAAATGTCTTCTTTTGAGAAGTGTCTGTTCATATCCTTCGCCCACTTGTTGATGGGGTTGTTTTTTTCTTGTAAATTTCTTTGAGTTCTTTGTAGATTCTGGATATTAGACCTTTGTCAGATGAGTAGATTGCAAAAATTTTCTCCCATTCTGTAGGTTGCCTGTTCACTCTGATGGTAGTTTCTTTTGCTGTGCAGAAGCTCTTTAGTTTAATTGGATCCCATTTGTCAATTTTGGCTTTTGTTGCCATTGCTTTTGGTGTTTGAGACATGAAGTCCTTGCCCATACCTATGTCCTGAATGGTATTCCCTAGGTCTTCTTCTAGGGTTTTTATGGTTTTAGGTCTAACATTTAAGTCTTTAACCCATCTTGAATTAATTTTTGTGTAAGGTGTAAGGAAGGGATCCAGTTTCAGCTTTCTACACATGGTTAGCCAGTTTTCCCAGCACCATTTGTTGAATAGGGAATCCTTTCCCCATTTCTCGTTTTTGTCAGGTTTGTCAAAGATCAGATAGTTGTAGATGTGTGGTATTATTTCTGAGGGCTCTGTTCTGTTCCATTGGTCTATATCTCTGTTTTGGTACCAGTACCATGCTGTTTTGGTTACTGTAGCTTTGTAGTATAGTTTGAGGTCAGGTAGTGTGATGCCTCCAGCTTTGTTCTTTTGGCTTAGGATTGACTTGGCAATGCGGGCTCTTTTTTGGTTCCAAATGAACTTTAAAGTAGTTTTTTCCAATTCTGTGAAGAAAGTCATTGGTAGCTTGATGGGGATGGCATTGAATCTATAAATCACCTTGGGCAGTATGGCCATTTTCACGATTTCCTATCCATGAGCATGGAATGTTATTCCATTTGTTTGTATCCTCTTTTATTTTATTGAGCAGTGGTTTGTAGTTCTCCTTGAAGAGGTCCTTCACATCCCTTGTAAGTTGGATTCCTAGGTATTTTATTTTCTTTGAAGCAATTGTGAATGGGATTTCACTCATTATTTTGCTGTTTGTCTGTTATTGATGTATAAGAATGCTTGTGATTTTTGCACATTGATTTTGTATCCTGAGACTTTGCTGAAGTTGCTGATCAGCTTAAGGAGATTTTAGGCTGAGACGATGGGGTTTTCTAGATATACAATCATGTCATCTGCAAACAGGGACAATTTGACTTCCTCTTGTTCTAATTGAATACCCTTTATTTCTTTCTCCTGCCTGATTGCCCTGGCCAGAACTTCCAACACTATGTTGAACAGGAGTGGTGAGAGAGGGCATCCCTGTCTTGTGCCAGTTTTCAAAGGGAATGCTTCCAGTGTTTGCCCATTCAGTATGATATTGGCTGTGGGTTTGTCATAAATAGCTCATTATTTTGAGATACATCCCAACAATACTGAATTTGTTGAGTTTTTAGCATGAAGGGCTGTTGAATTTTGTCAAAGGCCTTTTCTGCATCTATTGAGATAATCATGTGGTTTTTGACTTTGGTTCTGTTTATATGCTAGATTACGTTTATTGATTTGCATATGTTGAATCAGCCTTGCATCACAGGGATGAAGCCCACTTGATCATGGTGGATAAGCTTTTTGATGTGCTGCTGGATTCGGTTTGCCAGTATTTTATTGAGGATTTTTGCATCAATGTTCATCAGGGATATTGGTGTAAAATTCTTTTTGTTGTGTCTCTGCCAGGCTTTGGTATCAGGATGGTGCTGGCCTCATAAAATGAGTTAGGGAGGATTCCCTCTTTTTCTATTGATTGGAATAGTTTCAGAAGGAATGGTACCAGCTCCTCTTTGTACCTCTGACAGAATTCAGCTGTGATTCCATCTGGTCCTGGACTTTTTTTGGTTGGTAAGCTATTAATTATTGCCTCCATTTCAGAGCCTGTTACTGGTCTATTCAGAGATTCAACTTCTTCCTGGTTTAGTCTTGGGTGGGTGTATGTGTCCAGGAATTTATCCATTTCTTCTAGATTTTCTAGTTTATTTGTGTAGAGGTGTTTGTAGTATTCTCTGATGGTAGTTTGTACTTCTATGGAATCAGTGGTGATATCCCCTTTATCATTTTTTATTGCATCCACTTGATTCTTCTCTCTTTTCTTATTAGTCTTGCTAGAGATCTATCAATTTTGTTGATCTTTTCAAAAAACCAGCTCCTGGCTTCATTGATTTTTTGAAGGGTTTTTTGTGTCTCTATCTCCTTTAGTTCTGCTCTGATCTTAGTTATTTTTTGCCTTCTGCTAGCTTCTGAATGTGTTTGCTCTTGCTTCTCTAGTTCTTTTAATTGTGATGTTAGGGTGTCAATTTTAGATCTTTCCTGCTTTCTCTTGTGGGCATTTAGTGCTATAAATTTCCCTCTACACACTGCTTTAAATGTGTCCCAGAGATTCTGGTATGTTGTGTCTTTGTTCTCGTTGGTTTCAAAGAACAACTTTATTTCTGCCTTCGTTATGTACCCACTAGTCATTCAGGAGCAGGTTGTTCGGTTTCCATGTAGTTGAGCAGTTTTGAGTGAGTTTCTTAATCCTGAGTTCTAGTTTGATGGCACTATGGTCTGAGAGACAGTTTGTTATAATTTCTGTTATTTTACATTTGCTGAGGAGTGCTTTACTTCCAACTATGTGGTCAATTTTGGAGTAAGTGCGGTGTGGTGCTGAGAAGAATGTATATTCTATTGATTTGGGGTGGAGAGTTCTGTAGATGTCTATTAGGTTGGCTTGATGCAGAGCTGAGTTCAGTTCCTGGATATCCTTGTTAACTTTCTGTCTCATGGATCTGTCTAATGTTGACAGTGGGGTGTTAAAGTCTCCCATTATTATTGTGTGGGAGTCGAAGTCTCTTTGTGGGTCTCTAAGGACTTGCTTTATGAATCTGGGTGCTCCTTTATTGGGTGCATAGATATTTAGGATAGTTAGTTCTTCTTATTGAATTGATCCCTTTACCATTATGTAATGGCCTTCTTTGTCTCTTTTGATCTTTGGTGGTTTAAAGTCCGTTTTATCAGAGACTAGGATTGCAACTCCTGCCTTTTTTTGTTTTCCATTTGCTTGGTAGATCTTTCTCCATCCCTTTATTTTGAGCCTATGTGTGTCTCTGCACATGAGATGGGTTTCCTGAATACAGCACACTGATGGGTCTTGACTCTTTATCCAATTTGCCAGTCTGTGTCTTTTAATTGGAGCATTTAGCCCACTTACATTTAAGGTTAATATTATTATGTGTGAATTTGATCCTGTCATTATGATGTTAGCTGGTTATTTTGCTCGTTAGTTGATGCAGTTTCTTCCTAGCATTGATGGTCTTTACAATTTGGCATGTTTTTGCAGTGGTTGGTACCGGTTGTTCCTTTCCATGTTTAGTGCTTCCTTCAGGAGTTCTTTTAGGGCAGGCCTGGTGGTGACAAAATCTCTCAGCATTTGCTTGTCTGTAAAGGATTTTATTTCTCCTTCACTTATGAAGCTTAGTTTGGCTGGATATGAAATTCTGGGTTGAAAATTCTTCTCTTTAAGAATGTTGAATATTGGCCCCCACTCTCTTCTGGCTTGTAGAGTTTCTGCCCAGAGATCCGCTGTTAGTCTGATGGGCTTCCCTTTGTGGGTAACCCGACCTTTCTCTCTGGCTGCCCTTAACATTTTTTCCTTCATTTCAACTTTGGTGAATCTGACAATTATGTGTCTTGGAGTTGCTCTTCTCGAGGAGTATCTTTGTGGCATTCTCTGTACTTCCTGAATTTTAATGTTGGCCTGCCTTGCTAGATTGGGGAAGTTCTCCTGGATAATATCCTGCAGAGTGTTTTCCAACTTGGTTCCATTCTCCCCATCACTTTCAGGTGCACCAATCAGTCATAGATTTGGTCTTTTCACATAGTCCCATATTTCTTGGAGGTTTTGTTCATTTCTTTTTATTCTTTTTTCTCTAAACTTCTCGCTTCATTTCATTCATTTGATCTTCAATCACTGATACCCCTTCCTCCAGGTGATCGAATTGGCTACTGAAGTGTGTGCATTTGTCACGTAGTTCTCATGCCATGGTTTTCAGCTCCATCAGCTCCTTTAAGGACTTCTCTGCATTGGTTATTCTAGTTAGCCATTCGTCTAATCTTTTTTCAAGGTTTTTAACTTCTTTGCAATGGGTTCGAACTTCCTCCTTTAGCTCGGAGAAGTTTGATCGTCTGAAGCCTTCCTCTCTCAGCTCATCAAAGTCATTCTCCTTCCAGCTTTGTTCCATTGCTGGTGAGGAGCTGCGTTCCTTTGGAGGAGGAGAGATGCTCTGATTTTTAGAATTTTCAGTTTTTCTGCTCTGTTTTTTCTCCATCTTTGTGGTTTTATCTACCTTTGGTCTTTGATGATGGTGATGTACAGATGGGGTTTTGGTGTAGATGTCCTTTCTGTTTGTTAGTTTTCCTTCTAACAGTCAGGACCCTCAGCTGCAGGTCTGTTGGAGTTTGCTGGAGGTCCACTCCCAGACTCTGTTTGCCTGGGTATCAGCAGCGGAGGCTGCAGAACAGCGAATATTGCTGAACAGCAAATGTTGCTGTCTGATCGTTCCTCTGGAAGTTTTGTCTCAGAGGGGTACCCGGCCGTGTGAGGTGTCAGTCTGCTCCTACTGGGGGGTGCCTCCCAGTTAGGCTACTCGGGGGTCAGGGACCCACTTGAGGAGGCAGTCTGTCCATTCTCAGGTCTCAAACTCCGTTCTGGGAGAACCACTACTCTCTTCAAAGCTGTCAGACAGGGACATTTAAGTCTGCAGAGGTTTCTGCTGCCTTTTGTTCGGCTATGGCCTGCCCCCAGAGGTGGAGTCTATAGAGGCAGGCAGGCCTCCTTGAGCTGCGGTGGGCTCCACCCAGTTTCAGCTTCCGGGCCGCTTTGTTTACCTACTCAAGCCTCAGCAACGGTGGACGCCCCTCCCCCAGCCTGGCTGCTGCCTTGTAGTTCGATCTCAGGCTGCTGTGCTAGCAATGAGCGAGGCTCCGTGGGCGTGGGACCCTCCGAGCCAGGCGCGAGATATAATCTCCTGGTGTGCCATTTGCTAAGACCGTTGGAAAAGCACAGTATTAGGGTGGGAGTGACCCAATTTTCCAGGTGCCTTCTGTCACAGCTTTGCTTGGCTAGGAAAGGGAATTCCCTGACCCCTTGTGCTTCCCAGGTGAGGCGATGCCTCGCCCTGCTTCAGCTCATGCTCGGTGCACTGCACCCACTGTCCTGCACCCGCTGTCCGACAAGCCCCAGTGAGATGAACCTGGTATCTCAGTTGGAAATGCAGAAATCACCCATCTTCTGCGTTGCTCACACTGGGAGCTGTAGACTGGAGCTGTTCCTATTCAGCCATCTTGGCACCGCCCCCCGCTCAGCATTATTTTAAATCAAAGTTCTCATTCATACCCTTCCCTCTCACAAATGCAATAAACTTATGAAAAATAATAATAGTGCTTATGGTAATTCACCTTGATTTCATCTCTTAGAATTATGCCAAGTAACTTGTCTCAAAAAACTAGAAAAAAGGATACCTACAGCTTTTTAGTTCTTCATGAATAGCAGATGAAGAAATAACAAGCCCCTAAAATATCTACCAAACTCTGCTGCGCTTTCAAGACTGCTCAACTCTACTTAAGTACTTTATCGTTTTGGTGATCATGTAAGTTACTAAAATTTCTGACCATCAGAGCTTTAACGTTTCAGAATTTCAGATAAAGGAGTATGAACTTACATTTAATGATTTTTTTTTTAAATATAATTCTACTTAAAAACTTCAGAAGTTCCTTTAAAGAGAATATTCTTCTAACTAAAGCCAAAAATCCTAATAGGCACAGAAACTGCCTAAACTAAGTGACAGAGTAAGACTTTCCTCCACACAAAGTAGGCACCCAGAGAAACGGATGAAGTGTCTGCAGCCAGGAAGGACATCTCAGGCTCCCTGGCAGGGCAGAGCATGGCTGCTGATAAAGAAGAGTTCTTAAGGAAGCCCACGGCCTTTACGACTGATCAGTCCTATTTCTAAGACATACTAGTAAGACGCTCACTTTATACTGCAGACCTACAGACCAATTCAGCAGCTACTAGCCACATGTGCCTCAAGTTGAGTGTTTTAAAACCTTCAGTTCCTCAGGTGCACTAGCCATATTTCAGTGTGCAGTGGCCATATGTGGCTGGTGCCAATGGTCCCAGATGGCTCCGGTCCAGAACATTTCCACAATGACAAAGTCCTACAGACCCAGTGCTACCAAATATTAAAAGACATTTTAAAGCTGTAATAGTTAAAATACCATAGTATCAGAACCTAAGAAGTTTTGTAAATAGACCCAAATGCATACAGGAATTTAGAATATGATAAAACTGGTTTTTAAATCACCAGGGAAAAGATGAGTTATTCAATAAATGATGTTAGGGCAACCGGTTTACCATCTAGGAAAAAAAGTAAAGTTGGATACCTACTTTATTCTTACATCAAAATAAATCCCAGGTGGCTAAAAAATGTAAACAATACATGAAATCATAAAAAATTAGAAGAAGGCCGGGCATGGTGGCTCATGCCTGTAATCCCAAGCACTTTGGGAGGCCAAGGTGGGTAGATCACTTGAGGTCAGCAGTTCCAGACCAGCCGGGCCAACATGGTGAAACCCCATCTCAACTAAAAATACAAAAATTAGCCAGGCATCGTGGCGCATGCCTGTAATCCCAGCTACTCAGGAAGCTGAGGCACAAGAATCACCTGATCCCGGGAGGTAGAGGTGATCCTGGGAGGCTGAGATTGCGCCACCGCACTCCAGCCCGGGTGAAGGAGACTGTCTCAAAAACCTTAGACGAAAACTTGGAAGAATTTATTTAAAACAATGTCACATAAGCAAGCATTTTTTTTTCAGCATAATACAAAACTCAGAAGGCATAAATGAAAAAAACTGACAGATTTGACCACATAATAATTAAAAATTTCTACATGGCAAAAAATATCAAACTAATATCAAAAAATAAACTGGGGTGGAAACTGTAAGACATATGATAGAAAAGGGACTTAAAGAACTTTGACAAATCATTTTAAAAAGATGCACAAATCAGTTATAAAACAGGTAAAGGGGCCAGGTTTGGTGCTCACTCCTGTAATCCCAGCACTTTGGGAGGCTGAGGCAGGTGGATCACGAGGTCAGGAGATCAAGACCATCCTGGCTAACATGGTAAAACCCCGACTCTACTAAAAATACAAAAAAAATTAGCCGGGCATGGTGGTGGGCACCTGTAGTCCCAGCTACTTGGAAGGCTGAGGCAGGAGAATGGTGTGAACCCAGGAGGCAGAGCTTGCAGTGAGTCGAGATGGCGCCACTGCACTCTAGCCTGGGCGACAGAGCGAGACTCCGTCTCAAAAAAACAAAAAACAGGTAAAGGATGTCACTGGGTTAAATGCTAAAACGTTTTGCTCTAAAGGAGTGCTCCTAACCTGCAGTCTACTAGGATGAAACCCAGCACAAGATCACCGGTGATCCATAGCAGCTCTCCTTTGGAGAGGAGGGTGGCCCAACATGGAGGAGGTGGAATCAGACGGCCCCGCCCTCCCTGAGACTCACCTGTGGGTAGGCGGTCCCCATGCCGGAAAGCACCGCGGAGAGCACATCCCTGCCCCTGTCCCCGGCCCGGCTGCACACTGACAGCTTGAGCAGGTCTACCACCACACGAGTGTCATCCGCAATCAGCAGACTGGTGAACTCATCCAAGGCCTGAGGCTCCGGACCTGCTGCTTTATTTTGGCTTTCAACATCCTAAGTCAAATGACATCCAACAATTAACATGAGGAATGATATGCTAAGAGATAAAGAGTCACCAGTTTACCCATAAACTCAGAGAACACATGAATACCAACGAGTAAGAAACCTGAAGGTGTTTAAGACCTTAAGAAACAGATTAAGAAACGACGGCCCCTAAAATCTCCACCAAGCCATGTACTATGTTTTCAAGACCAATTAACTGTTGTATTACCAATGGCATTTATCAAAAAGGGATGACTTAAGCTATAAAGAAATGACAATTTATTACTGGGACCAAGTTTGGATCATAAGCAGATACTACAGGGGGAGTTTTGGAATGAAGCTGCATCCTGTATAATCTACCCATAAGATACGCTAGGGAATCGTTTACAAACTAAATTTGTATTCTCTAATTGTATACATTTTGTCTAGATCCTCTCCATAATTCTTTCCTGGAATCTTATTTCAAGCAACTCACTGGCATTAACACACTATCCAGTCTCTCTCTCTCCTTGGGTTCATTGAAAACATCATACATAAAAGTCTTCTCATTACCACTCGTGTACTTCCCATTCCTGCCATGTCAGCCTAAACATACCACATCTTGATCCTTCAACTCCTCTCCTTGTTTGCTATGAGCCAATTCCCAGCATCACTGCACCCCCAGCTCCCACCCTATGGAGGTGCCTTGCCCAGGATGGCCGCCCCCACCCTGCTTGTTGGCACACAGAAGCCTCCTGGAGGGCAGCACTGGGGCTGAGCTTGTGGAAACGGGAAAGGCCCTTGTCAGTGCCAGGGACTCCCACCGCTTCCGACCCAGCATGGGAACCGCTGTGACCCTGTGCAGAGCAGGAGTGTGTCAAGCCCTTCTCATTCCCCAGGCAGAGTCTGGCTCCCCAGAGGAAGATCGAGAGCCAGGGAAGTGCCGCTTTTCTCTCCTGCTTTCTGGACCTCAGCAAATCCAGTGCAACTCTTTCCACAAACATAAACAGGCTGGGGGAAGGACAGCCCCACATGTTCCCCTTAAGGGGAAAATGACCCAACCAGTGGACCCTGGAAACCACACCACTCTGATTTAGGAACAAGGTTCCTCTCCCTTTTGGGAAACAGACCTTGCTCCTGCCTCTGCATGGAGACACAAGGAGTAAGGGAAATTCATTATAAATGATGACATTCCAGAACATAACTCACTGAAGGACAGCAAAAGCATTCAGTGAAACATATTAACAAGAATATCTTTAGTCTTGAGATTGAAATGTACCTACCATTTTTTTTTATGAGGGTGTCTTAAAACATGCACACACACAAACACAGAAAATATGTCTAGAAGAATTGCTAAGGAAGAAAATCACTAGCGGCATATCCTTAAATATGAATTATAGCTTAATACTAACATTAAAATTGCTTTGCCTTAAATTCATGAGTCAAGCCAAAACTGAAATAATAGAAATACAGGGTTGCAACCTGGATAATGCCTATGTCTCATAAATAAATTGGGGGGAAATAAATCATATTATCCTTTTACCTAAAACAAAAATGTTGCCTTCCTCAGAATAAGTTCTGCATTAAACCCTCAAACCAGGAGACTGCCAAAAATTAGAAGTTGATTCCAGGCACCTAATTCATAAATAGAGGCTTTCTTACTACCATGGATGGTTATAAATAATTTCTGTAGGACATATTTTCTGCCAGCAGTAACAGCATAATAAATCAAGGGTTCCAAATGTAATTAAAAATAAAGTGTTTGCCCTCAAGGTGGAAAGGCTGGCAAGGGAGTACACATGAGCAGGGGCTGGCCTGGTGTGGGGAGCGCCTCAGCGGGCTGGGGAAGGCATCCACACATGGGGGGTTGGAGAGACACAGCCAGGCCAAGTGAGGAAGGTGCCACACTCTGGGTCAACATGGAGGTGAGGGGAGGGCCAGAGGTCACGTAGGGTGACCATGGAGGACCATGGAGGCAGACTGGTTCTGAGTGCCAGAGGATGTACAGAGGAAGAAAGGTGCCCACCACGGAGTGGGGGACAGCCAAGATCGGAGGTTGGTTATCTAAGGGGACTGAACTGTAAGTAAATAGTCTGCTGATGACAGGAGCCAGGTTTCCCACTTTCAGAGAAGGAAGTTATAAATACAGAAAGGGTGAAAACTAGAATGAATCTTAGTTGGGTTACAATCAATCATATTGGTGTGAACCGGTGGTTTTCCATGTACGTAAATATATAACAACACAAATACTGATGTAGGCCAAACACGGTGGCTCATGCCTGTAATCCCAGCACTTTGAGAGGATGAGGCAGGCAGATCACTTGAGCCCAGGAGTTCAAGACCAGCCTGGGCAACATGGCAAAACCTATCTCTGAAAAAAAAAGAGAAAAAAAAAAATACAAAAATTAGCCAGGTATGGTGGTGCATGCTTGTAGTTCCAGCTACTTGGGAGGCTGAGGATGGCTTGAGACCAGGAGGTTGAGGCTGCAGTGAGCCAAGATCGTGCCACTCTACTGCAGCCTGGGCAACAGAACAAGACCCTGTCTAAAAACAAAACAAAAACAAAAACTGATGTATGTACCTATTATGTTACACACACACATATTCATTCTCTAGCCCTGTCACCCAAACAGCAACAAGCACACAAAGGGCCCAGATCTTGACCTCTAAATGCCCTTCTCCACCAGAAAGAACTAGGACTTCTCAGAAACACAACTGATTCCTATGTTGGAGCATAAAACATCTTATTGAGCCTGGAATTTTGTGTTGTGCCAAAAAGTAAGGAAATACTCAAAGAATGATGGGAATATGCCAGAAGAACACATAAAATTCTACCAACTACTTAAAGAAGAATTAACCCGAATGCTTCACCAACTCTTCTAAAAAACAGAAGAGAAAGGCACACCCTCCAACTCAATCTATGAAGCCAATATTGCTATAATATCCAAACCAAAGACATCACAAGAAAACTACAGAGCCGTATCCCTTATGAATACAGATGTAAAAATCTTCAACAAAATAGCAGCAAACCAAATCTAGCAACATATAAAAGCATTATACACCAAAAAAATATGGAAAAAGGGAGAGTAGGAATAAGCCCTGTGGTACTGGATTGGAATTAAAAGTACTGATTTGGGCTGTTAATGGTTTTTATTATATAGATAAATGCAGAAGGATAAATAAATGTTCATGTGTATAGGTCTATTTGCTGAGAGGGCCTAACCAAAGACACTCAGTAACAATTAGCTTACCAAGCACCCAGATCTCGGTTTCCAAATCCTACAAGCCACTAGCAGGAACCATGGCTTCTTGAAGAAATGGCTGATTCCAGGCAGGGGGAGGGTAGGTGAAAGATAAGTCTAGAGCACAGTTGTGCCAGAAATGAAGGAAGAGCCCTAAAAATTATGGGGACACATCAGACAATGGAACCAGTCCACAGGGATCCCAATGACCAGTCCACGGGAGTCCCAATGACCGGGTCCCAGTGACCAGTCCACGGGAGTCCCAGTGACCGAGTCCCAGTGACCAGTCCACGGGAGTCCCAGTGACCGAGTCCCAGTGACCAGTCCATGGGAGTCCCAATAACCAAGTCCAGGACCATTTGGGTGTCAAATAATGATAGCAACAAACGTCACTATTTGACTAAAACAGGAACTCCTGATTCTATACAATATAAAAAGACAGGTAGGTAGGTAGGTAGAAGACAGACGGATGAGAAGGGAAAGCTGTCTCTTGCAAAAGAATGGCAACAATTACATTCCAGAAGTAACAATAAATGTGAACAATGAAAATGTGACAACCACCACAGTAATAATGGATTCAGCTAGAATCTTTAAGATGCTAAAAACTGGGAGGTAAAAGTATGATGAGGAACAAGACATTGACATAATCTCAAAAGTATCTCCCCATGAGTACTTAACACACTTACTGACTTCCAGTGGAGAAACTTGGCAGAGACCCTTAACCAAGTGATAAGCTATCTCACCAATGATGCAGCAAATCAGCAATGCGTGAGTCCTAATGGAGGCACTGAAAAGAATTCTGCACCGTTCCTGTGGTGTCTGTCAAAACGAAGAACTGAAGGACTGTTCCACACTGAAGACTAAAGAGGCAACATGCAATCCTAGGTTGAGTGCTAGACCTTTAAGGATACTATTGGGATGATGAGCAAAATCTGAATATGTCTGTGGGTTTGAAAGTAATCCTGGATCAAGCTGCAGTCCTGATACTCAAGGAATACACGTGGAAGCAGTAAGCAGTGACAGGGACCGTGTCCTGCGGCATTCCCACAAACGCTTCGAAGATGCTAACAAGTGGACAGCCGAGGTGAATGGGATAGGAATAGACTGTGTTCCACTCCTAAGTTCTATTTCTACTTCTGTGTACATTTAAGATTATTTCACAATACAAAGTTAAAGAAGAACGCCTCTTCACCTCTTTGGTTTTGGTCATGGTTTCTGCAATGATGCTTGCGGCTCCCAGGTCATCCGTCACTGGGATAAAAGGCCGAGCGGAGGCTGAGGGGGCCGACGGAGTCACTGCAGAGGGGGTCACTGCGTCCTCAGAGGAAACAATCTAGTCCAAGAGTGCACAGTAGGGGAAGTTTAAGTGGAAAAACTCAGCAACATAACACATTTCCTATGCAAGTCCCAAATGCTTTACCTAAAACTACTTGGGCTGTTTAGAATGTTCCAGATTTTACAGAGGTAACATGGTGCCCACCAGACATAGCCACTACCACCCCCAGTCAGGCCTAGGACAGTTTTGCAAAGTCAAGCACATTCATATTTTCAAGAATAACTATTAATATTCACAGCAGGTCACATGAACCAGACTAAAATGAGTTCACATATCTTCGAGTTGGTTCTTTCCCCCAAAATGTTACTAAAATTCTTGACTGTCAGAACTTTAAGGTTTCAGAATTGCAGATAAAGGACTGTGAACTTGATTTAATGGTTTTTTTAATAAAAGAAAGCCAATTCCACTTAAGCACTTTAAAAGCTCCTTTACAGAGAATATTCTTCTAAGTAAAGCCAAAAATCTAAGCGGGAGGCACAGAAACAGCCTAAACTAAATGACACAATGAGACTTTCCTAGACACAAAGTAGCCACCTTTTCCTTTCTGATCTAACATTGCTTTAGATTCGCTTTTACCTCTCTCTTTTCTTGCCATGGATTTGGACTCAGTCTGTCTTCGATATCAACAGCCAGCATGCATTCTTCTCCATTCATGGGACTAGCCATCGCAGATGCGTCGGAAGGGGCCGCCGAGGAGAACGAGGGGCACTCCACCGGGGCGATCATGGCGGCCGGCATCAGGGCCCCGACAACAGCATCTCTGTCAGGACACAAAGCCAGGCCTGTGGTGAGCTGCCCCTTCTCCACTGCAGCACAGGAAGTGGAGAGGCAGGGCTAGCACGCACTGAGGCGTTTCCTCATTTTTACTGAATACATGTAGAAGAGTTTTGGAAAACTACCAAACATTATTACCATGTATCCTTTGGCTAATAGCTAAAATGTTTACTCTGGATCCTATTTATTTGAAAAACCAGAGTAATGGCAGGTGAAAAACTGCCAAACATAAAAACCAGACCAGAATGAGACTCTGGCTCTCCCTGAGAAAGAAATCCTCTTGGGCTGCTGTGAGAGCCTGAGGGCTGGATAATTGACCAGCAGGCAATTTTGTGTTTACTGAAAGCCACATACTGAGCAGCAACGACTCAATGGCCTCTACTGAATGACTGTTTTTGTTCTGAAACTAATTTTCCTATGTAAGGACACCTGTCAGGTCCACATGTGTGATACATTAGTAGATGGGAAACTTATCTAGGCTGTGGGAAAGCAGCAGAAAAATACTGCAAAATGCCGCACTGGCAAAACTCAGCCTTCTCAAGTGAGCGAAGGGGATGCTAAGTCGTCTTAGACATCACTATAAATTAGTATCACCTAATTCTTCTTTTCTTCCCCCAAATATTGATGGTTCGAGTCTACTGGTCAAAAAGAATAGTGAAAATGTTCAAGTTAGTTTTCTAATTCATATTTCAATGCCCATTAAGACACACACTAAGATATCACCAATCACCATCAAAGAACTTGTGACTTACAACATACAGCATTTAAAGACAATAATACAACATTCTTGGAGACATCTGATCAACGAAAAGAAAAAAAATCACAAAAATGTGAAGCTCACATAATTGCAGAATTTCAAAAATTAGCACAGAAGCCTACCTGGCATACATGATTTGCAATGCTGTAAGAATATGCGATAAGGCCTGCTGTTTGGCCAGATTTCCATCCAATGACAAGAGAATCTTGGCAAGAGAAGGGCGATTTGGCTTAGAATTACTTGCACCACTTATTTTATTACTGGCAGCAGAAGAATCAGCATCTGAAGGCACGCCTATAAGAGGAAAATAAAATTTGCATTGTTTTTAAAATCACAGTTTGATCTATTTCTATAAAATCTGACCTTACAGGTTAGTTCCAAAACACACTGCAATCTGCATTTTGCTATTTCACAAAGCACCTATCAGGCTCATTAATAGGCCTTCAAAATAAGAAAACCACTTATCCATACTTCGATAAAGAAGCTATTTTCAGCATAGTTCCACTGTAACTGCAAAAAGATGTAGGTGCTTTTATAAAATGCACTTACAACAGTTTATGTTATATACATATAAACTATGAAAATGCTACAATAACTACCTGTATTTTCTTACCCCGGTAAGACAAGACAAAAAAGAATACAAAACAACAAAGAGAAAAGATGTTCACCAATAAAGTCTCATCAGGCTCACTTCGTTGTGAACTCCCAGGTCTCAGCAGAAGGAGGGAGCCAAGTAGAGCTGGGACATGTGTCTATGTCAACTCATCCAAATTGATACACAGATTTAATGCAATTCCCACCAGAATTCCAGCAAGAGTTTTTGTCAACAGACAAGATTATTCTGAAATGTACATGGAAAGGCAAAGGAGCAAGAATAGAAATAGAAAAATAAGGAGGAGGAATGAGTCTACCCAATTTCAAAAGTTGTAATACCATAACCAAAACTGTGTGGTACTGGCATAAGAATCAATGGAATAAACAGAGAACCCAGAAACAGAACCACACAAATATGCCTCACTGACTGTTGACAAACGTGCAAAAGCAACTCGGAGGCAGGACAGCCTTTCGGCATATGGTGGTGGAGCAACTGGACGTCTGTGGGCAAAAAACCCAAACTTCAGCCTAAGTCTACACCTTATGCAAAATTAAATCCAAATGGATCATGACTTCAGTAGAAAATACAAAACTATAAATCTTTTAGAGAAAAATAGGAGACAGTCTTTAGGAACTAGCACTAGGCAAAAATATACTTAGACTTGACACCAAAAGTATGATCTATAAAAGAAAAACCTGATGAATTAGACTTCATCAAAATTAAACACTTTCGTTCTATGAAAGGAAACGAAAAGACAAGCTAGAGACCAGGAGAAAATATCTGCATAACACACATCTGCCAAAGGACTAGAAACATCTAGAATATATAATGAACTCTCTAAACTCAACAGAAAAAAAAAAAGCCAATTAGAAAAGGGCATGAAGACATATTTTACCAAAGAGGAGATATGGACAGTAAATAAGCACATGAAAAGATGGTTAACATAATTAGCCATAAGGAAAATATTAAAACCACAATGAGATACAATGACCTATCTATCAGTATGGCTACATTTTAAAAAGATGGTGAGGATATGGGAAAAACTGGATCATCCTCCACTGCTAATGAGAATATAAAATGGCACAGCCATTCTGGAAAACGGCTTGGCAGTTTCTTATCAAACTAAACATAATTACCATATGACCAACCATCACACTCTTGGACATTTATGCCAAAGAAATAAGAACTTATTTTCACGTAAAGTAAATTTTCACATTCACCTGTATATGAATGACATGGCAGTTTTATTTGTAATAGTCAAAACCTAGAAATAATCCAAATGTCCTTCGATGGTTGAGTATTCGATGGAATACTGAACATACTATGTAATATGTAACAACTTGGATGAATAGCCAGAGGATTAGGCTGAGCAGAAAAAGCCAGACTCAAAAGTTATACATATAATGTGACATGAAAAGAGCTATACGTTAAGAAGATACTGAGTAATTTGAACCAGAAAGGAGAAGATGAGAGTCAAGCATTATCTTCATCTACCCCAGAAAAGAAGACAGCACAGGAAGGTGAAGCCACTCGCCCCAGTTCATACAGCCAGTAACTAACACAGCCAGAAGATCACATTCCAGTTATTCATAAAAGCAGATGCTGCTGGAGCCTAAATGTCCCCTCCTGAGACAGAAGGGGAAAAAACAAAATATTTGTATGACAAGATGAAGCTCACTTTTTTTAAAAAAAAAAGCAATTGTACTTATTTCTACATGCTAGCAAAGAGCAATCTGAATATTCCCATACAGAAGAAATGATATTTTTAAAAGACCATTTAATAATCTGAAATTCTTAGAAATAATCTAACAAAAGACAAGCAAAACCTATACAATAGACCGGGTGCGGTGACTCACGCCTGTAATCCCAGCACTTTGGGAGGCCGAGGTGGGCGGATCACGAGGTCAGGAGATCGATTCTGTCCTGGCTAACACGGTGAAACCCCGTCTCTACTAAAAATACAAAAAAATTAGCCGGGCGTGGTGGCAGGTGCCTGTGGTCCCAGCAACTTGGGAGGCTGAGGCAGGAGAATGGCGTGAACCCGGGAAGCAGAGCTTGCAGTGAGCCGAGATTGCGCCACTGCACTCCAGCCTGGCGACAGAGCGAGACTCCGTCTCAAAAAAAAAAAAAAAAACCTACACAATACTGGGACTAGAAAACATTGCTGAGAGAAACTAAACACCTAAAAAATAAAGAGAAACACTATGTTCATGGGTTAGAAGACTGAATACTGTGAATCCATCCTTTCCACATTGACTTACAGAATTAATGCAATCCACATCAAAATCCCAAGCAAACGATTTTATAAAAACTGACAAGCTCATTTTAAGTTATATGGAAATGCAAAGGGCCTACAACAGCCAACATATATTTGAAAAAGAACAAAGCTAAAGAACTCTTGCAACCTGAGTTCAGGTCTTTTATAAAGCTGTGGTAATCAAGACAATATGTCATTGCCACCAAAATCCACAAATAAATCAATGAAACAGTACTGAGAGTCCAGAAATAGATCCATACATCCATAGACAACTGAATTCTCACAAAGGCAAAAGGCAATTCAGTAGGAAAAGCGTAGTTTTTCAACAAATACAACTGAAACAACTGGACAATCATGCCAAAAAAAGCCTTTCAATCTGAACCTCCCACCATATATAAAATTTAATCAACTGGTCATAGATACACATATCTAAAACTACAAAACTTCTATAACAGAACATAGAAGGAGAATCTTTATAATCTTGAGGCAAAGGTTTTGTAGACACAACATCAAAAGTACACTCTACAAAAGAATAAAATGAATAAACTAGGCTTCATCAAAATTAAAAACTTCTAATCTTTAAGATTCACCTGTGAAGAGAATAAAATGACAAGCCACACTGACAGAAAATACTAGCAAATTCTATATTAGGCAAAGGACTTGTAACCCAGAATATATAAGAAACTCTCAAACTCAGTAAGAAAACAATCAACCTATTTAAATATAGGAAAAGACTTGAACAGACATTCACCAAAAAAGGTATCTGATTCGTAAATAAGCAAGATGCTTGAGATCATTAGTTACTAGGGAAATGCAAATTGAAACCACAATGAGATACCACCATACGTCTATCAGTATAACTAAAATTAAAGACTGAACGTATCAAGGGTTGACAAAAATGTGGAGGATGTGGACCTCTGGAACATCCACTTTGCAAAACAGTATGTAGCGATCTTAAGAAGCTAGACGTACACCTGCCATATGATCCATCCACTCCTCTCCTAGGAGTTTACCCAAGAGAATTTCAAGTGGATGTCCATACACAAACTTGTATGGAAATGTCCATTAGCAATTTCACTTGTATAGTCAACTGGAAACAGCCCAAACATTCATCAACAGATAAATGGATAAACAAATTGCATTTGTTTATCTTAAGATACTATTCAACAATTTAAAAAGAATAAACTATCGATACATGCAACATAAGTGAATCTCAAAATTATTATGCTGAGTGGAAAAAGATTTTTAAAAAGAGTATATGCTGTATGATTCTATTTATAGTAAGCTGTACAACATGCAAACTGGTCTGCCACGGTGGCTCCTGCCCATAATCCCAGCACTTTGGGAGGCCAAGATGGGAGGATCACTTGAGCTCAGGAGTTCAAGACCAACCTGAGCAACATGGCAAAACCCTCTCTCCACCAAACAAACAAACAAAAATTAGCCAGGCATGGTGACATGTGCCTGTAGTCCCAGCTATTTGGGAGGCTGAGGTGGAAGGATCACTTGAGCCCAGGAGGTGGAAGCTGCAGTGAGCCAAAATCGTGCCACTGCACTCCAGAGTGAGACCCTGTCTACAAAAAAAAAAAAAAAAACCCAACCAAACAACAACAATAACAAAAAGAAAACATGCAAACTGATCTCTAGTGACAGAAATTAAATTGGTGCATACGGCAGGAAGGAGGGAGTTAAAAGCAAAAGGGAGGGGTACAGAGGGCCAGAGAGGAACGCTGGGGTAGTGTATGAGTTCATTATCTTTGATTGTGCTGATGCTTTCATGGATCATACATATTCCAAAGTCAATCAAAATGCATACTTTAAATAGGTGCAGTTTATTATATGTCAATTATAACTGAATAAAGCTGTTAAAAAATACAAAAGAGCCCAGTACAGTGCCTGTATCTCTCAGGCAGTTATTAGGAGTCCTGTTCACACAGAAGGACAGCGCTGTGAGTTTACCTGATCATAAATACAAGAATCAGCAACATACTTTCTTCTAAAATTTTCATTCCAGCATGTATAAATCGCATGAGAGCACACCATAATTCTTCTGTGTCTTTAGAGTCATAATGCAGTTAACATGGCACTACAACCTCTAATTGTGTTGGCACAATTAAATAAATCTATAAGGTTGCTGTAACCTACAGAAAAATCTCAGAGAAGATACAAATCTGTGTTACCTAAATAGGAAGCACCTAAAGGGTCTCTTGCAGTCTGGAAGAGGACGGGCTCGTGGACAGAGGGCGTGGCCACATCCACAGTTGTCCACGCCACACTGTGGGACGACCCACAAGCCACGCGTGTGATCTTCTGGCCTTCTAAGCCTTGCACGAGTGTGGGCTTCCTGTTAACCGTGGTCGTGCCATTGCCCTGCTGGCCGTGGTCGTTGTCACCCCAAGCATACACCTGTTTACGAGGAGAAAAAAGCTTATAATTTTTCAACATTTCAGGACATTTTCTTTAATGTAATTTTTACTTCAAAATGCTTAACGCGTATGCCACGGTAGTTGAAAGAATTGAGTTCTTAAAGGTAAAAACAAACCATTTCACAATCTTTCAAAATGGCATCAGCGTACTACAATTCTGAAGAAAATCTAACCATGAAAATGCTTGCTAATACCTATAAAAGGAGTATTTTCTTAATATTAATCCAATTCTGCTTTGTTGCAAGACACACAGAAGGTCCTCTCTCTAACTAAGTGTAATAATTTTTTCCCTTTTATTTTGCAAAGAAAAATGACCAAAAACAGTATGCTCATTTTTCAAGTAAGTTGCTTCTTGGCCTTATAGAATTATAAAGTAAAATTCATTCTGACTAAAATACAGTAATGGTAATTTTGTTTCCATAAATAAAATTTAAAATTGAATATCCATAAGCCAGTCATAGCGTATGCTTCTCCAAGCAGAAGAGAGTGTAACACTTGTCAGGCACTAGCTCTGTCTCTAAAATGAGGCATGGATCCCTCCTCGCCAGTTACCAATTCTCTAAAGGAAAGTCTTGCTAATATCTTGCACTAGGAGCATCTTCAAGAATAACAGTCTTTCCACACACTTTTCACGTGGACTTCAGAGTGGGAACGCCTCTTTTCTGAGGACCCCGCCCCCAACCCCTGCTGCAAAGCAGGCAGATACACCAGTGGGCAAAAGGAACAGGACCCGCCCTCATGGTTCTCCAAGCAGTAAGACTCAGCTGATTTCATCAACAGCTGTGATTTCAACAGGACGAAGGCCGTGTCATGACCCCCACGTCCCCCAAGTCAGGATGGCACGCCACCCCCAGGCCACCTGCAGCCTTACCTGCCCCGAGTCCGTGACCGCCAGGCAGTGCAGGGCCCCGACAGCCACATGCACGATCTTCTTCCCTCTCAGCCCTTCCACCACCTGTGGTTTCCGCACGTGCACGTCAGAGCCGTGGCCCAATCTGAAGTAATCCCCCTTTCCCCTGAGAGAAGGCCCATGGTGGAGAGTTACAATACGGTTATGGTCTGACAATGCTATACAAGAAGACACTCATTGTCTCACATCTTTCACAGCCAGCTCAATGACATCACACACAGCACCCAAGGTCTTCAAACTTGTATTCAAAATCATACACCATTAATTCAAATTAACTTATTAAGCCAGCTGGGAAAAACCTTAATACCTTAATACATATTTTATGATATTTAAGTTACTGTTGTAGGTTTTCATATAAAGAGACTGAAAATAAGACACACTACTGCAAACACCTATCCAAAGTCCTATCTGGTATACATCTTTCTCAAGCTGCCTCGGGTCATGACATTGGCACTAAGGCCTGACACACCATCCACAGCCAGTCCAGGCACCTGCTCTTTTGCATATTAATAAAATAAGCTTTTACAAGAAACACATGTTAACTTTTTCAGGATCAAAGGATTCAGAAGGCTATTTTGCTCCATTTTATCCTTAGGCTTCAGCAGAAGAAACCGTTCCCATAAATCTCACCCAAACAGGAAAGGTAAGTGGCCTAAAATTTTTCTAGTATTTTCAAAATGACCCAGTTACAATGGGAAATTTCTTCTTGTACTATTGTCACTAATCCCAACTCAATATCCTTTAAAGGACAAAGATGCATGCATAAGTAAAAAGAGGACACGTCACAATCACGCCGGGTGAGCCTGGGGCGAGGCCCAGGTTCCCTGCACACACCTGCACAAGCACACACAGTGTGACAGGGAGGACGTTTACGTACCATGTCCACACCACTCCAGACTTGGTGAGCGCCAGGGAGAACTGAGCTCCACACTCAATCTGGCACACCCCCTGTCCATTTAGTCTCTCAATGTTCTGGGGAATGTTACAGCCTTCACTTCCGCCCCGGCCCAGTTTTCCAAAGTCACCATCACCCCAGGAAAATACCAAACCTAGGTTTAAGAAACACATATACTTCAGGCCAGCGTTTCATATCATTCCTACCCACCCAGAAGCACAGAATCCTGCCAGCCACTCACCTTCATCGGTCAGAGCCAGGGTCTGCGCGTCTCTACTCCCACATGCAACCTGGATTACTCTGTGACCGAGAAGGACTTTCACCTACTCAATTACAAATTTAAAAACAGAATCACGCACAGGCACGGAGAAAGCAATGGATTTTCCCACAGATAAAGCCAACCATGCACACATCTTTATGAACTTTCCTAGACTTGAAGCTTATTTTCTCTTGACATCTTCAGATGGTAAGCTTTCTGCAAGCAACAAAAATGCGTATAATCACCATTTTGGGCTTTAGCTGTGTCGTATTATCCCCATGTCCCAGCCGGCCGTACTCGCCGAGGCCCCAGGTGTACAGTTCTCCGCTGGATGTGAGGGCTGCGCTGTGCGAGCTCCCACAGGCGATATCCCGGATACGCTTGGTTTTCAGGGCCTCGATCAGCCTTGGTTTGTCACAGTTCCTACAACAAGATGAAATCAGCTCTCTACAGTCAATCTGTCCCTTCTTAGAGATGAAGGAAAAAAGACATCTATACTGATCCACATGTAGTCAACACAGGATCCACAGATCAACTATCAAAACTTAAAGCAGAACCGGTGAGACCAAAACACAAACAACCGTGTTAAAAAAATTTTGTTTAAGAACCATTTCTATAATCTATTCTATTCTAATTTTCTGCAAAATAATTCTCAAGAGTATCAGTCAGAAACAGTTTCTTATTAGCAAATGAGACTAAAAAAAGTACCCTTACATTCTGCTGAAGTGTCCAAGTTTTCCATCGTCACCTTCGCCCCACGAAAACACTTTTCCATCGACAGTTAAAGCCGTCGCGTGCCGGCCACCTGCAACATTCACAGACACACGGATTGCCAAAGGGCAGGGAACAGAAAGCCCACAGCATAGCTAGCTCCCTATTTTGCCTGGCATATAGCACACACTCAATGAGCGTGAGCTGAATAAATGAGTAACTCAACAGGATCAACAGCGGAGTTAGCAGGAAAGCTTCCTGGGACATATGTGCCAAATAGGTGAATTTTCACTAAACTACAAATTTTAACTCTAGAAAGAATTTGCAAAGAGGCAAAATAATACTGATTATTAATGGGGTTCCTATTATGTTAAATACACGAAAAATCAAAATTTAGATGAAAAAAGTAAAAATAATTTGTGATTAGACAAAATGTAAAAATAGTGTCAATTTAAGTTTTTGAGAACTGTACCTCAACAGTGAAATTATTCAATCATTTGCGATTAATGCAATATATTCACTCTTCCCAAAACACGTCAGCTTATGCTCTTTCCCCAGCATGGAATATTCTCAAAGTCCATACAACCTGCCTCAGGATTAAAGGCATGACCACTCCTATACAGTGAGTTCCTGCCAACTCCTGGGCTTTGAGAACATCACAGCAGACCCTGCTTCTTCCCCCAACCCTCATTCTCCCCCTTCCTTACCAACAGAACCCCCATGTTAAAGTGCTCAGCTAATTCCCAGCCTCCTCTGCCCCCAGGAGATGGTGACTGAAATGAGTGGGGCTTCCGAGGGGCTCTGGAGAGGGGGCTGCGTGGGCAGGAGGGCACACTGTGTGGTGCTTGCCTCTTCTGCCAGGCCTGGCCCTGGACTCTGGGGGCGAGAGCTAGTCTAAGACCATCTTCCCACAAAGGTGGACACAAAGGACCAGCACTCCTCATAGACACAGCCCTGCTGGACAGACTCTGACCCCACCTCTGGACTTTTACAAAGGAGAAAAGTAAAACTCTATATTGCTTAAGCCACCATCATTTGGATTTCCTGTTATGCAAGTTACACTGAGCCCCGTTCAGCATAGGCATGAACTGAATTAGAACTTTGTGTCTAATTCAGTTCCATTCCTCAGAGGCCTAGCACGGTGCCTCCAAAATAAACACTCCCTACACTGAAAGAGTGGTTTCATTTTCTTTTAAAGGATCTTTCTCATTACTTGGGTTCATAGATGGTTTTGGGAATCTGAAGAAAGTTATAGACTCTTTCTCAGAAAAACAGCCTACTTTTAGGCAAAGAACTTGATTTAGCAGCAATAACTAAATTCTAGACCACCTAGAGATTTACATTATCCAATTTTTATTCCTACTAAGTAAAAACTTAAGAAAGAATGTAAGGACACCAATTAGGGCTTTGGTTAACAACGGAGCAGGAGCAAAGGCCGCCCCGCACAGGCCTCCTGGTGCTTGGCTTGTACCTGAGTGAACAGCCACCTTCTTGACCACGTAGCTGCTGAGAGCTGTGATCTGCCGTGGGATGGGCACCGTCCCGCTGGAAATGCCCAGCCCCAGCCGGCCATTCGTGGCTTCTCCACAGGCATACACCTTCCCTTCCACAGTCACTGCAAGGAACGACAGCCAGGAGAGGACTCTCTTTTCACAACATTAAAAACTTTTTTGTTTTTTGGTGCCAAGCATAATTTAAAAATTTTTTAAGATTAGAATAATCATACCTGCAAACAAACTTTTAGATCCACCAGCCACCTGTACCACATTCAAAGCTGACAGTGTCTCAGAGAACGAAGGAACCTTTATCTACAACAGAATTTTTTTAACAAAAAAAAAAGAAAAGAAAATTTTACTTGCATGTTTAAAATTATGTTACCTTATTATATGATACAAGGAATTACAGTTATGCACTGTGTAACATTTCACTCAACCACAGGCTACATATACGATGGCAGTCCCAGTAGATTATAATGGAGCTGAAAAATCCTTACTGCCTAGTGGTGTCCTGGCCGTGACAACGTCACAGCACAACCTATTCCTCATGTGTCTGTGGTGATGCTGGTGTCAACAAGCCTCTGTGCTGCCAGCTACATATCAACAATCCCTAATACCTCACCATGATAACAGACTACTGCTACTGGGCTATATATTCACTCTCCTGTACTTTCTATCATTCTTTTAGAGTGTATTCCTTCTACTTTTTTGTTTTTTAAGCTAACTGTAAAAAGCCTGCGGCTGGTGCTTCAGGAGGGATTCCAGAAGGCACTGCTGTCACAGGAAAGGACAGCTAGCTCCTTTGTGGGGGTGAAAGAGAGCAACACTATGATCCTAGCTAGGCTAATGTATGTGTTTGGGTCTTAGTTTTTAACAAACACGTTAAAAAGTAAAAGAATAAATGTTAAAGATAGAAAAAAGCTTACAGCATAAGAATGTAAAGAAAACATTTTGTGCAGAGCTGTGTTTGTGTTTTAAGCTAAGTATTATTACAAGAGTCAAAAAGTTTTTTAAAAAGTGAAAAGTTCATAAAGTTACAAATAATTTATTATTAAAGAAAGAAAAATATTTTGCATAGAGTCACCTAAGCATATAGTGTTTCTAAAGTCTACAGTAACATGCAGTGATGTCCTGGCCTTCACGTTCACTCACCACTCTCTCACTGACTCGCCCAGAGCAACTTCCAGTCCTGCAAACTCCATTATTCATGGTAAGTGCCCTATGCAGGTGTTCCATGTTTTATCTTTTACAATGTATTTTTACCGTACCTTTTCGATGTTTAAATACACACATGCCACTGAGTTACAACTGCCTACCATATTCAGTACAGTTCCATGTTGTAGCCTAGAAGCAACAGGCTATACCATATAGCCTGAGTGTGTAGTAGGCTACACCATCTACCTTTGTGTTAAGTACACTCTATCATTTTCCAACAATGACAAAATCACCCAACCAAAACTTTCTCAGAATATATCCCCATCATTAAGTAATGCATGACTGTACTACTAATATGTATGGTTACATTAACCAAAGGCATTGGTTATCCCTTAGAGATTCACACTGGAGTATTTTAAGAATGAAATGATACACTGTGATTGACTTTAAACCAGAGTTGGGGGAATGGGAGGATAAAGACAGAAAAACGTAGACAGCTGCTGGTAACTATGGAAGCTGTACCAGGGACATGAGGGTTCATGAAGCTATTCACTCTATGTGGGTACATCTGAACAGTTCCATAGTAGAAAGTGAAAAATAAAATACAGTTGGTCCTCTGTATCCATAGGTTCCACGTCCATGAATTCAACCACCCATGGATTGAAAATATTTTTTATTGCACGTGTACTAAATATGTACAGATATTTTTGTTGCCATTATTCCCTAAACAATGTAATATAACAACTATTGACATACCATTTACATTGTATTAGGTATTCTGAGTAATCTGAAGATGATATACAGTATTTGGGAGGGTGTACATAGGTTATATGCAAACACTACACTGTTTTATATCAGGGACTTGAGCATCCACAGATCTTGGTATCCACAGGAAGTCCTGGAACAAATCCACGGATACTGAGGGATGACTATGCATATAATGTAAAGATAAAAACACACACCTGTAGACTATGCCTTATTTCAAGTCATGTCCTGCTCACTCTCTGATTCTGACTCTGACATCTCTAAGAAATCATATGCTTAAATTTCCCATTGTAGATGGATGTAATTTAAAATTCCTAGGGCCCTTTGTCTAAAAAACCTTTATGATTCCCTGGGTGAAATAGTCACTACTGCAGCGGAAGAAAGGATTTTCATCACAACCGTGGAACACCGACTCTGTCCTTGAAGTGAAAACTCCATGTAAGGCAGTGAGCAAGGTCATAGGCTCCCACCAATGGCCTGCACCTCAGGGACCTCTGGACAGCCCTGCATTCCCGCAGCTGAGACACTCACAGCTCACTGCCCACTGTCCACTTCCCAAACCAAGCTCAGGTACACTGAAACACAAATGCAATTCAAGACTGCTCCAATACAGATAAAAACTAATTGCACCTTGAAAGGAAAGAGTTCAAATGAATGAGTTCTAACTTTATTTCTCAGTTTCTCAATAGGGCAGGCAATAAAGAAAACGTATGATGTGATGTCTCACAGAATACTAACAGGAAGCATAAGCTCACGTGAACACAGAGAGTGCCTCTGGGCAATAAAATTTAGAGGAATTTGCTTTGTGGCTCCTCAGCCAGGAGACACTAAGTAATACAAGGAATGCTGAATTCAACTCCAATTCAAATGCATCATTTCTTACACCTATTCTTTTCAAAATATGGTCTTTTTCTCCTAAGCAACTCAAAATACAAATTAACCTCTCATCCAAGTACCTAGGGGATGAAGGACGTTGTGAACACAGAGGCTATGGCACGGCTTCCCGTGCAAGCTTCATGGTTTACTGACAAGGTGAATGAGATCATGGCGCTCTCCACCCACAACAAGCCCTGCAGAGAATAAGGCAAGTGTGTATGCGCACACATGTGCATTCTGCTTGTTTCTCTGTGCTCGCAAAGCGTTCTCTCTCTGTGCAAGCTACTTCACCCTGAAGAATCTCAGGCGCGAAGCACCTGGAGGACAGAGACAACAATTTGCTCATCTGTGGGCCACTACAGCCTTTTTACACATTATTTTGTTCATGATAGTCAAAAATGTTTATTGTAGGGAAGGCAAGATACACCTATTGACAGTCTATAATTTTCATTTATGCACTTGTCAAATCTTTTCAAAAGTTCATTTTCTAGTTTACAAGACCGCAATAAGACAATTATACCTAAAGTGAAATTTTTCAAGGAGAGACGCTTCTGAGGGGTAATTTGATAATGTCTTTTAGTTCGTGTAAAGAAACAATACAACATATAGAGAGTAAAGTTATTATAGAAACTTCACGAGGTGTGGCTGCTGCCGAGTGCCCCACCCTGCTGGGTCCCAGGGAGCAGGCCGTACCTTGGAGCCTTTCAGCCCGCCCAGCTGGTCCTTGTCATTCAGGCCCCACACAAACACCTTGGTTCTTATCGTAGCTGCTGATTCCAGCCCAGCAGCCTTCTTTCTAATGAGGCTAACCAAACGGAAAAAAAAAAGAAAAAGAAAAGAGAGGTTATTCAGCATAAAACATTTAAAAAATAAAAAGAAAAGCAACCTCAAGCACTCAAAGTTTTATGGTTACTTTCAGAAACTCTTAAAATTTTGCTTTAATAGAAAAAAACCTCAAGCATGTACAGGAGTAAGTCCTCTGGAGGGTCAAATTTTCTAGATACAACCATGCCACCTTTTAATACTAGCACTTAATTTCAGCCTTTATTTTTGGTGGAAAACGATGATACACCAGGCCTTCTCTTTCATCTTAAATACCAACGTGAACATGGGTGGGAATCATTCCAAGCCAAGGAAACAGACGCACAGCTGCTACAAATGGCACTGTAGAGACACTGAGGAAACCTGCCCAGGAGCCACGCTGGGTCTGGCCTTGCAGCACTATCCCCAAATCTAGACAGCTGTTTGGCCAATTATTTTCCCACAGAAAGAATAAAACGGATGTGGCCACATGACCATGGAGTTACTTTAACACAGACACATGTCCCAATGTAAAATGCTTCTCTCTTCCTTTATACCCTCTGCCCAGGACACCGGCCAGAGGAACCTGATCATCGGCCAGCTAAGCTGAAAGTCCTCGTCTCCTGTCCTTCCCAGAGGGCTTGCTCCTTCCACCTTGCTCATCTATCTCCTGACCTGCCCTCAACAGGTTAGGAGTTTATTTATTTTTTGTTTGTTTTGAGACAGGGTCATGCTCTGTCACTCAGGCTGGAATACAGTGGCATAATCCCGGTTCACTGTAGCTTCAACCTCCCAGGCTCAAGCAATCCTTCCACCTCAGCCTCCCGAACAGCTGGCACTATAGGCCTGCACCATCATGCCCAGCTAATTTTTGCATTTTTTTTTGTAGAGACGGGGTCTCACTATATCGTCAAGGCTGGTCTTGAACTCCTGGGCTCAAGTGATCCTCCCTGCTCAGCCTCCTAAAGTGCTGGGATTACAGGTGGGAGCCACCACACCCAGCAGGTTAGAAGTTTAATCAACAGCATCCAAAACACTCCAATTCTTGCAACTTGAAAAGAGTACACAGGACAGTGTTAGATTTTCTTGGCTGATGGTCTGATGCCAGGTGCTAAGGAATTGCTGCTTCTGTGTTTGGGGTTTTCACCTTTGTGTTTGCTTTTGCTCTATTTTTATAAGCTAGGATAGATGCCCAAAGGCACCAGACGGCTTCCAGACAGGTATCACTTTTTTCACACATTATATACTAATAAATATTTACTTTAAGGGTTCAAAATTTCATGTTTTGGAATAAAAGTGGAAAACTCTTTCATCCAATACTAGGCACAGGTGAGCAAGCATAAGCACAAAATATTGAAATATCTTGTGATACATTTTTACTTAAAAATATGTATGGGGACCAGGCACAGTAGCTCACACCTGTAATCCTAGCACTTTGGGAGGCCAAGGTGGGCAGATTCCTTGAGCCCAGGAGTTGGAGACCAGCCTGGGCAACACGGTGAAACCTCATTTCTACAAAAAAAATACAAAAAATTAGCCAGGTGTGGTAGCAGACACCTGTAATCCCAGCTACTTGGGAGGCTGAGGTGGGAGAATCACTTGAGCCCGGGAGGCAGAGGTTGCAGTGAGCTGAGATCATACCATTGCGATCCAGCCTGGGCAACAGAGTGAGACCCTATCTCAAAATATATATATATTTTCCATACACACATATATATACACACATATATGTATGCATGTATGTATGGGAAACCAGGACTGATATTCAAGATATTTAATGTCTGGCACCATGTAAGTATCAATCAGCCAGAGTGGAGGCCAGCTGTACGTGGTCAGTGTGGGAACATCCCAGTTGGGTGGCAGCCCTGTAGGAGGAGACTGCCTGGGCCACTGACTCATTCTGAAGTTATTAGCTAATTAATAAGATCTTACCAGAACAAAACCCATTACAATCAAGTATCTAGCTTTTCTTTCGACAATATATTCAATTACACAAAAATCTGATCAATGAGTAAAGCTCAAAACATTTTTGGTTATTCCACATATACAATATATGTATTAATAATTTTATGGCCAGGCGCAGTGGCTCACGCCTATAATCCCAGCACTTTGGGAGGCTGAGGCAGGCGGATTACGAGGTCAGGAGATCGAGATCATCCTGGCTAACACGGTGAAAGCCCGTCTCTACTAAAAATACAAAAAAATTAGCCGGGCATGGCGGCGTGCACCTGTAGTCCCAGCTACTCAGGAGGCTGAGGCAGGAGAATGGCGTGAACCCAGGAAGCGGAGCTTGCAGTGAGCCGAGATTGCACCACTGCACTCCAGCCTAGGTGACGGAGCAAGACTCCGTCTCAAAAAATAAATAAATAATAATTTTATTTGTCCAATTCATTTTAGTAGCTACTGAGTAAGAAAATGCTAATCTATTGTAGGGGCAACCCACCCCTACAATCTATAATCCTTTTATTAAAAATCCCAATGACTTCCTTATTTAAGTGAACTGGTATTGTCCCTATTTAATTAATATCTACAGATGCAATCAGTTTGAACTACAGCATATAGTATAACATATATTCTAGATAAGGTAATGTTATAGATACTATTTTCTTTTCAACTTCTACACAAAGTTTCTGAAATAAAACAGGACAGAATCCAAAGCCAAGATCACAGAGCCCTAGAATAACCTGATTTATTACCAGAACTACTACCCCCCACTTCTGTCTATATAACGTGCTCAACAGCGGCACAGGGCAGTGCTCTGTTGTCTCCTCATGTCACACGCTGCAGAGTACTTAGAGCACAGGGTGTCTTGGTCAACAGAGTTCAGCCAGCACTGGCGGCTTGCCTCCTGTGCCTGTCTGGAGGGCCCCGGTCACACTAGCAATCCAAAGCGCCTTGGGAATGTTAACAACATATCCATTTATTTTGCATACCCTTTGACTTAGCAATTTCACTTTCAGCAATTTATCTAGGAAAATACAACTTCTATGAGGACACTGATTATCCTCCATTGTTATTATCCACTATTATCCACTGTTTGCTGCTGGGATGGTAAACAAGGCTTAGAGCAGCCCCTGCAAATGCAAGTTCTAGATACATGCCCTGGGAAATGCACAAGCATGCAAAAACTTCGCAGATATCATTCTCCTCTGGTATGCTGTCTTCCCTATCAGAAACGCCCTTGCCTGTCCACTTTGTTTCAGTAATTCTGACTTCTGTACGTATGGCCTGGGGGGAAGTTTTCCTTGTCCTGACAGATCAATGCTCCAATGCAGACTCTCAAGGCTGTATGCACTTCTTCCTGCCTCTTACCAAAGGCCTAATAGCACACTGATGCATGTGTTTGTCTTGTTTTATTTTGCATGTTCATCACAGTGTTCCCAGTACACATAACTGGGAATGGCCCACAGTAGGCATTCAAAAGATGTTGAATGAATAAATACAACAACAGTCATCATCACAGTGCTCAGATAAAATAAGGAATTGAGTGAGTAAATGAGAACAGTCATAAGATGAAATACTGCACTCAAAAATTACAGGACTGAAGACTAATCATATGGAAATTCTAGCGATGGACAATAGTGATGGTTGCACAAAAATATGAATGTACTTAATGCCACTGAACTGTACACTTAAAATGGTAAACAATATATATATTTCACCATAATAAAAAATAAATACATTTTTTGAAGTTAATGATAAAATACTTAACAAAAAGAGCTTTAAAATATACCATACAACTTCCATAGGACAATAAATTTAGTAACAGAAAAAAAGGAAAACTACAAAGATATATACCAAAATAGTCACAGTGATATTTTAGGTAGAGATATTAAACATTTTCATTTCCCTCTTTTAATGGTATTTTTCTAAATATAATGTGTTTCTACATTAAACACTTTATTTTTTAAAAAATACAATTTTTGGAAACAACTGTAATTTACCAATCGTGTGGACATAAAATGACTCTCAGTATGAGACACATTCTAATTAAATGTTTCCTTTCGAAAGTGAGGATCCAGGAATGTAGCGGGAGGTAAGTGAGCACCTGTAACAAATGGTTCTCACCTTCCGCTGTTGCCTTTCTCATCCTCCTCCTCTTCATTATCCGAAGCTAAGAAAGGAACTGCAGCCAAATCTTCCTCTTCTGCACGGATCCGTCCCAGCAGGATGAGACCATGGATTTTACAATCGATTCCTGAGCTCCTGCACTGCTTTATAGCAATTTCAATATACCTGTGATACTAGACACAAAAACCATGATCTATAGACTCTGTAGAATCAAGCATATTAGATCCTCTAACTGGAGAACGGGATGTGTGAGACACGAACATGTACACACGGTTAGAGCTCCTTTACTTCAGTTCTGGAAATATCAACTGAGTTACTCAAAGTTAATGCAGCCACATCTGAGTAATGTTTACTTCAAAAGAAGTGGTCAACTCATCAAGATGTCTACCTGAGGCATGAGACACTCACTGATTTTCTTCCTAAAATTTTTAAATAGGATAACAGCCTTACTGAATGACTGCAAACTCTTCCGTCTTAGAGCTTTCTTGAACCAAGATGCTTTAACTAAGGAAGATATTAAATGTCAGGTAGTAACAGACCTTTCATCGTTTTTAAAACATAAAACATATTTGAATATACACAAATCAGAACAAATAGTACAAAGAACTCCATGACTCCATGACCCAGCTCAACAGTTACCAACATGTGACCAATCTTGTTCAGATATGGATTATCATTAAAAAATTCTAGGCATTATGCTGTTTCAAAACTTCAGTATATATCACTGAATTAAGGAGGTCTGGTTTTTTTTTTTGTTTTTTTGTTTTTTTTGAGATGGAATCTTGCTTGTTGCCCAGGCTGGAGTGCAGTGGTGCAATCTTGGTTCATTGCAACCCCTGCCTCCCGGGTTCAAGCGATTCTCCAACCTCAGCCTCCTGAGTACCTAAGACCACAGGCACTTGCCACCACACCCGGCTAATTTTTTGTATTTTTAGTAGAGACAAGGTTTCACCATGTTGGCTAGGCTGGTCTTGAACTTCTGACCTCAGGTGATCCACCTGCCTCAGCTTCCCAAAGTACTGGGATTACAGGAGTGAGCCACCGCGCCTGGCCAGAATTATGGAGTTTTTTGAAAAACATATCCGCATTGCTATTATCATAGCACAAACAATAACTCCCATATCACCCAATATGCTACAGTGATCAAACTTTTCTGATTATGTCATGTCATTTTATTGTTGCCTCATTCAAATCAGAACACAAGCAAGACCCAACCTTCCTCTGTTCTGCCTTTGCCATGCATTTAGTGGAGTTGGTCTACTTGTCCTGCAAATGTCCCACACCCCATGTGGCCGACTGCATGCCTGCTGTGGTACTGACAACATTCCTCCATCACTGTATTTCATGTGAACGAAGAGAGATGCGTCTGGAAGCACACACTAACAATTACTTTTTATTGCCTAAACGACCTGCTCAAACCTCAAGATCTACCATTTCAGAGGAAATACAGCTTGACCACCACCATAGGGATGCAAAAGCCAAGTTGAGAATATGAAGAATGCTACAGGAAACAATTACTCAGTTTTTTTTTTCTTTAGCAAGAAAAAAAACCAAGAGTGACTTAAGTGTAGTGTAGAATGCAAACATCATCTGAATCAGAAACTGCAAAAGGACATTTACAAGATAATTAGGAAAATCTGGACACTGACTGAATATTATATGACATTAAAGAGTAATTATTGGCTGGGCACGGTGGCTCACGCCTGTAATCCCAGCACTTTGGGAGGCCGAGGCAGGTGGATCACGAAGTCAGGAGATCGAGACCATCCTCGCTAACGGTGAAACCCCGTCTCTACTAAAAATACAAAAACAAAATTAGCCAGGCATGGTGGCAGGCGCCTATAGTCCCAGCTACTCGGGAGGCTGAGGCAGGAGAATGGAGTGAACCCGGGAGATAGAGCTTGCAGTGAGCCGGGATCACACCACTGCACTCCAGCCTGGGTGACAGAGTGAGACTCCGTCTTAAAAAAAAAAAAAAAGAGTACTTGTTAGAGGTGTGATAATGGTACCAAGGTTATATTTTGTTAAGCCCTGTCAGAGATGAATATTGAAGCAAGTGCTCCTGAAATAAGACCATGACTAGGACTTGCTGAGGCAGGGAAGTAAGGTGGGAGGGAGAAAGTGAAACATGACTGGCAAAATGTTGATAAATGTTGAAGCTGGGTGACAGGTTTGTGAGGGTTCCAGCATACTTTCTATTTTTGTTTACATGTTAGAAAAAACCCGGCTGGGTGCGGTGCCTCATGCCTGTAAATGCCAGCACTTTGGGAGGCCAAGGTGGGCAGATCACCTGAGGTCAGGAGTTCGAGACCAGCCTGGCCAACATGACAAAACCCCGTCTCTATTAAAAATACAAAAATTAGCTGGGTGAGGTGGTGGGCACCTGTAATCCCAGCTACTCGGAAGGCTGCGGCAGGAGAATCACTTGAACCCAGGATGTGGTGGTTGCGGTAAGCTGAGATCTGCCACTGCACTCCAGCCTGGGCGACAGAGTGAGACTCAGTCTCAAAAAAAAGAAAAGAAAATTCCCATAACAAACTATTTGTACAGCAAAGGCCATGCTTAAGATGCAGTGGCTCCACAGGAATGGTACAGTCTAGTTCTTTGGTCAGCTGGGGGCATGCAGGTTAGGTCAGGAGTTTTCCATTTACCTGCAATGCTTCGTATTTCTCATGTACATGACATACACTAAGTATCACAGGATGAATGGTTTTGAATTGAAAATTTCTTGGATTAAAGATATCTTTTACGAATGATAATCTCCATTGTTGATTTAATTACTTAGTTTCTGGTTTGGCTAAAGTAAAAACATCCTCTGAACTATGTAACTAAGGCACTCTACAGGCTGTATTCGGTTACATTGCAATAAGTTACCAGTAAAATGCATTAAAACTCAAGATTAATTTTTTCAGATAAATTCAATATTATCTTTCATTTTTATAGTTTGCCAATTTCTTCACTTATTAGCACCACTGGTATTGGCTATAATGAATCAGTGTATTATGAAATAGTTCCATGACATTCCAGAATAAATGGTAACTACTGTGAATGTACTACGTATTTCAAAATAGCTAAAAGAGAGGATTTTAAATGTTCTCACCACAAAAAAGTGATAAATATTTGAGGTGATGGATACATTATTTAGCATGATTTGATCATTCCACAAAGTATACATGTAACAAAACATCACAGTGTTCTCCAAAAATAAATACAAATTATTACAAATTACTATTTGGTTAAAACTAAAATAAAACTTTTTTAAAAAATGAATGGTTAACTACATTTAATAATTAAAAAATAAACTCATCAGTTATAAACTTTAAATGAATACAAAAATCAACTATTTGATATTTTTATCTGCTATCATTATAATTAGTCTACACCAGACAACAGTATACATAGTACAAAAATATCTTTTTTTTTCTTTCTTTCTTTTTTTTTTTTTTGAGACAAGAGTCTGGCTCTGTCGCCCAGGCTGGAGTGCAGTGGCACGATCTCGGCTCACTGTAAGCTCCGCCTCCCGGGTTCATGCCATTCTCCCGCCTCAGCCTCCCAAGTAGCTGGGACTACAGGTGCCTGCCACTACGCCCGGCTAATTTTTTTTTTTTTTTTTTTTTTTTTAGTAGAGACGGGGTTTAACTGTGTTAGCCAGGATGGTCTCGATCTCCTGAGCTCGTGATCTGCCCGCCTCAGCCTCCCAGAGTGCTGGGATTACAGGCGTGAGCCACCGCGCCCGGCCAACAAAAGTATCTTAATTTGTCTTATTTTACATATATTTAATGTATTAAAAATCATGCTGACATCCTATGTGGAAAGGTTTACTAAAAATTTGAGAGAGAGAGATAATTGCTGATCTGTAGTATGTGGGTACTGTTTAAAAGAACCTTCACTGATTCTTTCAAACTTTTCCAGAGATAAACTTAGACTCATTTTGAAAGCTGCCTTATTAACCAAAAAATTGCCACTCCGTGACAAGTTCAGCACTTGATGCCAACAGGTGTGACGACAAAAAAGCAACTTCAGCGTCACATATATGGTCAGGAAAACCACCAGAAACTGAGATATTTAATGAAAACCGAAGTGTTCAGATGCAATCAGCAACCTAAAATGCCTGATGAAAACTTTTGCTAGGAGCAGTTACCAAGTATACCTCTGCTACCAAAGAGAGTGAGAATGAAATTTGTTTCCTTTTCAAGCTGAACTGATAAGCAGCAAATTCAGTTGTACAAAATAAGTTGTATCTTTTAAAGTGTCAAAATTTAAAACAGAAAGAACCAATTATTTAAACGGGGAAAAACTGGGCTCAATGCTAGTATAGAAATGGCCAAGTCACCTCCCTTGTCATCTGTAAATCATCCAAATGGAACACTAGCATAGCTACTTACCTCTGTGCAGTCATTCAGAAGGGGCACTGTGGTGTCAGAAGGGTTAATATTGATTGTCTTTAGTTCAATAAGGTTATTCAGGGAATTTCCACCTAGGAAAAAATGGGTAAAGAATCAAACAAAGGCGTCTTTATTATAGAAGGTACTTCTTTTTAGGTAAACTAACTGAATTACCTGACACTACAACCAGGGACGGCATGTAGCTACTGTCAGCAGGATCTACGATCATTTTTAATCTATGAACAAGAACATCTGGGAAAATCTCCAAACGAATCCAGTGCTTTAGAAAAACAAAAAAACCACATTCTCAGTTAGCAAAATTCAGCTATATTTTAGCTACTACAATAGTATCGTTGAAGCTTGAATCTACATGAGATTTTTTCAATATAAAATGTAGCATGAGAGAGAATTTTCCCTCAACCTGGCAGCAACAAGAATATTCTACGCCATTCTTTGATTGTTAGAGAAAAGTCTCACTCTAAGACTCAGAAACCATGTATCTATATACTCCTGGCCTAGGGTGGTCCTTTTACCCACCAAGTGAGTGACAGAAAACACTACAGTCGAGATGGAGAAAGGCCCTGTCCTAAAGTCTGACCTGTGTGCCCACGAGGTGCCTCCACGCGTTGGTGTAATCACAACAGCACTCCAATGTGCAACACAAATTTGCTAGACTATACTAGAAAAACTTCTAACCAGAAGCAAATCTGAATTCATACATTCTATGCAGGAGAGGAGGAAAAAAAGCCTGACCACATCCTCTATCAAGTGGTCAGTTAGATAAAATCTATTACTCGTATTGTTTAAAATCTCTGACAATAAAATTGGATGGTATATAACTCTAACTTTGAAATAACTTATAAATTAAAACATAACGTGAGTACTGACAGGTGCTATCAGCAAAACTTTGCAGGCTGCTCAAAGTTCATTTTGAAAATGTACAAGGCAAAACCATCGGTGTGAAAGTGCCCGCTGCTGTGCCCTATTAGATGCTACCTTTCCTTGCGACCCCGATGACTGCCAGCAGGGCTCGCTGCCGTCAATGAGACGGGATGCCTGGTTCACGGAGGACGACACATTCAGGCTCTTCACCATGCGGGACCAGCTGTCCAGCAGCATGCCTGGCTGGCTGCTGTGGCAACGCTTCAGCTGTTTTCCAGAACGGCCACAAAATACCGCAGACTGACCTATTTCGTGATAGTCAAAAAGAGAATTAACCCTTGCTGAACTGGGGAGAAACATCATGATCAAGAATATTACATAGTAAGGAGCTTCTTAAAGAAAAATAGAAAGTTTCAAACTGAAAGGAGTTAATAAATGCCACAAATGGTTTCCCTAGTCAAGATATAGTTACACCAATTTATGAGATGAAGTCCACATAATGCTATGATTTATTCTACTAAAACCTCCCAGGGAACAACAGCAGATTAATATATTTCCAAAGAAAACAAAATAAGCTGTGGGAAAAGTTCAATAACAGCACTCACAAAAACCATTCTTATTAAAAATGCTTTTATAAATACAAGGCAAAAAGTAAATTGTAAAGTGCTTCCACTTCCATTAATGGCAAATCTGGAATTC